>NC_000021.9:37674203-37984157 GCF_000001405.40 Homo sapiens
CCCCAGTTACTGGCTGCTATCTGCACATTGTGTGACCAACTAATCTCTGTTTGCCTGGGACTTACCCACATTTAGCATTGAATGTCCCACATCCCGGAAATCCCTCAGTCCCAAGCAAATGAGGACAGTTGGTCATCTACAGCTCACACGCCAACCACAGCCATCCTTTCAAAATGCATGTAATGTCATGCCACTCTTTGCTCGACACCCTCCAGGGCTCCCCTCTCAGAGCAAAAGCCACACAAAGCTCTCCCTGGCCTGGTGCCTGTGACCTCACTCGCCTCCTCTCTGCCCACTCCCCTCCTCACCCACTGGCTCCGCCGAGTCAGGCCTCCTTGATGCTTCTCCAAGCTTCCTTTCACCACAGGGCCTTTGCATGCAGGTCCTCTCTGCTTGGAACACTCTCTCCCTGATACCCACAGGGCTCACACCTCCTCTCACCCAGGATGGATCTAGTATTAGCTCTGCAGGGACAGCTTCCCTGACTCCCCTATACCTCACGTACTTCACCCCCTCCAGAGCCGTGATTCCTTTCCTTTCTGCACGTCTCACTCCGACAGGCTTACTTTCTGGTTTAGTCTTTCTCTGCTCACTTGGATGTAAGCTTGGTTTACTCATGCTGTGTCCTGACTACCTAGAACACTGCAGAGCGCATAGCATGAGGGCAATAAACGACGAATGAATAAATGAATGAATGAATAATGAATGAATGATTGAATGAAAGAAATCTGGACAACTTACTCACTTAGGGTGGCTAAGGAGAGGTAAGGGCTGCTTTTCCCAGACAGCCCACCCTGCACTGCCCCTGTCCCCAAGCCTTCCAGGTGGACTCATGCAGTCCTGCTCGGAGCTCCTCTGCTGCTCCGGGTTTGACTCAATCGACACCCTTCGCACCACTTTCTAAGTGTCTCCTTTGGACTGGGCCCTTGAGCCATGAGCTTTCTTTTATTTAATGTGATATTCCCAGCGTCTGGCAATGTAGCAGGGGCTCCGTTTTGAACTACTGGCCTGTGCAAAACCAAAAGTCTTTCCTTTAAGGATCTGGAGTTAATATGATGGCTGCGTCTCAGAGATGTAAAGGCCACACAGATGAGACCTCAGAGAGGAAGGAATCAAGTTGGCGGGGATTTTTCCGCGAGTGGCTGCATTGGCTTTAAGAAACTGCGCCGGGCTGGGCAGCCGACGCACCGCTAGGTGGCGCACGCGCTCGCTGCGTCTTTCAGGGCTGCAGGTACGGTGCGGGTTTCTGGTGCGCTGACCGCGCTGGGGATGAGCACCACTGTCATCGCGGGGACCCTCGGGCTGCGCCTCTGCCCCTCGGTCCCCAGCACCCCTGGGAGGAGCTGCTGCGATGACACCCAGTCCCTGGGCGCCGCCGCATCGCCCTGCCCTGAGCGGAATTCTCCGGCCCCAGGAGAGGCCGTGTGGCCATAAAAGGGCTGACCTCCTGATTCGGACTCCGCAGGTAGTCACTAGGGGCTTTCGCTGCTCCTGGAAGCAATTTCAAACCAGCAAGCAGGCTCTTATAGACTCTTACACCAAAAGAAGAATTTGGAGGTCCACCCCTAAACAGTCCATCACTGTTACATTGACTCCCAAATTCCTATGCTAGAGTTACCTTAACGGCAAGCCAGACCCCTGACCCCAACCCATGTCAATAGCGGGGGTGGGGGTGGGGGTGGGGGTGGGGTGCGCCGACCCTGCTGCGCTTGTCAGCTTCTCTAACTGTGGCTTGGCTCCTCTGTCCTCATGTGAGCTCTGGACCAGCAATACCTGCACCCTTGCCAGCAGGTTGCAAATGCAGAACCCAGACCTCCTGAATCTGAGCCTGCATTTTAACAGGGTCCGTGGGAGATTCGTGGGCACCACAGAACTGCAGGAGTGCTGGCGGAGGGCAGGGCTGAGTGCGGAAAGGGAGATGGGCAGGCCCATGGCGTGGGGACTGACCTTTGGCACAGGGCACGTCTGAGTGCAGAAAGGGAGGTGGCAAGTCTGTGGCTTGGGGACTGACCTTTGGGTCAGCGGTGGAGAGGAAGGGTACAGGGGTCCTTTCTCCAGGAGGTGGTCCTGGCATGGGCCAGGTGTGAGTCCCGTGACCTCCAGAAGCACATGGTAGGACAGGCCGGGCAGGCCAGGTAGGCCCTAAGCTCCATCTATTAGTGCAGGAGGGAGGCCCTGCACTTTGCTCACCACTGAACTCTGCCGCCAGCCAACACCAGGCACCTGATGGATCTATGTTGGGTGAAGCAATGAAGTGGACAGCCCAGTGCCTTGTGGAAGGGACACCAGGGAGTGCTGAGGCCTGTGGGTGGGCGTATGAGGTGCAGGGCAGCTGGCATTGGCCTGGGGGCTGTGCTCAAAGACAAACTCCATCCACTTCTGGCTGTGCACAGGGCCAGCTTGGGGAGGTAGCAAGTGGATGAGCAAAACCAGGGGAAAGCAAGGCACCAGCCAGAGCTGTGTTCTCAGCAGGGTTGTGTTGGCCCAAGTGGGGACAGCAGCCATGTCTGGAGACATTTTTGATTGTCAAACTGGAGGGGGTGCTACTGGCACTTAGAGGTAGAGGCCAGGAATGCTGCACACAGCTTGCAAGGCGCAGGATGGCCCCTGCAACAGAGAGTGACCTGGCTCCAAATGCCAATAGTGCTGAGGTTGAGGAACCACGAGAGAAAGCAGCAGGCTCTGCAGGCACTGGTGGAGATTTCTAGTGCCAATAGCTCTATGTCCCCTTCCCCACCTCCACCAGTCCCCATTGGGACCTGAGACCTTATTAGGAGTGACTACAGTGCTGGTCCCAGTTGACTAGGAAGAGGGCTCCTGGTCAGGCTGACGTTGCACTCAGGAGTCTAACTGTCCAGTGGCAGAAATCGATAATTGGTTCCAGTTCCTCTCCCCAGGTGCCACGATGCTGGCAGTGCCCACCACTCTGCTGGCCTTGGACTGCAGGACTGGTCCCTCCTGTGGCTTGAGACAAGCTCCAGCTAGTCTGCTGCAGTGTGACAGCCTGGGGATGGGGAGGGAGAGGACTCCGGTACACAGCCTGGGAGATGGCTTTTCCATGGCAACAGCTCAGTTCCTGGTAGGCAGCCCTCACCTGCTCTGATCCTGCCACATATGTGCAGCTCCCTGTGTTCCATCCAGAGATCAACTTGGCCAAAAGAATTTATTTTCAGTTTTTTGGGGAAAACCAATAAAAACACCTCCAAATAGCCCTGCTTTGCCAGGAGTACCAAATCCTTGGGTTTGCAGAAATACTAACGAGTGCTTTTATTTGACCTTTCCTTTCTTCTCCTTTCCCTTTCTTTCTTCTTCCTCCCTTTTTGTTGTTGTTTGTATTTGAAATTTATGCTTTATGTTTCATATGAGTTCATCATGATGGGGCTGTTTTCCATAACATTTTTCTTTAGCAAATTTCTTCAAAGTATGTGTTAAAATTATTTTTGTTTGACTATTGCATAAGCTCCAAGAGATCAGAAACTGTTTCTCTCCATCCATTTATCCATTCATTCAATCCATCCATCCATCCACTTCCTCACCCATATACCCACCCACACACCAAACCATTTGTCCATCCATCCATCCATCCACCCACCTATCCACCCACCCATCCAGTCATTTCAGTCATCCATCAGTTCACTCATTCACCCATTCATCAACCCATTCATCAACACACCCTTCTGTTCACTCATTCATACAGCCAGCCAACAATCCATTCATCCATCCATTAATTCATTCATTGGCAAAGGCAAGCATTTGGAATTGCTGCTCTTTGCCTAGCCCTACAAAAGTTCTTACTGTCACAGAGATATTTCTCTAGTGGAAGGCTAGAAATTCACAAAACAAAGTGTTAAATGCATTTGAGTGTTATGCACAAAGGCCCTATGGGGCCAAACAGAAGCCGGCTAACTTGGCGGGTGGTGGTGTCAGAGAAGATTTCAAAGAGGATGGGACCTATTAGGAGAGCCTTGAAGGATAAATGCAGGGCAGTGGGGTCAGTAATTATCTAGAAGCGACAGCTAGTGAGTGATTCGTTGGGCTGCTGAAGTGAAGATGGGGACATGAGATGATACTGGTCAGGTAAGGTAGCATTGTAAAAGGACTTCAATGATGTCCAAGGAATTTGCATGTTATCCTGTAATCCTGTAGACAATAGGAGTTATCCATGAATGTTATGGTCGGTGCTGTTTTAGAGAGAAACTTCTGGGATTGTATAGAGAGGTGGGGATGCTCTCCTAAGTGTCTTAACTGATTGGTTTGAAAACTCTTTTCTGGGGTCATAGGCTTCTTGCATAATTCCCAGAAATACCCAGAAAGCCTCCATGATAGGCAGTGGTGCCTGGACCTGCAGCTCTGAGGGAAGGAGCCTGGAGGAGAGGACTACCTGCACTGAGCAATAACCCATTGATGAATGGATTGATGAATGTATGGGTGGGTGGATGGATGGATGACTGGATGGGTGGACAGATGGATGAATGGACAGGTAGATGAATGAATGGATAGATGGGTGGATAAATAAATAGAAAAGACTACAGAGCTTTGTACATGTGGCTGAGAGACCCACGTAAACTCAGGGAGCACCTACTGTAGTGGTGAAGCATGTAGCTGTTGGAGCCAGTCTGAGGGGGCCAAATCCCAGCTCTACTGCTTACATGGTTTAAAACACAGGCACAAAATATTTGATGCTCCCTCTTCAAGAGATGGAGCCTACGTTCCTTCCCCTTACATGTTGGCTGGATTTAGTAACTCATTTCTGTTAAATAAAGTGGAAGTGATGGTGTGTAACTTTAGAGACTAAGTCTAAAGGGTGCTGTGGGTTTTCTCTTTCTCTCTGGAATTGTTTGCTTTGGGGAAAATTAGCTATCATGTTGTGAGGACACCAAGCAACTTATAGAGATGTCCACGTAGCAAGGAACTGAGGCCTCCTGTCAACAGCCATATTAGTGTATCATCTTGGAAGTGGATCCTCCAGCCCCAGTCAAGCCTTCAGATGACTGCAGCCCCAGCCAACATCTTGATTGCAACCTCATAAGTACTCAGCTAAGTAGCTCCTGAATTCTAGATCTACAGAAGCTGTGAGACAATAAGTGTTGGTTGTTTTCAGCCACTAAGTTTTGGGGTAAATTGTACAGCAAGAGATAACTAATACAAAAGCTATGTGCCCTTGGACAAGTTAATTCACTCTCCTGTGCCTCTGTTTCCTTACTCATATAATTAGGGTGGTAATAACAGAATCTACATTATAGAGGAGCAGTAAGGATTTTGTGAGTTAATACGTGTGAAACACTTAGAACAGGGCTGGCATGCAGTAAATACTCAATGAATGTTAGTTATAACTACTGTTATTGATAATTGCATGATCTCAGGCAAACACAGAAAGAACAGGGAAGAAATAGAGTGCTTGCTGAATGAAGGAAAGGTGGAAATCAACACTAGTCTTAACCATTTGTCATGTACTGTCAATCCAAGCTCAGCCCAAGGGTTAGTGTGTTCATTGGCCAGTGGAAGTTTGACTGACCTTCACCGAGGGGGCCTTCTGTATGGTAGGGATTACACTCAGCCTGGCACTCTGTTTATCTCTCTAAATCCTCAGGGCCACCTTTTGTATGAATTGGTGTATCACATACTGTCGCCTTTCTAGACATGGTTGGAAAAATCTTCAACATTAACCTGGAAGAGCTTTACCAAACATCTTCGTTATTCATTTTTGAAACAACTGAGAGTATCCATGGTCACTGGTGCTCAGGGATTCCCTATGTCAGCAGAAGGGCTGGATACCATTGTGACCATTTTAATTAAAATTCTTATTTGACAAGAGCCAGATATTTGTATGTATATCAATGGCATAGAGCAAATCATGCCTTTTTTCCTGTCTCTCTGATACAAAAGTGAGATTTATAGATCCCACTCATTCTCTCTCAACTGGTTTCCTCTACTGGCTAGGAGTATATATGAACAACAGCTTGTTTTCAACTATATTATTTACTCATTTTTTACCTTTTGGAGTGAAAAAAGGTTGTAAAGTTCCATCTCAGTGCAGAAATTCCTGAGGAAGAAAGCCCTCTCGAGACAATTCAGAGTGAAATGTTGGGCAAGACCCAGCATTATGTTTCTCCCCCAGCCCTCCCTGAGACTGAGCCAGTATCCAAGGATCTTCACTCCTCGAGCTCACAGAACAGTTGACCAACGAACTCTCGGCTGCACGTGGCTGCTGTCAAATTCCTGGGTATCCAGACTATGACGGTTAATTTTATATATCAACTCGACTGGGCATGGGGCACCCAGATATTTGGTTAAACAACCTTCTAGATACTTCCGTGAGAGTGGTTCTGGATGAGATTAGCATTTGAATCAATAGACTGAATAAAACTGATTGCCCTTATTCAATCTGCTGAAGCCCTGAACAGAACAAAAAGGCAAAGTAAAAGAGAATCTGCTCCCTTTGCCTGACTGTACTACAGCTGGGACACTGGTCTTCTCTTCCTTTTGGACTTGGACTTGGACTAGGACTACATCATTAGCTTTCCTGGGTCTCCAGGAAACTGCAGGTCTTGGGAATTCTGAGCCTCCATAACTGTGTGAGCCAATGCTTGTAATAAATCATGTATATTTGTATCTGCATAGACAGATGTATATCTCTCTCTTTCTATCTCTTCATCCATCCTATTGATTATATTTCTCTGGAGAACCCAGACTACATACACACTGTATAGAATGCAGCCACCATCACTGTGACACCCTCCTGGCGCTTCTTTAACCCATGAACCCAGTATCTAGCTGCTCGCCAGGACAGTCCATTCTCCCAAGGGACAGCGCTCAGTAGCTCTGCAGAGGTTCCCATCAAGGACACTGGGCCTGAGGATCATGTTGGTTGTGAATGTCGCTATTATCTCTAGAACTGAATGGAAGATTTCTAACTAATCTCAAGGAACCTGTCCATTAGATGTCAAAGAATAAAAAAGGTTCGGTTCTCACGACCCTAGTCAGAAATAACAATGCCAAGGTGTAGGGTTCCTCTTTTCTCTCTAATTCTCTTCAGGGGCTGAGAATTCTTGTGTGTTGCCTTACTTGGCATTTGCCAATTGATGCTGACAACTTGAAACTCTCAAATTAGGGGAGGAATTCCCAAGGTGTAGGCAGGGATAATGAAAGATGATCTAGAAATAGTCGTGGTAATCTGATAACTTGCCAAGTTCCTCTGATGTGCTCTTCTCTTTTTCTTCTCTGGACAGCTCTTATGTTGGTTTTGGTCTAAAAGAAGAGTGACAGTTGCCTGTTGGGGAATTTAACACTGGCTCTCACATTGTCCTGGGCTGAACATAAACCTGTAATTTGATGAAGTGCTTCTGACAGGTGTATGCACATGCTTGTTGGTTTCACTCGGATCTGTCTTGAGGGAGTTGCTTCTTAGAAATTTCTGTACTGAGTCAGATTCTTCATAACTTTTCTTTCACGCTAAAAGGTAAAACATGAGTGACTTTAAAAATCTTTCTATTCATTCAACCTTTTGTCGCTGAGTACACATGTGGCTGGTGAAATTTGCTAGTGACTCAACCAGAAAGAGAGCGGGAGAGAGGACGAAGAGAGGAGTAGAGGGAGCGACCCAAATCACATTTTCTAGAAGGTCATACCTCTGAGTAGTAACCTTGGTTCAGTGAGACCACTCACCCATGGAGCTCCTGTGTAATTTGAGGTCAGGGTGTGTGATGCTGGTCTCAGTTGGTTGCTGAATGGGATGAACACCAGCTGCCCTATTTCTTCATTAAGGGGAAAGAAGTCTGTCTTGTGCATACACTGGGGACTGGCCTTGGCCCATCACATTACTGTCCTGTTGCTTCTTTCATTCCACAAATGTTATTTGTTCAGGTGGTCACCAGGTAGACAATAGAAGGGGAGGGGTGGCTCGCAAGGATGGTGGATTAGTTTCCTGCAGCCGCAGTAACAAATTACCACAAACTTGGAGGCTTAGAACAATAAAAAATCATTCCTTCCCATTTCTGGAGGCCAGAAGTCTGAAATCAGGGTGTCCTCAGGGCTGTGCATACTCTGAAGCCTCTAGAGGAAGGTCCTTTCTTGCTTCTTCTGGCTTCTCAGGGAGTAGTGTTAGCACGTAGGCTGGTCATTTGGAACAAAATGCAAGCTGACTGCCCAGCCGAGCCAGCAGGGTCAAAGAGCTCAGTCTAAAAATTAAACTATTGAAAGCACTACAAGAAAACAAGGGAGCATTATTTTATATTGGTTTTATAGGAATAGAGGAGGCCTTTCCAAGTGTAACGTGGTGGCCCCAGGCATTCCTTTGCTGGTGGCTGCATCACTCCAGTCTCTGCCTCCATCTTCACGTGACCTTCTTCTGTGTGTCTCTTATAAGGGCAATTGTCATTGGATTTAGGGGCCACCAGGATAATCCAGGATGATCTCATCTTGAGACCCCTAACCTAATTACATCCTTATAGGAAAAAGACCGTTTTTCCTATAAGGCCCCATTCATCGGTACTGGGGCCTAGGATGTGGACATATCTTTTTAGTGGTCACCAGTCAACTCACTACAGATGGGTTGGTGCTTAAGCAGTGAGCAGAGTGGTCCTCTGTCCGCCCAGGGGTGTTCCTTGGGGTGGGGCCAATTCTGGGTCCTGCTGCTCATCCCTGGGCCATCTGTCCCTGCAGCCTATTGGGAAGTTCTGCAAATCCAGTGGCCTCCACTAGATCAGGAGTGATGGGGAAGGAACACAGGGCTGCTTCAGGGAGCAGCGGGCTCAGCCCTGCCAGTTAGTGGGGAACCGCGCTTCGGCCAAATCAGAGCTGGAACATTCAAGCCAGCCTTTGTTTTCCCAAGTAAATCCAGCTTGCTTCCATACTGTTTCTCAGTCTCTGGCGTCAAGCGAGGGAAGCATTCCTGGAAAAATATGTCCTCTGAATCATATTACCATCCTGATTTACATTATAATTTCTTCAGCTATGTATTCCCAGAGGGAGGAAATTGGCTACAAGACATCACCAAAAATTCACACATAAGCACAAAGCAAGCCTGAAAGAAAAATCCTATTTGCAGAAAAAGGAGCCAGTGTTGCAAATGTGGCTTCCCCCGTGACAGAAATGGCCCTGGTTACCAGCAAGAGGCAGCAGGGAAGAAGCCCCCCTTTCTGGAGGGATTTTCCAGGTTCTTGCTTTTTTAAAAACAGCATTTAAAGAGAGCAGCTTGAATAAATCCTTCCTCAGGGTTTCCTGGAGTGATCATCTTGTTCCTCCCTTCTCCCCTCCTCCTCCTCTGTCTTCTCTACCCTCTCTTCCTTCTTTAAGCCCACTGGCTTCTTTAGTTTTTATTTGCGCATTGCAGATAACACTTCTCTGCTGAGGACCTCTAGGTGCACTGTCTCTTTAAGGGCCAGAATGGTCTGTTTTCCCTGCTTAACATATTTGTTTGTTCGTTTGCATGAAAAGGGTAGGAAAGACCAAAGCCTGGCAGGGAGGTAGAAAGGAAGACAGGACAGAAGCCAACCCCAAGGGAGTGAGATGCACAGAGTTCCGGTGTGGGGAGCCTGAAGTGGCCCCACAGAGCTGGGGTCTGGACCTGGGGCCAGGCTTCTTTCTTGGTGCGTCCCAGGGGAAGGAGCAATTATGTGAAGTGGCAGAGGGAGAAAGGATCCCTTCTGCAGCGGGGGTGAGCTGGCTTCTCGTCATGCCTACTGCACTGGCTGAGTGGGCAGGAGGCCAGGCATGAATCTTTCTGATGGTCTGAGAGGCACAGTGACCACGTTTGGTGAGCCTGCCCTAAACAGAGGAAAGATGTTCTGTGTCACACCTACTCCAACAACAACTGAACTGGTCTCTAGTAATAAACAAGAAATGATCAAACTGCCCTATAATTGTTGTCTGAGTCTCCTTGGGCTGTCATAACGAAGTATCACAAACAGGTGGCTTGAATGACAGAAATGTATGGTCTCACAGTTCTGGAGGCTGGAAGCTGAGATCCAGGTGTTGGCAGGGTTGGTTCCTCCTGAGGCTGTGAAGGGAGGTCTGGTCCAGGCCTCTCCCCCGGGTTATGGTAGTTGCTGGCGATCTTTGGCTCTTGTTGCATCACCCTGACTTCTGATGTCATCTTCACACGGCCTTCTCCCCGTGCACATGTCTGTGTCCAAATTTCCACTCCATTTTTTTTTTTTATGAGGACACCAGCCACATCGGACTATGGTCTGCTCTTCTCCAGTAGGACCTCATCTAACTTAACTAATTACATCTGCAATGGGCCTATTTCCCAATAAGATCATATTCTTAGGTACTAAGGGTTAGGACTTTACCATATGAATTTTGGGGAACACAAACAGTAATTGTGAAGTGTTATGTTAGCATAGGAAGGTTAGGGGAACTCAGACTGGTATTTGAAACAGTTACCCTAGCCTAAGGTTAGGAATATTATTTGGAAACCATTGTTTTCTTTTGCTAAAGTGGGTGGGATAAAATCAGGAAGTACAAAGCTGAAGACCACTTAAGTCCATGGAGGAAAGCCAGATTATTCGGTGAAAAGTGTTAGGACATCGGCTGGTCTTCCAGCAAACAATGCAAGCTGGCTGCCCAGCCGAGTCAGCGGGGTCAAAGATCTCAGTCTAAAAATTAAACTGTTGAAAGCACTATGAGAAAACAAGGGAGAATGACTTTATGTGAATTTTATAGGAATAGAGAAGGCCTTTCCAAGTATAACATAAAACTGAGATGGCAGAAAGAAACATGTCAATAACTTTCACTACATAAAATAAATATATTTTGCAGGTAAAATACCATTAACAAAAAAATCAATAAGACAAATGACAGACTATGAAAGATATCTGCAAAACATAAAACTGACAAGGGAGTCATTTCCTTTATATAAAGCCAGCCATTACAAATCAACTAGAAAAAAGAAAAAATCAATTAGGAAATGGGCAAAGAGAAGAAAAGGAAACACCAGTAAATATATTGAAAGATGCCCAACTACATGCTAGAAAACACGAATGACACCCGTTTTCACTTATCCTACTGGCAAAGATCAATGAGTTGTTTCTACCCAGTGTGGATGAAAATAGGTAGACAAAGGCGTGCCTGTCTCTGGAGGTAGGATTGGAAATCAAATGATCCTTTGTAGGAGGGCAATTTGGCAATATCTTTAAAAGCAAAATATGCATATCCTCTTTTATCCCATCAATCTCACTTCTAAGAATCTATCCTGGCCGGGTGCAGTGGGTCACGCCTGTAATCCCAGCACTTTGGGAGGCCAAGGCGGGCGGATCACAAGTTCAGGAGATTGAGAACATCCTGGCTAACATGGTGAAACCCCGCCTCTACTAAAAATACAAAAAATTAGCCGGGCGTGGCGCGTATGCCTGTAGTCCCAGCTGCTGGGGAGGCTGAGGCAGGAGAATGGCGTGAACCCAGGATACGGAGCTTTGCAGTGAGCCGAGATTGAGCCACTGCACTCCAGCCTGGGCGACAGAGTGAGACTCTGTCTCCAAAAAAAAAAAAAAAAAAAAAAAAAAATCTATCCTATGGATATCAGAGGTTTACTGCACTGTTATTTGTAACAAAAAAAGTAGAAAGCTGTCTATAATATTCTCTAGAGCACTAGTTATAGAAATGATCGTATGTCCATCAAATAAAGTATTATTTTGCAATTTAAAAAGAACAAGTTAATGTGTTAATAAAGATTTGTGGTATATGTTAAATTAATAAAAAGCAGTTGACCATATACAAAATCATCCACTTCCATTTGTGTAACACAATAGGAATATGTATGAATACATGTTACAATATACCTGAAGAGGCATAGAACGTTTCCAGAAAGGCACCCAAGTGACAGTGAGCACGGCTTCTATCCAAGCAGAGGGACTGCAGAACAGAGGATGGAAAGGGATGTATTTTTCATTATCTATCCTTTATACCATTTGAATGTCTTATCCTGTGCAAGCATTACTTTTAATGTAAAAACACCCAAATTAAAATTTAAAAAATGAGGAACAGAAGATTAATCCTTCTCTGTGGACAAAGAAGGATTTGCTGTGGGGTACTCATACGTGCTCTCTTGATACCCGGTTGAGGAGGGGGACAGGTGAAATCTAATTTCTTTAGACTGAAGCAGATGGAGGGAGACTCATCACTCCAGTCCAACTGGCTGTGAAGGTGGAGGAAGCTAGTGTCTGGGAAGGAGAGAATGCCTATGATTGAAAAAATATGTGTTGAAGTTGGTGTTTATAGTTTGCAACCTCCACGCATTCACTCTCCCGGGTGAAGTCTTTTTTTTTTTTTTTTTTTTTTTTGGAGATGGAGTCTTGCTCTGTTGCCCAGGCTGGAGTGCAGTGGTGCGATCTCGGCTCACTGCAATCTCCGCCTCCTGGGTTCAAGTGATTCTCCTGTCTCAGCCTCCTGAGTAGCTGGGATTACAGGCACCCACCATCATGCCTGGCTAATTTTTGTATTTTTGTAGAGACGGGGTTTCAGCATGTTGGCCAGGCTGGTCTTGAACTCCTGACCTCAGGTGATCTGCCCACCCTGGCCTCCCAAAGTGCTGGGATTACAGGCGTGAGCCACCGCGCCCAGCCTCTGTGTGAAGTCTTAATCGGGACACGGGTGGAGACAGGGACCTGTGCATTTATTTGGTCATGGCCTCAAATTCACATGCAGCAGGTGTCAGGATGTAGGCTTGACAGGAAGGAAGGCAGGGGTTGAAAAAATGGAGGGTGGGCAGAGGTGGGGTGGGCTGGGACAAAACCCAGAGAGCACTCTTCTTAAAGGCAGGCAAATTCAGACTTGCAATACACATTCTGCTGAACGAAGCTAATTTCTGAGGAAAGTGAGGCCCAGAGTGGTTAAGTGATTCATGATGGTATCAGGGAGGGCCCTGAGGGTTCTGATCACTCCCAGCACTTGATCCAAAGGCCCCAGGCCCTTGGAGGCATTTCAGTGGCTGGCTTGGGTTAAAACTGCATGACAGGCGCCTCTTAACCTGGGCCTCTTGGGCCTGGAAAATTGGCTGCTGGAAGGGAGAAAGGCTAAGGGTAGCGTCCCAGCCGGTATCTCAGCAACGCGGGGTTACAGGCCGCAGGATGAGTGCTCCAGCTGACCCAGACTCACCACTTTTCAGTTGTCATGCAAGCAAGCAAACACTTCCCAATTCCAGGCCAGAAATCTTTCTAAACTGTGGCAGCCGCTTCCCTTTCTTCACAAGCAGACGGCACTGGGTATAATTTAAGCTTTTTCTTCATGTCTCCGTGCCATCTTGCTGAAACATCAGCTACTGTTCTGTCCTTCAATGCAGACCTGGCCTCAGGAGATTGTAAGGTGGGTAGAAACATTGGCTTTTCTCATAAAGGATTCCAGACAGTGACGTGTTTGGGCTTTTTTTCTTTGATTTATAGCTCTGGGCTTTTTTTCCATTCACTGTCAGACTTGCCTCTTGTTGCTCTCAATGTGCCTGTTTTATAGCAAATCCATCTCCTCCCTTTATTTGCTGCTTTGGTCTCCTCTGGTCTGGGAGACCAGTCAGCTCTGAGCTTGTTAGGATTTCTTATTAGAAAAACAATAAATAAAAAGGACACACCTCTGCTTAGCTTCCAGCATCGGTCTTAGATGCTGGGATGGACTGCACGGGCATTGTGGCATCTTCTGTGATTGCATTTCTCCCCTCAGTTTGGAGTTCTTAGTTGTATTCTAGAGTCTAGATGGATAAAGTTGCTAGATAAACAAGTGCCAGATGATGGAATGGTTTCTTTGTTCTACCAATAGCATATTCAATAACTGTGGATGATTTAAAGTGTTTTTGTTCACTGAGTCCTACCATCTGAGATGGAAGGTGTCCTTCTTATCTGACCTGTTTTAGGCATAAAACACATGAATGAGAAATAGAGAACTCTCTATTTCTATAGCTGATTTTTAAAGAGCTTGGCAGACAGGTGTTTCTTCTTCTTTATTTTTCTCTTATAAGGATAATTTTAGAGCAAAACTGTTCTAACATATTTGAATTATATGTGATGGGATTCCCAGCTCATCTCATTCAAATTCAACCTAAAAAAGAAGCATTACCTGCTAATTCCTTATTAGTAAGCACTTTTTCTAACTTGACATTTTTAGATGTTTGAACCATCTGTCATTTTACAGGCAAATGGAACCTCTTGAGTACTAGAGATACACCCGTATTTTAAAAGCATTTTTTTTTTAAAAAATCTACTACATTCTAGATTCTATGCTATGTTTTTTTTTATCATCTAATTTAATAATCATTGAAACCTAGCCAGGCAGGAATCTCATCAGATAAAGAATATGAGGTCCAGGGAAATCAGATCAGTCAGTCAAGGACACAGCTAATGAGCAGGAGGGACAGGGCATGAGTGAAAGGGCTCTGGACACAAGTCCAGGGCTTTTCCTAGTGAGCCTAACCTTCGTTTTTCAGCTTAATGGGATGTGTGACACAACCCACTGTTGGCCAGGCTTATTCTGTGATATCGGACTCAATGACCCAAGGGGTGGGGGAGAGGGGTGCAGATGCCAGATAAGGCACCAGAGATTATTCACTTATGAGACATGTCTTCCATGATGGTTGGTTGGAACCCAGACTTAGGTGCCTAGTAAGTATTAATATTTTTCTCTTAGTTGTACTATTTTGAAAAACTTACTAGACACAAGGACATGATGAAAGTGTTGGCTGAAGTATCACATCCAAAGAGGGGATGATGGCAGTCAAATGGAACAGGTTTGAATATGTTTCATGAATATAATTCTATTGTAGTAGAGATACATTTAGATATATGTATTGTAGATATACACCAAAGGTGCATATATCATTGGTGATATAAATCACCATATATCGTTGGTGATAAATCAAAGGTGATATAAATCAATGGATATCTGAATGATGTATGTATATGTATAATATATCTCTATTCTCTCTGTTCCTCTATCTATTGAAGTGCAGGAGGAAATGAGAAGTCCCATTACAGGAAAGCTTGCAGAGTCTACAGCTTTTCAAAAGCAGTCACTTTCTGGTGGACAGAGCCCTAGTAATGAAGAAAATGGTGCTCTCCACCCTCCACCATACTTAGTGAGATGAAATTTTGACTAATTGCTCTGCAATCACTTCAAAATCCATACATACTAAAAAGTCTGATGGAATGGATAAAGAAGTGTCACTTGGAAGCAAATTCATAAGCAAAGTATATTTTCTTTTTCTTCTTACTTCCCCCTTTCAGTGGTTTCCATCTTGTTTTCCTCTGACCTTTTAAGGGGCTCACTGTTCTCATCCTGTCTCTTTGTTATCAGAGCCTCCCAATAGAGGAGAGTTACAGTTCAGGTCGAACATTCACGGCATGACTTATCTGTCCATCTATCTAACCACAGTCCTCATTCTTAATACATACTAGGCACTCAGTAAATTTCTATCTTCTCTCTCTTCCTTCCTCTCTCCATTCATTCCTGCCAAGAATTAACAATCTATTGGTGAGAAGAAACCAATTACCACTGAGTATCAGACAAATGACATGTCATGCCGGGCTATGTTTATGTTGAAACTCATGGCCCACCGTGAAAGAAAAGGGTTAGTCTCTTAACACATGAAGTATTGGGAGATGAGTGCAAGGGACGTGGTGGGCTGGGACTTTCACCCACACCATTGCTTCCTATCAGGGAAGCAGTAGTGTCTCCCTGTCAACTAGATGGCTTGGGTCTCAGGCAGAGTCAAAAGTTGGGTCTCACATGGCCAAGACACCAACTCACAGATTCTCCATTAATGACCCCCACTCCTGCATTCGTAGGGAATTTAATTTTAGATAAATTATTTCAAAAAATAGAAATACTCTTATCCCTCTGCAATAAACTACAGATTATCCTTATAAAAATCCTTTCTTTCTCAGTATAAGATTATGCAATTAAAATTGTTTGATTGAAATTGTTTGATTGACATATGATATAATTATTTCAAAATATCTATATATTTGATAAATTACCAGTGACTATGCTTCTTCATGTCATCATTATGAACTACTCAATGTTCAAAGGTTTATCATTTTCCATGTAATTATTTTTACATTCAAGGCTTTCTACTCTATAGCATGAACCTGACAATAACGATTCCTCCTTGAATCTGTATTGAAGTTTATAAAGCTTCAAGGACTTGTCAATGATACATAAAAAGTTAATTAAAATCATTCAAGGACTGCCTACCATAAGACTTGCAATAAACTGTCTGTTTGCATTGAAATGATGGGGTGCTCTGTGGGGTAGATTTTCACCTCCAGCCAATGTCTACTGTGGAGCTGCATGCTTGCATTTGTAATGGGCATTGCTGGGATAAAAGGTCTCAGCTGTGACAGTCTTAGGAAACCTCAGGATTTTTCAATTTTCCAAAGGCCTAAGAGTATTTTCTTGAAATTTCGGCATGGTGCCACAGCTACCAACCATGACACCTGGCTCAGTGAATATCTATGGCCACAGCCAGGGCACAAATGTGAATTTTAAAAATTCCACAAAGCCCCTCCTTTTCCAAACAGAAATTGGACATAAATATTCGTACATCAAAGTAACATATTAATGGGTGATACTTCAGGTTACTTCTTTTTTCTTTTCTTTTTTTTTTTTTTTTGAGATAGAGTCTTGCTCTGTTGCCCAGGCTGGAGTGCAGTGGCGTGATCTTGGCTCACTGCAACCTCTGCTTCCTACCGGGATCAAGCAATTCTCTTCCTCAGTCTCCTGAGTAGCTGGGATTGCAGGCATCTGCCACCATACCCGGCTAAGTTTGGTATTTTTAGAAGAGACCAAGGTTTCACCATCTTGGCCAGGCTGGTCTTGAACTCCCAACCTCGTGATCCACCTGCCTCAGCCTCCTAAAGTGCTGGGATTACAGGCATGAGCCACCGTACCTGGCCCAGGTTACTTTTTCAATTCCAAGCTAAGCAAGCTTAGGTCACACCTTTGAGGAATAAGGACAGAGACAGATAATTGAATTGTGTGGGGCTGAGAGTGCAGGGTTTCCAACCCCTGAAGCCACTGCAAGGGCAGATGGCCAGGTATGGCTAGGACAACAATTTCCTGGCACCCCTAGGCTCAGGTGTAGGGGGGCCTCTGTCAGGACCTCTAAGGATTCCCACAGGGTCTTCATTTACTAGACTGGAAGTGAGAGACATCTCCCTCCCCTCCCTTATTGGGGGCTGTGATGCTCCCAAATCTTAACTTTCTGATGATTTATCTTCAATGAGGGTGAAGTGCTGGGCATTTTGACACCCTCCCAGCCTGCTTGGCACAGCCTGCTCAGAGCTCTGGCAGCTCTTGTTGGAAGGTGGGAACTATTGACACCTATTGAATGGGAGCATCAGCTGAGACCGACTTCTAAGGAGTTCCTCTGAGGTGTCCCGTATCTTCCTGATTCACAGTTTGGCTTCTGGCTAGAATGGTTTCCAGGAACATCTTCAGCCACTGCTCAGTGATTACGGTCTCTGTTCTAGCTTTGCTCAGTTTTTGGCAAATCCAAAATCTGATTTTGGATATGACAGTGGGATATAGTGAGACATGGTTGGAGGCCACTCGGCAGGGGTGGAATCTGTGTGAGTAACCGCGCACCTGTGCTCACAGGAAAGCACAGCCGTTAGAACTCCTTAGACCCTGCAGGCAGGCCCCGCTAAGTTAAATAGTGACAGGGACATGAACATATTCATTCAATGTGCTTTTGCTATGATCCACCACTCTGGATCAAACATATTTTTTGAGACGTTTTGCTGTATAATTAAAAAAAAGGTTTCTCTAACCTCAGCTGATGGCCCATTTATTTCAAGCAGTTTGGGATGTCGTGGCATTCCAGCACTTAGTCATTTGGGGTTTGAGGCAGTGGAATTTGATATGTGTGTCCATTTCCATGGATTGCATTAGGACAAATACTTAATGCATGCGGGGCTTAAAACCTAGATGACAGGTTGATGGGCGCAACAAACCACCATGGCACATGTATACCTATGTAACAAAGCTGCATGTTCTGCACAAGTATCCCAGAACTTAAAGTAAAAACAAAAACCAAAAAATCCCAAAAAACAAAAAACGTAGAGTGGCAGACAAATTCCCATTTAATATTTGTGTTTCAACTGCCTCTCCCTTTACCCTTGAGAAAAAAAGGCAATGCATTTTTTTTTTCCTTCAGAATAATTTCCAAGGAGCAGCATTAGGGGTGTGAATGGTACTTAAAGTGTGTGGATTTAAAGTAGACAGAAGAATCAATATATTCTCCTCAGCAGTGCCAGTCCCAGCTCCCACACTGATCTGCTGTAAGGATGTTGCCTCTATCCCAAGCCCCATTTTAGTGCAACAATTTGGAAACTGACGGGAATGTGGGGGGCCAATAGGAACCGTGTCTTGATTAGACATGTGCTGGCCTGAGAGACAACATTCTCTTCTGCCAGGATGTTGGGGCCCAATGGTTGGGGCCTTCCTGCTCTCTGAAATAGAGTTTAGGTTCTGGCTTTGGAGTGAATCAGGAAAATGGCAGAACCCTTCAAATTCACTTTCAAAGAGACATAGAATATTGACAATGTGACATTCTCTAACAAACAAAATGTTTCCATTGATAACCACAAATTACTCAGCGATCTGCCAAGGAACCATTGATTTAGCCCAAATTTCTAAGGCCACTCCCCTCACCTAAATGGTTATTTCATTAAACTTAGAGCGAAAGGGTAGCATTAGATATGCTAAGCTTTACTCTTAACATAGATACCAAGAAGGGACAGTTTTTGACGCAAATCTTTATTTGGGTTGACAAGAGCCACAAAGAAACTCATTCTGTAAGTGAGCTTCTACAAAGTGTCACTAGTGACTGCCGCACCCTGTGTATGTTCCATCATGTTTTCAAGCTTTTATTAAAAATGGTTAATGGGTAGAGGGAAACATCCCTCTATTTTGACAGCAGGAAATTAAAAACATGAATCCAACTTGGAAATCCATCAGATGACCTGTTTAAATGTCTTAA
Organism: Homo sapiens; assembly: GCF_000001405.40. NCBI lineage: Eukaryota > Metazoa > Chordata > Mammalia > Primates > Hominidae > Homo > Homo sapiens. The sequence goes on from NC_000021.9 coordinate 37,693,168, forward strand.
TTTTTCGAGATAGATGGTACCAAGTGCTATGTTTTCTTGCCACTTGAAGGTAGAACTGATGTTTTAGGCAACATCCAAGCAATGTCTCGTTCAATGCCCACATAAGCAAGACTGTAAGTTCTGCCATCTCTTGATTCACATCACCATTTGGAGGATGGGAGTCTTAAATTTCTCTGTCACAAGGAGGGGCCCAGGGATTGGCTGAGTTGCAGAATGAAGGAGTATGCAGGAATGAACCACGGCGGATGAGTCCATAAGACAGAATCCTGGAGGAGAACCAGGAAATCAAACCCTCAAGGTGGGCTGTGTGGATCTGGGACAAGCCGGGAGAGAAGCAGGGGCCACCGTACGCCCCTTGGGCCTCTCTAGCAGGCAGGTGCTCGCCCCTGAGAACCTAGATCCTCTCAGACGAGAGTGGGCAGGAAGAGAGGTGGGAGGGGTGGGGGGATACAACATAGTGAAAATTTAAAAAATTGATACGTGATTTTGGGATAAAAGCAGAAACACTATTGGATGAGCTAGAACAGAGCTCCCCAGGCCCACAGACAAATGGTCTAATAGATTAAATGGTAACACTTTGATAATCATTATAAAGAAGTTTTTCATAGAACTGTTACCTTTTGGTAGTCTGGCTTCCTCATGCCCTCCCTCCAGCGGTACCCACTTTCTTCCCTCAACCTGAACTCATTCCTGCAGAAATACTTTTCACGCTTTTCATTTCTTCCATGTGCCCACTATCTTCATTCAATTATTTACCATTTTTTTTTTAAAAAAAACAAACATTGGAACAAATATAATAAAACTTCTTTACATTGATTATCTAAACATTGACATTTAATCCCCTAGCCTTTTTGTCTAACAGTTTTGTGTTGTGCCAGCCACCGGGCAAATGGTGCCTTCCTGCCAGAGGGGCGTGGGAAGTAAGAAAGTGCTGAGAAGGTTCTGGAGGGAGAAAGGCCCCTCCTGGGACAGAGGTGGTGTTCCCCACACTGCAGCCTCAGATACCTGTGGGCCCTGAGTTTTCCTGAAGGCACTTTCTGCTGCTGTGGAGGTGACGATTGGACCCATGGATGGCCGGCTGTGTGTTTATCTTAGTGCTTCTCACCAGGACAGCCTCCCATCACCTTCACTCAGACCCTTGACCTCCTCCACCTTGATGGTTCTTTTAGCGAGGACAAGCTCACACGTTCAAATAGAGAAGGGGCATGGCCAGCTTTGGAGAAAGAGTACTGTTAGCATTTTTGGTATCTTTCAATACTGCCTGACTGTGGAATAAGAAGCCACATTTTACATATAGGGATTTTGCCTTACATAACTTTAGATAAAGCACCATTGATCAAGCTACATGTGTGGCCCTTACAACATTTTAGTCTGCAAAAAGTCAGGTTCTCTATTCCAGGTGTCAGCGGTGTGTCGGGGAACTTATGTGGAGGCTACAGACTTTTAGTGATGATGAAAACATTGTGTCCCTTTATTATTGCTCTGATTTGGTCCAAGAAGAATAGAAGTACTTTGCGTAATGTCATGGACTGAATTGTGCACCCCCCAAGTTCCTATGCTGAAGCCCTAACTCCCAATGTGACTGTACTTAGAGGAGGTCCCAAAGGTGAAACGTCCCACTGTCTACTCATTGTATTGTATCAGGTGGGGAACCTGATCCAGTAGTTCCAGAAGAGACACAAAAGAGGGCTCCTTCTCTCTGTGCCTGCACAGAGGAAAGGCCCCGTGAAGATAGAGTGGGAAGGCCTTCATGCTAGGAAGAAGGCCCTCACCAGGAACCCAAGCTACCTCTATCTGGGACTTCCAGCCTCCAGACTGTTAGTAAATAAATATCTGTTGTTTAAGCTGCCTAGCCTATGATATTTTGTTATGGCAGCCTGAGCTGACTAATATACACAGCATATAACACAGCCAATTTCAGGGGTGGTGCTATGGAGAGAGTAGCCCCTAGGGTAGGGACCTAAAAAGCACCAGGAATGAAGTGAGCATGCACACCATAATGATGCACAATCTTGCTGCATGCCCAATAAATTTGATTCCAGGCATTGTTGCAACCACAAGGGAGACCTGGCTTGTTACAGAACTTAACAGTGTCCATCCCATAAAAGGAAATCAATGGCTAAGCAAAAGTCCAACTATTCTTAGTGCTGTGACATGAAGAAATTTCCCCAGAGAGTTTGCAACAAGGCAGCTGGTGGGGAAGTTAACACCACCTTCTAGCAGACACAGGGTCAGTTTCACAGGGCTGGTTTTTACATTATGCAGCTCAATAAAAGTAGTGGGCTTCTAAGTGTAGGGTGGCTCTTTGATCCTCCTGCAGGTGTTAAGAGCTGGGTCTGAGACTTCTGGAAGAATGCAGGAGCTGTGACTTTATGCAGACCTCCCTACATGTTTTCACTCCAGATCAACATGCTGGTAAGTATTGGAGTGAGGAGCTTGGGATTTCTCCCTGACAGTTTCTGGAAGGCAGTGTTTTTGAGCTATGAGTTTAGTTCAGATACGTGTACTTAGCAGCCAGTTAAGCTGGGCTAGAACCGACCTCTTTTGTAAATGGAGGGACCTGGTATGAATATCTTCTCGGTACACCAAGTGCCTATGTCTTGGCTTCTAAAGACCATTCCCTAGTAAAAGGAACAAGGAATCTTTGGAGAAATGTCTGACTCCAGAGCTGGAGCTGAAAAAGTCCAAGGTGAGCCTGTAACATCTTTTTGTGCCAGAAAAAAGGAAGAACACACAAAATGATTATGTTCAAAGGGCAAAGAGCCACTAGAAAGGGATCCCACTGGCCAGATCTGGGATAATGTGAGCATCACAAATAATATCAGTAGCAGATTATAACTCATTGAATACAAGAGGAATCCATGAATCCATACTGATATAGATAGATCAATAGATAACTAAGGGAGGGGAAAAGCTCTTCCTTATAGCTGAAAGAGAACACATCAATGTAGAAAGAACCATGCATTCAGAGGTAACCATCGTAGAAATAACCGATTCAGGTTAGAATTATCGATGAATGCTAAAAGCAAAGTTTGAGGAGGAATAAGATATTTACATGGCCTCAAAGTAACTGCTCTGAGATACTTCTTACAAGGTGAAAACTAGTAATTTTAAAGTTAAGAAACCTGGCAGACACCACCTGAGCCAGAGATAGAAGTTAACATCATTCAAATTAGGAAAAGCTGACCTTATGTGCCTCCTGATATAATGCACTGGGAGGGACACAGCACCACTTTGTATTCTTGCCCCACAGACATAACCTAAATCTAATCATGAAAAGAACATTAAAAACCTTAAGTTGAGGCACATGCTACAAAATAACTGCTCTATAGTCTTCAAAAAATTAATGTCATGAAAGATAAGGAAAGACAGAAGAATTCCACTAGATAATATGAGATTGAGAGACATGACAACAAAGTACGACCTGGGATTTCCTAGAATATAAGAAGAAATGGTTGGAAAAATTGGCAAAATCTGAATCAAGTCTGCAGATGCTACTATATCAGATTAGATATAGTAGCATTATGTCAATATGCATTTTCTGATTTTGAAAATCACACTGTGGTTTTGTAAGACTGTCTTCACTTTTACATAACTGCATCATGCCTACAGTTTACTTTCAAATGATTAAAAAAACTCACATGTATACATGCATTCACACATACATCTACATGTGTGTCTATATCTAGAGAGAATGATAGATGTGGTAAAATGTGGAAGATCATTCCTTCTGCCCCTAGCTCCTGAGGTAGCATGGCGAACAGGATCAATTTCATGATCTGAAATGAGTTAGCTGTGTTGAGCTTTTGTAGCCAGATTCACTCATCAAATTGTCCTCAATGAACTCTCCTGTGGTTTGGATCCACAGTCAGGCCAAGAGGTATCTTGACAGGCTCCCTAAATTGTCACCAACAGGTGCTGTGGTCTTCATGTGCTCAGCATGGTGCCAAGGGGAGGAGGGAGCGAGAAGACCATAAGACGATTGTTTGACCACCGTGTGGCTTAATTCTGCCTGGAGAAATGTCATTGACATGGGGGAAGTAGGAAACAGAACAGGGGCCAATGGGGTGCTCCCCTTGCTGGGGAGAGCTAAACTGGTTTGAGGAGGGAGCACAGGATTGGCTGAACCCTGTGAGGCCTCATGGAAGAGGCAGAGCTTGCTTGGACCTTACAGGGTGTGAAGAATTTCGATTGGCTGGGGGAAAGGAGCCATAGAAAGTGGGGTGGGAAAGACAGAGAACAAAGCAAGCCGGGAAGAACCTGAGTATTCCCAATGTGTGTTTTCCAGGGAAAATCCATTCTAGAAGAAAACGACTTTGAGTTGAGAAATTTCATATGTGCTACTGGTACTCAAGCGTTTGTTGCAATTATTCTGATCCAAGGTCCTGCCTATCAGCTGGATAGGAATTAAGCCAAACCACATCTTAGGGTCTTTGTGAGGGCTTCCCACCAACCACATTTGGTTGGTTTGGTGATGAGAAAGTTCAAACAATATTCCTTGGGGGCCATGTTGGCAATAGTTGATCTGTGTGATTGGATGCATTTTCAAAGAGTTTGTTAATGGTGCCTTTCTGCATAGACAGTGTTCCACAATCGCCTGAGAGAGGATAAGGTTGTGTGGTGTGGATGTGTGATTTATATTTGTTGATGGTACATTATTCTAAGTTACACTCAGTCTCCTAGGCAAATAGGGGTGGGAGAGAGAGGAGTTTGCACAAAGAGAGTCTCTTTTGGAGTGGGTGGAGTTTGGGACCTTTAACGTTCAAATGCATTTATGATAAGAATAAATGTCGGTGTGAGGAGTTGGGACACTTTAAGTAGTGGGAGTACTTTTCACCCAAAGAAAGACAGAGCAAGCCCAAAAGGAAATGGGGGCATTGGTGCAAACACTCGTTAAACAAAGACACTCATGCTCTTTTATCATTTTCTTTGAAAACAGAATGTTAATAATAGTACTGTTTACTGCGGGATCTCTGCTTTTGAACAGAAGTTCAATTTTATCTTCCTCCCAAAGGTCAGGAAACCTCATCTCCCCCTTATTTTCTCATCCAGGGAGAATGCAAATGCAAATACACATGCAAATGATCTCATCTCCTCATGGACTGTGGCCACTTCTGCCTGTCCAGGAGAAATGGATGCTGGCTGCCCTGCTTCTCCAGGCGGGGGCTGCCCTTGCTGCATCCTGGCAGTGATGATGCGGTGCCCACTCGAAGAGCGGTTCTGGCTGGGAGTGCGGGAGGGGGGCTCATGGTCTTCCTGCTGTTCCCCTCCTCATCGAAAATGTTTTCTTATGTATATGATTCCATTCCATATTGTATTGTAATTTGTTTTTATGTGAGGAAAGAATTAAAAATAGTTTTGACTTTTGTTGTTGTTGTTTGAGACAGGATCTCGCTCTGTTGCCCAGGCTAGAGTGCAGTGGCACCATCATAGCTCACTGCAGCCTTTCGACCTCCTGGACTCAGCTGATCCTCCTGCCCCAGCCTCTCTAGTAGCTGAGACCACAAACGAGCGCCACCATGCCCAGGTAATTTTTTTTTTTTTTTTGAGACAGAGTCTTGCTCTGTCACCCAGGATGGAGTGCAGTGGCACGATCTTGGCTTACTGTAATCTTTACCTTCAGGGTTCAAATGATTCTCATGCCTCAGCCTCCTGAGTAGCTGGGATTATATGTGTGTGCCACCACGCTTGGCTAATTTTTTTGTATTTTTAGTAGAGATGGGGTTTCACCATCTTGGCCAGGCTGGTCTTGAACTCCTGGGCTCAAGCCATCCTCCTGCCTTGGCCTCCCAAAGTACTGGGATTTCAGGTGTAAGCCACGGCACCTGGCTAATTTTGCCATTTTAAAATGGTTAAAAAAAAATCCAAAGTGAAGAATAATACTTTATGACATGTGAAAATGATATGTGTCCATAAACACAATTTATGGCAGAGTTGAGCTGTTGTGACGGAGACTATCCACAAACCCTGAAATATTTACAATCTGGCCTTTTACAGGAAATTCTTTGCTTAATCCTTGCTCTAAAATACCAGTTCCGTAAGGGCAGGACTTTGTCCTTTTTATCTTTGTACAATGCCAGGCACATGGAAGGTTCTGGAAGGTCTTTGCCTGCAGATTGAGTACACCTCAGCTTCGGCCCCCTTGCCTGTTGAGTTTTTACCTTTCAAAAGGCCTTTTGCATAGTTTTGGAGGCTCATCCTTCCCACTCCTCCTCTATTACTGCAGGGGGAAGGGATACTTAGGGATAGAGCATTTTTTATTGATATGGATACCTCATATTCATATTAATTAGAAACTTCTGGAAAGCGATCACCCTTCCCATGTTTTGCTCTTCTGAGAGCCAGCTTGTTCCTCTGGCAGAGGGGAGGAGATTTGCCAGGGAAATCGGATAACATCAAAGGGAGTCCCTGAGCATGTAATTAGGTAGCATGAAAGCCTTGGGGCATGGCTGCTCTTGGAGTCCAATCTCCTGGCCTTGGAGAGTCTCTGTTGGACTAGACCCACTTTAAAAAGGGGCACAGGGATATTCCTAGTTGGCAGAGTCTCTTGAGTCTCTTGTGTGATTTTGAGACTGAAATCTGGGGACAAGTTTGCTTTTTGGATGTCCGCTTTAAACTCTCTGTATTTATGTCAGATGGAGTTTATAAGATGTGTGGTGAATACTGGGTGGGAGGGGAACCTATAGAATAGACTCTTAGTAAAATGTGTCTTTAATTTTTACATTAAATGACATGACAGCCTTCATAGGGAAGCCAGATGTTGCCCACAACTGGTAGAGCCCAGATTACATAGCGTCCGGTGGAAAGGAAACTCTTGAGGGTCTGAGACATATTTAGAAAGGCCACACCTTATTTTTAGAAAAATCATTTATTTTTTTCATCCTTTTTATTGAGCACTGACCATGTGCCAGATTGTGTTACTTTCTGGGAACAGAAAAAAAAAAGGCATAATCTTTATCCTCAAAAGTGTAGTCTGTTGAGGACACCCACATGTGGTCAGTCACCCATGAAACATCATGGAGATTTGCAGAAACTCAGCAGAAGCAGAGGGAGGACTTTTGAGAAAGGTTCCATAGGGGTGGCATTTGCAGGGAGATTTGTGGGCAGGAGTTATTGGAAAGGTAATGGAAAAGGGTATCCTAGGCAGAGACGATGTCACAGCACATGTGCAGGCCAGGGTTGAAATAATCCATGGCATATTCAGGAACGTCTGCAGCCTATGGAGGTAGTGGGGCAAAGGACAGGACACCTGGAGAGGTGCCATGTCTGTGACAGGCAAAGGTGGTTGGTCTCTATTCTCTAGCTCCTCAGAAGCTATTGAGAATCTCTGAACCGGGGAGTTGAGGGGATGAGATTTTTATGTTACAAAGTTTATTCTGACAATGATGAGGAAGGGAATTGCAAAAACGAGAGACTACATTTAGGGAGATCAGTATGGAGCATGGTAATGGTCCAGCAGGAGGGCTTGGTGGCATGAACCAGGGCAGCGGCCAAGCCCCTGAGAGGAAAGGATGTTTGGGTACTAGAGACAGGTACAAGATGGAATGGACAAGCTTAGCCAGGGCCGCCTCATATGGTTGTGCAGGATGTACACTGCACAACTCACCACATCTTAGGGGTACAGCTATATAGACCTATTCCACAGACTTCCCAGCAGATGGCAGTAGAGTGTCTTGAGGAGGGATGCCTTTTGCTCATTTGCATAAGAGAGCCTATGGTCTGGCAGCAGCCCCATGGGAATAGCTGGGCTGTGGAGCACGTGGGAGGGAAGAGCACAAGATGACGGCCAGGTCATTTCCGACCTGGGCACCTGGGAGACAAAGTTCCTTTCATCAAGATATGAAATGCATGACAGGAAGCAAATCTGACTTTAGGACACATTATATTTTAGGGACTTGAGAGCCACCCCAATGGAGATGCCCAGGAGGACACAGCTGCCTGGGTCTGTAGCTTAGGAGAGAGGCATGGGGCTGTGCCTGTGGGAACTACCTCTATACTGACGGAGGTGGTGCCCAGAGGCAGGAAGAGATTGCCTGGGAAAATGTGCAGAAGGGAAGCATTGAGGGTGCAGGACAGAGCCCTGGGGAACCACCGAGGTTTTGAATTGCAGGTGGAGGAAGGGAACCTTGAAGGAGACAGGGAGGAGGCGGTTGGAACTGGTTGCCTGGAGTTATTCCCATTGCCAGAAGGTAGAGGCTTCAGGTTTGACCAAGACCAGGTTAACTTTTTGTGTGTGTGTGTGTGGCAATTTTAAGTGACTCAAGACTTCTTTTCTATGTGCTTAAGAGAGCAGTCTGGTTTGTGACCACATAGGAGATTTCACTCATTTATTCCTCCTTTCATTCTCTCTGTACCTATGTATCCAGGGCCCGCTGTGGTCCAGGAACTGCTCTGGGTACTGAGAGGATAGCAATGAGCAAGACAAGGCCTTGCTCTCACAGAGCTTACATTCTAATTGGTAATAATTAAATTAATGACATAATGTCAGCTGGCCATGAGTGCCACACAGCATTGTATGACGCACAGTGGTCAGGGAGCTAGTTTCTTTTGGGTGATCAGAGAAGACCTCCTGAGCAAGATCTCTGTGCTCAGGATTGGAAACCCATGTGGCTGCAACATGTCAGTTGGGAAGAGGTTGGAGGTGAGAGCAGACAAGCAGGCAGGAGCCAGGCCAGGGGGATCTTATAGGCCAAAGATTTTTCCAAGTGCAGTGAAAATCCACTGGAGGGTTTTAAGCAAGTGAGGTGATTTGCTCTGATTTATGTCTTACTAAGAGTGCTCTGGGCCGGGCACGGTGGCTCATGCCTGTGATCCCAGCACTTTGGGAGGCTGAGGTGGGTGGATCACTTGAGGTCAGGAGTTCGAGACCAGCCTGGCCAATGTGGTGAAACCCCGTCTCTACTAAAAATACAAAAATTAGCTGGGCGTGGTGGTGGGCGCCTGTAATCCCAGCTACTTGGGAGGCTGAGGCAGGAGAATCGCTTGAACCCAGGAGGCGGAGGTTGCAGTCAGCTGAGATCGTACCACTGCACTCTAGCCTGGATGACAGAGTGAGATTTTGTCTCACAAAAAAAAAAAAAAAAAAAAGCTCTGACTGTTCTGTGCCAAGTGAACTTTGGTAGCGTGGTCATTAGCAGATAGACCAGTTGAACGTCACGGCCTCCACATTATGACAACTTAATCTGGGATGGTGGCCATAGAGACAGACATATTTTGGAAGTAATACCCATAGGATTTCCATGGTAAGGGACTGAGATGAATCTCCGATGACGCTGTAGTTTTTGACTTGAGTCACAGTATGGCTCAGGATAACATTTATGGCCCTGGGGAAGATGAAGAGCCGAACAGCCTCTAGAGGACTTGGGAAATCTCTAGCTTCTGCTTTGGCCATACTGGTTGTACAAGCTTGTTAGGCCACGTATGCATTTAAATCTTTGAGTGCAGAGCTCAGGGGAGAGGTTAGTACTGAAGATAGAAATTTAGTGTCACATAGAAAAAGATGGTAATTAAAGACAAGGGCTGAAGTCGCTGAGAAGGAAAGTAGGGGACAGGACTCTGGTTGGAATAGGCTCTGAGGCATTTTGGGAAGAGGAGAATAGCTTGCAGAAGAGAATGGAAAGGCACTCTTATTGAGGTAGGAGGGAAAGCAGTAGGGGAGTCATGAGTGCCAAGGAAGAAAGTGCTGGAGAGGGAGGCTGCGGTCAAGTGCGCTAATGATGTGGAGAGGCCAGGGAACCCAGGAACAGTGGAGTGGTCTTTGGATCTGGCGGGATGGACGTTGTTGGTGAGTTTTGGTGGTGTGGTGGGAAGGGAAGCCCATTTGAGATGGGAAGTAAGAAAGTGGCGAAGGAGAGGACAGGTGATTCTTTCTAGAAGTCCTGAGAGAAAGAGAGCTGAGAAATGGGAAACTACTAGAAAGGGACATGGCACCAAAAGAAGTATAGTTTTGTTTTTCTTTGTTTGTTCTTTGAGGTGGTGGATATTAGGGAATGTTTTGATGTTGATGGAAATAGAACTATTAGGAAAAATTGGTGATGGAGGAAAGAAAGAGGATGGTTGTAGTCCAAAAGTCTTTGAGTAGGCTGAGGGAATGGGAGTTGGAGATGGCCCTTGATGGAACAGGGCTCCACAGCAACAGGGGGGAAGAAAGAGGGAGAGGCCCAGGTGTGTGGCAGAAATGGGAAAGAGGGAGAGGCCCAGGTATGTGGTGGAAATGGTCGTGAGAAGATGCCAGTGTTCGGTCTGATTGCTTCTATTTTCTCAACTAAGCATGAGACCAGGTTGCTATCTAAGGGGGAGATGGTGTTGAAAGACTGAAGAGAGGGAAGAAAGTAGAAATCAAGAGTTTGGTGGGTTGGAAGATAAAAAGACTAAACATTTATATTAAATTCATATTACATCTGTGGATTTCGTTTCATTATAAGAAGAGACCCTGGGGTGAGACATATGACAGGTACCCCCTGAAGGCAAGTGCACAAAACATCTAACACCCTCCGTGCCCCCTCTCCACTGGGCCACCACCTTCCTGGGTCATGGGTGCTCACTGTTCATGAGATGCTCCTTGTACCTGGTCAAGTATGTGTCAGACTGCACTCAAGGACAGAAACGCCACTGTGCCATTCTACCTTTCAATGTGGTAGTGGAGGACACCTTGCCTGGCTGGCACAGGGAACTCAAAGTACCCACACTGAGCCTCTTCAATGTCGGGGATGAGAAATCCAGCCACAGGTGAGGCTTTTGCTAATTCATCCACCAAACCCAGGATGTGACTCCATGCAGCTGTATTGGAACCCAGCCCCGCCTTGCCCTGCTGGGCCTGGTTTGTGGGTGGCCCCTCAAGCTGCCTTCCCTTTCATTTGTAGTCATGACCCATCTGTTGTTGGCTTAACAGATATGATCTCTCTCTTCCCCTAGCCTTGGGGGTATGGGGTAACACAGGGTCTGCAGGCCATGCTGAACATGCTGAGGTCCCTTTGGGGGAACAAAAAGAAATTCTGCTGGAGGGACCAGGAAAGTGCTTGAAAATCTCTCTTGACCCATCCGTGTCGGACCTCACGAATCCTTAACATCATCTAGGGGGATCACGAACCAGCAGCATATTTGTTCCCCTGAGGTTGTACACCTTTTCCAACTTTGTTTGAGGAAACATAAAGTACATATTACTGAGTATGTTAAGCAAACAAAGCCCTGCTTTTTATCACTACTTTAGCTTTCCAAGTTGTATTAAACATACTTAATTTTGGGCCAATGCGAATGGAGCCTTAGTCTATTTTAGACTCAGTCTCTACAGTCTAGCCATCTCAGCTATCCCCTATTGTACATTCTCCTCTAATCCCATTACTCATCAAGCCCTCCATTATCCGTCCGCTTTCACAGATTTCTATTAATATTTACACTATATAAAACATGCTTGAGGAAATGTAAAAGGAAATGTATTTACTTAGCAGATGAATAATTAAAATCTTCCTAGGATGGCCTCAGTATGAGTCGTCGTCATCATCATCATCATCATCATCATCTCCAAAAAGGGTCTTGTTGAGTGTTTTACAGTGGAATGGAAACCCCAGCCGAGCTTAATTAGGCTGATCAAAGCCTATATCTTTTTATTATAGTGCTTTCTGGCAGGGAATTCAGAGTCAAAATTGATTTTTCCCTTTCAATGTTAAACTTTTTTTTTTCCTCCCTTAAGGGTTTGTCAGCTGGCCGCACTTTGGGTTACACTTGGTTGCACTTTGGGTTATACTTGGCACGGCACCAGGGCATTTTGGATGGGGTTAACCCAGAGCTTCAACTGGCACAGTCACCTGATAACACTGAATTGGGTAGAACTGGAGGGTGGGAGCCTCTAGACTGCCCTTTCAAGGGACTCAATGCCAACTGTTATGCAAGACTGGATCATTCCTGCCTGCCTCCTGCAGTCAGGAAAGGGGAGCCCAGTGGAGAAGCCATGGCCTGTAATCAAGAAATTATATATCATTGAGCCATAGTTGTCGGTGCATTAATGAACTCGAATCAATAACCACTATCTTGGAGCTCCTCAAACATGCCATAGGATTTGTGTAGGCTCCTCTAGAGGGGCACTGGAGCAGATAGACTGGGGAAGGGGCAGCCCTGAGACTGCATCCTGGCTTCATCACTTCACCAGCTGGGTGACCTTGGCCAAGTTACTGTCTTCCCAACCCCCTTGCAAGAGCCAACTTCCTCATTTGTTAAATGGGAATGGTACCCACATTTCAGAATTGCTTTGAAGATTTAAAATAATCCATGCAAAACATCTAATAAGGTAATTGGCATCCATTAGGCATGAAATAAATGACAGCTATGAGAACAGTATGATTCACAGAATCATAGTGTCACTCTCTTAATTGATTGAGCACCTACTACGCACCAGGCTCCACAGTGAAGGATGTGCATGATTATCTCGTGGAATCTTTTTGTAGGTACAAGTATCATTCCCATTTTTCAGAATGGGGAAAAAAAGATTTTGTGAAGGTAAGGAATGTGATATACTCAATCACAGGGATAGTCAAGAGTGGAGACAGAGTTTGAATTCAGTCTGTCTGATCTCAGTCTTCACCAGTGAAGAAAGAATTTAAAAGCTAGAGGAGAAGTTCTGCAAAGTAGCCAGCTGCAGATTCATTTCCTGGCAAGTCTAGTATGCTTGGCAGTATACAATGGCCAACTTGTCAAAATGTTAATGTGACATTTTATATCAGGCAAGATAGGCTAGATTTTACCTTGGTGACAAGCAACCCAAATTTCAGTAGCTTAACCCAACATAAGGTTATTTCCTCAGTCATCCTGTATATCACATGGGACTTGGCTTGAGGTCTACTCTTCAAAGCCAGTCAAGGGTCAGGAGGACAGAAGCTTCTCTGTGACATGTGCTTCCACGAGAGCCTTAAGAAGTGGGAAGGGAACACACTTTGGCTTGTAAAGTTTCCACCAGAGGGATACTCACCTCTTAATGTTTCTATTGATGGGACTACTGTTCGCATAGCCCTGTTCAACAAGAATAGGGAAATGCAATCTAATACGTGTCTGAAAGGATGAAAGCTGGGAATTTTTGGTGAACACGCTAATGACACCACACATTTCAAAACCTAACTCACAAAAAATTTTTCAGCTCAGCTTACTGGTTTTCAAAACCATGAGGCGATCTGTGGTAAACTGAAATTGTTGCTCTCAATGATTTACTCGAAGCTCCTGTGAAAAAATTATATTTCCCCATTTTATTGACATTAGGCACTGCCATATGACTTGCTATGACTAACAAATTGTGAGCAGAAGCGAGTGTTTGGCCCTGTCTCTTGTTTTTCCCTGACTTAAGAACGGTGTGTCCTATGTAGGGGCTGCTCCTTCAGTCTGCATCTTGGAGAAAACAGGCTGTAAACAGCTGCGGCTGCCATGTAGTGCGAATGAGAAATAAACCACTGTTTTCAGCCTTTGGGGTTGTCTGTTACAGCAGCATAACTTAGCCAAAGCAGACTGATATAGTATCTATCATTCTTTCTATGTAAACAGAGAATAATGAAATTGGCTACATAGAAATTCACATTTACTGTCCACTTCGTTGAAGTATAGCTGTACTTTAAAGCAGATGTATCTATAAGAACTAACCATGAAAGTAAATATTATTTGGTTAACAGCACAGAAATGCATTTTCTAAATTGGAACATCAGCTGATACCTCAGAATTCTTATGAAAAATCTAGGAGAGGAAATGGGAATATAGAAATCATATTGTTTTCAAATGTAAACGATTAGTCTTGTTCTCACTGAGCAGTTGCCTCAGAAGACCTGGGAGTAATCTACATTCATGTCCACTTTCGGTAGAAATTGGAATGATGAGACGTTACTATCTATAGGAATGCAAAGTCCCTTCTGACTGAGTCCAGTGATTCTCATTAATTCAGATCCCATCGATTTGTCATTCATGGCAGTACCCGGGCAGAGGCCAGGCTGGCTTTTACCCTTGCATTGTGCTTGTGCACTGTGTGGCCTGGTGCTCACAGGTTAACACTCGCTGTTTTGACTATTCAGAGTGGTTTTAGAGGGGAGTCATTTGTCATTCTATCACAGCACTAACTGCAAGGTCCCTGGGGACAATGAAGATGCTCGCTGGGACTGGGTCTCCCGACTGCCCGGCCTCCTGTCCCCGCAAAGCTTTACTCTTTCTTGTTTTTTGCCTGTGTGGTCTATAGAGGAAGAGATGATCTGCTCTAATGGAATTCAGAGGGTTGAAAGGTTACCCGTGAGTAGGTACCATTATTGTTCCCATTTTAGAGTTGAAGAAATGGAGACAGACAGAGGTTACGTAAGGCAGGGAAGGGAACAACTGTGGCTTGAACCCAGGATGGCCTGATGCTGTAAATGACACAAAGGGGCACAGATGAACTGAGCTATAGCCAGAGAAGTTAATTTGGAAAAAGAAGCTTACTAAGTAATTAATATAACAAACAAGGTTATAAGTGGGTGGGTGTGCCACTGTGGAGCAAGGGCATGATTGACTGAAGCAGCAGCACCTCAGGCTGCTTAGCTGTTTAGTATCTGTGCATGTGTGTGTGTGAATAATTTACATAGCTTTCCCCAGTGATCCTCTTCCGGTCATTAGAAATTGTTGAGTAAAACTGCTTTGCTGGCAACCTGCTGTCCGCACTTGTATTACTGAATGCCCTAGGAAATAATAAAACTCTATTTGTTTAAGGATATGCTAATTAGAGACTTCACACGATTTGACGTTCATCTCCTAATTTGGATGATGCTGTTCCTTTGGAAGATGAGTATTGACTTTAGAGTTTGGGTCTGAGCTAAATTTAGATGCTAGTCCAATTTTGTCCAATGGCTTTGAATTCCACATTGTATATACTGAGAGATCATCACTCACTTCTATTGAGCATCTAATTTAGTGGCTTCTTATGGCCCATTTGGAGAAGGAAGAACAATGGATTTTCTGGTATTGGTGAACAATGAACAATTTTTGCCTTTTTCAATCACAGTAATATATGGTGACCTTGACTCCTTGTCTTCTAAAGTATGGGAAATGTTTAGTGGAGTTATAATGCTAGGTTTCTTACAGTAGCCTGCCTTTTGGAAGGAGTGGTAGAAAAGTTAAGACTCTATGTGTGCACCATAGCATCCAAAATCCAATTGTTAAGACATCTGATGAACCAGAACACAGTGTCCCCAAGCTGTGGAGGATTATAGAGAGTTTACCATATTTGGGGAGCAGTTGTCACCAGTTTTTACCCAGCCAGCCAATGATACTACTGGGATATATTATAATGAGATAGACATATTGGAAGGAAGCCCTGAATAAATGAGCTACACTTAATGCTCAAAAAGAAAGGAGAGCTGGATTTCTTGATTTACGGGTGGCAGATTTTGACCTAGGAAAAACATATTCCATATGTCTTTAAATTGAAAAAAATCACTCCTTATAGAGATTCCTCCAGGAAGATGCCTCTATGAAGAGTTTTACCCAAGTTCTTAGCATTTCAGAGCTCACCAATTAACTCTTTTCCCAGGCTGGGTGGTTGGGGTTATAACTCTTAAGATAAAAAATGGTAAAATTGGAGATAATGGCTTGGCAATGGAGGGATCAGCAGTAAATTATCAAAAGGAGAAAAATAAGATTTGAAAAATGTAGCAGCTATGAAATATCATTACTAGAAACAGTTTAAGAGCATGGTGATGCTTACCCTCAGCAGTCTTATCTTTTCAAAGGCTGCAATCTCATATTCTCCCCTGCTAGGGTAGATTGGCATTTTTGATTACAGTAAAGAAAAATGTGCCTGGAAATCAGACCTGACAGAACATCATGTTCTTCCAGGGGTATTTTTGTAGACAATGCTTATTTAATTTTGATTTCAGAATTGTTTTGTGGTACATCTCATTCTGATACATGGTTGTTTAAAATTCATGTCAATGTCTACGTAATTTAAAAATGAATTGATAACATTTGGAAACAGAAGAACCTTAAAGGAAAGGAAGAACTAATGGTGAGAGAAAAGAATTGAGGGCACATTAATACCAGTCATCTGCACATGAAATATCAGTTGTTGACTGGGCGCGGTGGCTCACACCTGTAATCCCAGCACTTTGGGAGGCCAAGGTGGGTGGATCACCTGAGGTGGGGAGTTCCAGACCAGCCTGACCAACACGGAGAAACCCCATCTCTACTAAAATTACAAAATTAGCCGGGCGCGGTGGTGGTGCATGCCTGTAATCCCAGCTACTCAGGAGGCTGAGGCAGGAGAATCGTTTGAACCCAGGAGGCGGAGGTTGCAGTGAGCCAAGATCACGCCACTGCACTCCAGCCTGGGCAACGAGAGCAAAACCCTGTCTCAAAAAAAAGAAAAGAAAAGAAAAGAAATATCAGGTGTCTTTTCTGGGTGCATTTCTCTGCCGAATCATCATGAATCAGCAGCACTCATGGTGCAAAGGGCACTGAACACAGAGTGCCCGACAACACCATTGGTGGCTGTGGCTTTCAAGGTCCTGCCCTGCTAGTGGCTATTTGACCTTAGCCAAGTCACGGGTCTTGTTGAGGTTCCATTTCTTCATCTGTGAAATGGGCAAAGATTCCCTCCAACTCAAAAATTTTATGATCTGTGGTGTGATTTATGTGACTAAAATTCTCTGCCTGGGAATAACTATACTAGTGACAGAACTGAGCTTTTCTGTGGTGAAGGATGGGTGATGGGTTGCCTTCACCTATTTCCAGTGAACACTGGCTGTCCTCCTTGTTAACTCCCAGATGGCAACTTCCGATTAATTGGCCTTGCCTCCTTGTCTATAAAGTGTTCTCTGGTGTGTTTCATCCTCCACTCTCCCCAGTGTTCTATGCAGTATTTAAATCTTTCAGAAGTTATCTTCTTTAAGAAAAACTTATTGGAAAAAAAAACAGATGGAAGAAGAAGTCATAGATTAAGAGGCTTACAAGATATCTCAACCAATCACCATGTGTT
Source organism: Homo sapiens (assembly GCF_000001405.40). Classification (NCBI taxonomy): domain Eukaryota; kingdom Metazoa; phylum Chordata; class Mammalia; order Primates; family Hominidae; genus Homo; species Homo sapiens. The sequence goes on from NC_000021.9 coordinate 37,710,137, forward strand.
AACCTTATTTGTATCCTGATTCAAACAAGCTGATTGTAAATATAAAAAACAGTGACATGTAAGAGACGATTGGAAGTTTGAACACTTGGTAGATGTTGGATCTTAATTTATTGGTCATTATTTTAGGTGTCATAATGGTATGATAGCTATGTTTTTAAAAGAATCCTTATCTTTTAGGGGCACATACCGAAATATTTGCAGATGAGGATGATGTGATTCTGGTGGGCAGCCAATGAGTGGGGATACAGAGGAAGCAAGTTTGACCCTGAATTGATAATCACTGGAGCAGAATGACGGGGACACAGAGGTTAGTGATACTACTGGGTCTGTTTTTGTGTAAGTCTGATAGGTTCCATCAAAAGAAGTGTAAAATAACCAAAAGGCTTAACGGGGACTCATCCTTGCCAGCACATTTGCCGAGGAGTGGGCAAGTGCTGCCTGTCGCAGTTGTATAATCGCTGGGGGTAAATGTGGAAGTTCGTCAATCAGCAAGGCCGTAGTGGGGGCTGACTGGCAGCAAGCCCAGCGCTGCGTGGCTGTCATCTTGCCTCGAGGCCCATTTGCCCTCTATAAATAACAGTCTATATGAATGCTTTACTATTTTAACACACATGGGCCACAGCTGCTGAGCACGTTTGTTTACGTAGCTATGAAACCTTCTGTAAACACCACTATCTCAAAATCGCCCATGTGTCAGGAACATAAACGGCCCCCTTTAAAAATATATCTGCAGATGAGACACAGCCAACTCCTAGATGTCTGAGTGGCTGGTGTCAGAATTTTCCAGGGTTTGATTCATTTTCAAAAATAGAACCACATGACTGGAAGGTTCTTGAAAGGTCGCCTGGCATGTCCCTCCTGACTTCAGGCGGGACCAGGCCAAAGCCATTCACAAAGGACTCGGGGCTGTTCTGCGTGGGCATGGGTCTGTCTTTTGTGCAGTCCCTTCAAGGCCATGAAAGGGGGGCTCGCTTCCAGCCTTCAAGGAGCCCACTTTCGTTTTCTAAAAATGGAACCTGACCCTGCAATGCGGCTGGCATTGGAAGGCAGTGCATCCACAGAGCACCACTCGCCTGCACCGGGCCTGAGCTCCCAGCAGACGGAAGGACCCAGGTGGCCTCCTGTGGGACAACTCCGGTCTCCGGAAAACACCACGCTGGGATCATCCTGTGCCCAGGATGCCTGCTTCCTAACAGGGAAGAGGGCACCGCGTGAAGGTGGCCATGTGGGCCTTCCCTCCTCCCTGGAAGAGGCCTGCTCGTGGAGACCACTGAGCACAGCAGGTTAAGGTCAACTGCGACATTGTTGAAAGAAGTGATGAGCGCAGGGGAAGCTGTTTTGTGTCAGCTTGCTATTATCACGGCTCCTGATTTCCAGTCCAGCACTACAATGAATAATTAGATCCCTGTGAATTTGTTTTCCTCGAGTGTGCATTTGGTCCACATTTTTTTTTCCTGTGGTTTTGAGAGATTGAAGCATTTTTCTCCCCTAAGGGCCTGTTTAATGCCCATAAATCCTAATTGAGCTTTTCATTCACAAAGAAACAGTATCCTGCTGAAGCGTAAGAGAGCAGCTGTGCTGGGGGTACTGAGTTGTATGATTCCCCTGAGGAAAAGACCAAGACACTTCCAGTTTCCAGACACCTCCAGAACTTTCTAGAACCCCCCCCCCAAGTCTAGAAATTAGAAGACTATTTTTTAAAAGAAAATGAGTAGCAGTTGCCTTTTCCCAGGGATGGGGTGAGCGTTTGGATTGATTTTGCTGGTAATTACTCAGATTTCTCTATGAAAGCTGTAGAAAGGCCATAGGGTGCTCAGAGGCAAGTATCACTGTTAATTACCAAGAAAACCATATTCCTCCCTTTGGAAAGGCTCACTCATTACCAGCTGTCATCAGAAAGCCAGGGCCTGCCCCAGGGAGAATTCTGACTCAGGGACATCACAAAGATAATTTGCTTATTCCAGATTCATTTATTTTACAGAGATTGGGCTCTGGTTTGAGGGAACACAAAGCTTAACTCCCACAATTTAAAGCTCAGACTAGCATCAGTAACCAGAGGGTACGTCTCCAGTGGTTTTTGCTTCTTGAGCTTGGAGACACTGCCCTCTCTCATGTCCTCTTGGGGGAATTTATGGTGAAAAGGGAAAAGAAAAACTGCATCCTGAGTGGTCAGTTCATAGTGTCAGAGGCTGTAGCTCTGTGGCCGCTAGGGGGATCCAGAGTCCCTGTGCTCAGCTGAGGTTGGGGAAGTTTCTGGTCTGTAGGAAAGTGACAGCTCCCTGTTTGAATTATTTCTCTTTCCTCCCTCCTCCCCAGCCTCCCCTCCTCCTCTCTCCCTCCTCCCTTTCTCTTCCCTCCCTCCTCCCCTTCTCCTCCTCTCCTTCCTCCCTTTCTCTTCCCTCCCTCCTCCTCCCTCCCTCCTCCCCTTCTCCTCCTCTTCTTCCTCCCTTTCTCTTCCCTCCCTCCTCCCCTCCTCCTCTCTCCCTCCTCTTCCCTCCCTCCTCCCCTTCTCCTCCTCTCCTTCCTCCCTTTCTCTTCCCTCCTTCCTCCCCTTCTCCTCCTCTCCTTCCTCCCTTTCTCTTCCCTCCTTCCTCCCCTTCTCCTCCTCTCCTTCCTCCCCTTCCTCCTCCCCTGCCTTCCCTTCTACTTCTCCCTTCTATCTCCCTTCCTCCTCCCCACCCAACTATTGCCACACAAATGCACCCCCAAATCAGGCTCAAGGTACAGATAGTCCTGTTAACACCTGGAGCACTTATGTCTTATTTTGCAACAGTGACTTTTGTTATTCTTTAAAGCTACTTTCCGATTAGGTTCCTGTGCCTTTTGTTCTATGGAAAGGAGACCGCTCCTACCATTGAGCTCCATGCAAAGCCCTTTACTCACGTTTTCACTGTTTGCTGCATTTAAAAACCCTATAGCAAAAGTTTCACACCACCACCGTAAAAGAAATTTGTGAGAGGTTGTGACCTTGCCTGTTGGGTACAGGGAGGTAGAAACATGGGACCCATGGCTTTTCCCTAAAAGGGATCACAGGATTAAGTTACTTGTCACAGGTTGATGAAGAACATGGGGCCAGCCTGCTGGTCATGCAATTTCAGACAATATAAACCACCTGAATCTCAAGCTGAAGACTTAAAAGCGTAAAAGGGCTGATGGTATCAGGAAAAAGGACCCCAAAGACACTATTACTACCTCAAAGAACAATAAAGACCTTAATGAATTAGGGTTCTGGTTTATACTTTCCCCGTGAGGCACTATGGTTATCTTGAGTCCTAGCTGATGGCTCTGTTTTGGGGGATGTTACATACAAACATGGGCAGAACCTGCTTTGCTGTTGGGATGTGTAACGTGCAAATTTCAGACATGAGCGAAGACGTCAGTAAAAACAGACCATTTTCTCTATTTCCTGAACAGATCATCTTCCCTAAAACATCCCAATGATTAGCCATTAACAGCAGGAGGGCCGGCGGGATTAAGATGAATGGATCTTCAACTTTTTTCTTTTCTGCTAGAGTTATTTACTGTGTCTGCAGCTTTATACTTACTGGGAGCTCAGCAGGTTGAATGTGGAGAGATACTAGGCACTCACTTCATACAAAAGAAAAACCAATGCTATAGGCCTTATAAATGACTCTCAAAGAATGGGTGAAATTGCATTTTTATTAAAGCAGTTTGTCAGGCTTCCTTTGAAAGGCTTAACTTCCTCCTTCTAACTTGGTAACAAATAACCTCAAGTATTTAAATTAGCAATGTTTTAAGGCCATTTAAAACATGCTTTAGAGACAGATCAGAGTTTAATTTAGGTAAATATTTGGAGACTTAAAATATATTACATGGTGATTTTTCATTGTTCATTAATTTATTTTCCAAAGGGCTTTAAAAAACTAAATGGTTAGGCTTCTTGGTGGATATACTTCAGGTGAGACATGTAGGCATACTATGTCATGAAGCAAGGGGATGTTGTCAATATTGAGTGAGGTTCAGTATTCTAGATCTTGTAATAGATAAGAACATCAGGTCCAGTTTAAAATGAGCATCTATCCCACAGCCATCCCAGGATAGAACACATCTTACCTGTGGCTTCCACCATTCCTTCTAGGATGACCACAATTTCCAGTTCCTCTTTGGGCAGCTGGGCTTTGGAGATCTCCCAGAAAGGACTCTGTTGGTTAATTTCATGGCTAATGATCAGCGGTGACACCAGAAACAGACGGTCATCCCCCGTGTAATACCCTACGTTGATATCCGTCTGGTTCAACGGGATGAACTCCCCCTCCGAGGTCTGTTTGGATTTGATCAACTTGGCTCTGATGGAAGCCTCCACAATGTGGGAATTCCTAAGGTCCCCTACCCGGAACATCAGGCACAGTTTCCCATCCCGCATGGAGATCACTGCATGGGTGGAAAAGACCAGGGTCTCTGCCCTCTTCTTGGGTTGAGAGATTTTTACAAACATGCATCCCACCATGAATGCATTGACAATGGACCCCAACACAGATTGGATTAAGAGAAGAATAATTCCCTCTGGGCATTTATCTGTGATGACCCGGTAGCCATAACCAATGGTGGTTTCTGTCTCTATTGAGAATAAAAAAGCAGAGACGAACCCGTTGAGGTTGGTAACACAAGGAGTCCAGGAGGGGTCCTCTATGTGGTCCATGTCTCCCCGTATGTATGCGATCAACCACCAGATCATTCCAAAAAAGAGCCAGGTCACTGTGTAAACCATGACAAAAATCAATAGGTTGAATCTCCACTTCAGGTCCACTAATGTGGTGAAGATATCGGTCAGGTAGCGATAGGTCTCCCTCACGTTGCCGTGATGAACATTGCACTTTCCGTCTTTCCTCACGTACCTCTGGATTTTCCTTTTGGTCCGATCTCGGCTGATGTGTCTTGGCAGGTCATCCCTGGCCTGCTTAGGCAACTTTGGCTGGTGAATGGCCACTGGGCTTTCGACGTCCTGATCCATGGAGTCGCCCTCCAGGACGTTAGCTGGTGGTTTGGAGAAAAGAAAAGAAACACTGAATGAAAGGCTGGCTCTTTGAGGACAATGGAACGGCACACTTTGTATGGGCTGGTGAAACCAAATACCATTTGTGTAGCTATAAACAAAGTAGACAAAGCCATTTTTATTCCACACCATCTGGATAGGCCTCTAGTTGACTTGGACTTCTGTGCTCTTCGATCTAGTTTGTGTAAGTACTTCACCATCCTGCCCACCAGGACGGAGCTTATTGCTGCAAAATTGTGTCCCTGCCAGCAGGTTCTACTGAGTCAGCTCTCACAGAGGGATGCCTCCCAACTCTGAGATGCTGTGGCATGGGAGAGGCAGTAAGCTCTGATGAAGGAGTCCTCTTTAGATTCAGACAGGCTTAGCTCTACTACTTAGCAACTCTTAGTGGGCTCTTGGCCATGATATCTGTTATGGACTGTATTGTGTCCTCACCAAATCCATATGGGGCTTGAGCCCCAACCCCTAAGGTGACAGTATTGGGAGATAAGGCCTTTAAGGAGATAGTTAAAGGTTATATGAGGCCATAGGGTTGGGGCTCCAATCTAATAGGACTGGTATCCTTATGCGAAGAGGGAGAGACACCAGGGGTGCACACAAACAGAGGAAAAGCCATATGAGACACAGGGAGAAGGTGGCCATCTGCAAACCAAGGAGAGAGGGCTCCCAGAAACTAACCCTGCCAACACCTTGATCTTGAACTCCAGCCTCCAGAACGATGAGAAAATAAATGTCCATTGTTTAAGCCACCCATTCTGTGATATTTTATTATGGCAGCCTGAACTGACTTACAACACACTATCCAAATTCGTGAGCCTCAGTTTCCTCATTTACAAAATTGATCATGATACCCAACTCACAGTGTTGTTATAAGGTTAAACAAAACCATGTATGTGATCTGTGCCTGCATGTAACAGACTTGCAATCAATATTTTTTTGTAATAAATTGTTCCCTTGTCACTTTCCTTATGTTTAGGGCAAGAGTCTTGAACAAGCTCTTTGAACTATTGGCCAAATTTCAGGGTTTAAAAAACATTTCTGGTTTTTGTCGGTAAGTATGCATGCATTGTACTTTAATGGTTGATTCAATGCCAAGGTAAGTAAAAAAGGGTGGGGAAATGTTCTCTCTGTCTGTGTGCTTACATATTTGATTTGGTTTCTGCCTCCTCAACATTCAACATCTGTAATTTTAGCTTGTGGTTATTTTTTTTCTTTTAAAAAAGTTTAAATTTTTTTTTTTTTTTTTAGAGATAGGGTCTCGCTCTGCCACCCAGGCTAGAGTATAGTGGCACCATCATAGCTCTCTGCAGCCTTGATCTCCTGGGTTCAAGTGATCCTCCCACCTCAGCCTCCTGAGTAGGCACAGGAGGCTCAGGCTTATGTCACTATGCCTGGCCAATTATTTTATTTTCATGGAGACGGGGGTCTCACTATGTTGCTCAGACTGGTCTTGAACTCCTGGTCTCAAGCCATCCTCACACCTTGGCCTCCCAAAATGCTGGGATTACAAGCATGAGGCACCATGTCTAGTTATGTTGTTTCTTATGGCTTTCATGATTAATGCACTGGTTCACTCATTAGTTAATAATGCATTAGGAAAGCTCTCCTAAAACTTGAGTGCAGGGGAATTTTGGAACCGATTTCTGCTGTTTAAAAGCATATAATCCACTTATGAAATTATTTATTTGGCCAATAATACTAAAGTCTTCTACAAGTTTGGTAAGAAATTTCTTCCTCCAGACTTAAATTCTGTGTCGTTTGACTCTGCCATGTGTTTCCTTTATGGACACTCTGTTTTTAATCTTGGTTAAAGGACAAATGTCATCTCTCCACAAACCATCATTTATCTGAATAAGAACATAGCCGGAGATGGGATTTGAGTGCCCCCAACCTAACTTATGAGTTAACCTTGCTCATGGATGATCAGTTGCCTTAAAAATCAATCTCCTGGATCTGTTTTTGTGTTTCAGCCTCAGGAAGAGACAGCATCTGTTCTGCAGAGCCTACTCTCTAGTCTGACAGCTTTGACTTTTAGATGATCTCCCTCAGTAGTCCTTCATTGAAAATAAGAAAAGTCATTCATTTGTAAGAAAATTTGCTTTTTTCCCTTTCTTAGAACAAATACCAGGATAGGTGTTGATGGGGGGCTGTTGAGGTTGGGAGGGCTGGAGGTGGGGTGGGTGTATGGATGGAGGCAGAGGCCATGTCCTTCTCACTGGAGTTAGGGTGGGTGTGTGGAGGGAGGCAGGGGCCATGTCCTTCTCACTGGAGATGGGGTGGGTGTATGGATGGAGGCAAAGGCCATGTCCTTCTCACTGGAGGTGGGTTGGGATGTGTGGAGGGAGGCAGAGGCCATGGCTTTCTCACTGCCGCTACCCCCTACATGGCAGGGTGTTCTTGTCCTTGAATGGTCAACAACTCTGAGCTCTCACTGCTAATTTTGTGCTGAGTGGAAGTCTCTAAATATGACTTTATATGGAACGGTGTCTGGGCTCAAACTGTGCCTGGCTGGGGAGACCTTGTCTGCAGAGCCCTGCGAAGGGTCCAGCAGGCCTGGTGTATATCCCGTCTTGACCGCTGGGAGGCTGCCCAGCTGTGCAAAGCCACCCTAAGCTCTTGTCTTTCTGAGTCCTTAAGTGGGAGAAGAGGGTTTGTCAAATTAGCTGATTCTCAAGTCTTCAGTGATATATCATACTTAAAAAATGTTACAAAGGAAATTTATTCCTGCCTCCCCTCCATCTCCAATTTGTAGGCTTTATCCCTTTTCTGACTAAACTGCAAACCCCCAGCTCCAGGCAATTGTCCTGACCTGGAAGAACCTGTTTTGAAAGGTTAATGAATGAGTAGCGATCAGTGCTCTGGAAAGTCTGGGGGGATATCTGTTACTCCCCTAAAATCCAGTTCCTCCCAGGGCTGGACCACATTTCTCATCCTCTTTGCATTGAGGGTTGGCCATGGTGATTGAGTCTTGGCCCATCTGGAGTTGAGTGTGTCTTCCTGGGCCATTGTCCTAAACAGTGGATGTGTCCCCTCCTTATGCCTTTGCCCCTTCTGTGGGGGACAATGAAGTCAAGAGGTGAAGGAGCCTGGATCCTGAGTCATGGGTGGAGAGCTGCTATCTATCTGTCTAGAAACCAGAAAAGCAATGATTGTGTTTGACCCATTATATATTTTGTGTCTGTTTTCAAATTGAGCCTTATCTCTAATGTTGTGGGAAGAAATATATGACACCTATAAGCAGATAGAAGAGTGGTCAGGGGGAATGGTTGTGGGAAAGAGCAAAGACAGAGAAAAGAAAGCCGAAGATGAATGTCTGGGTTTAGTGTTTGTAATGAATTAGTCTGGGGTTAATTAAATGCTTGTGTTTGTTATTAGGGGAAGAAATGTAATGCAATGCTACTTCATTGCCTTTAAAAACCAACAAAAAGTAAACACTGCATATTCTCATAGGTGGGAATTGAACAATGAGAACACTTGGATGCAGGGCGGGGAACATCACACACCGGTGCCTGTTAGGGGGTGGGGGATTGGGGGAGGGATAGTATTAGGAGAAATACCTAATGTAAATGACAAGTTGATGGGTGCAGCACACCAACATGGCACATGTATACCTATGTAACAAACCTGCACGTTGTGCACAGGTACCCTAGAACTTAAAGTATAATAATAAAAAAAAAATACAATAACAATGGGAAACAAAAAAACAACAAAAATTTCAAAACAAACAGAAAAAGCCAAACCTCCCTGGTAGTGTGTTTGGAAGGTGGCTCCGGTGGGTCCCTCCCAGGTGAGGCCGTGGGTGCAGGCCAGGTGCATCCATGGGGAGATGGGGAGGGAAGGCTGGGCCTTGCATCATGGCAGCTGGTGGGATGAACAGGCATGGAGTTGAGAGAAATAAAAAAAGCCAAGGAAATGTGAGAGTTCTGGGAGAGAAGAGATGAAGGAGGAGCCCCGAGGGGCCAGGAGGAGGAGAGGGTGTGGGGTATGGGGTGGGTGAGAGCAAAAGAGGGGCCAGAGCCTCAGGGCTGTGTCCAGAGTCATCACAGGGAATGGGGCTAGGGAGAGAGGGCGAGTCCAGGTCTGAGCAGGGAGCGGCGGCTCAGCACTCACTGGCATGCATGCAGATGTTGCAGGGTAAATATAGAAGGAAATGGTGATCACATTTTGTGACATTTCTTTCTTTCTCGGAATCCCAGGTGTGAATTTGAGCGGGGGATCTGAATCGCATCTCCAGGAGCATTTTGAGCTGCTCCGTAGGGCAAGTTGCAGCTGTGGTTGGGAGAGCAGACATTTCTCCCATGTTACTGCACAGCTGATGACACAGGCAACTTCTTACCACCAAGGATAATGTAGAGGGGGTACACCCTCTGTTAACCATGAAATGCTGCACAAATGTGCAAAGGGACCCAAAGAATGGCGCTGAGAACTTTGATGATTTACTTGACTTTGAGAGTAGCTTTTCAGGATTTTGGCTCAGAGTAAATGTGGGCCTGTGTGAAGGTCAGTTTTTCTCCTCCTCTCTTTTGTTTCTTTCTCCTTCTCTTTTAGAAAAATTATCAATTTACATGGAACTAGCTAAGGTACAAAATAGCCTCATGTTGAAATTTAATCTGAAAGAAATAATAATAAATGACAGAGCCACAGCTGGGCGGAGCCTTGTCCTCGAATCAGTGGGATTGTGTTGTTGCATTTCAGGTACAGCTCTTGTTGCAGGGAAGCCTCCCCTGGTGGCCCTGGTCTGTAGTAGATGTTTCTTACATTTCAAGTTGTATATGAATTTTGCAGGTGAAACTTCCAGTATCCAAGAAAACATACAAAAAGTACTTTGAGACTTTTTAATGTCGTGGGGAAAACCTAGTTGAGAAAAACAGGATAGATCTCTAATGTACCTGCAAAGTCAAAGATTGGAAGGAAATACACCAGATGTGAATGTTAATAGGGCAATTTTGGGTGGGGGGGTTCATGAGTACTTTTAATTTTCTTGTTAAACAAACATTTTTGAAATTTTCTAGAATACATTTATATTACTTTTATAATTAAAAAAACAAATTGCCAAACAACACATCGAGACACTCTAGATACCTGATTTAAGAAATGTATCACACAAAGAGCTAAATAATGATAAAGCACTTGATCTGAAGGTATCCCATCCCATACAGCTGACAATTTAGAAACTGAGACATTTGCTTGACCTGAATCCAAGAAAATCGTAACTAAACCCTACAGGGTCCTTATTGGGGGTATGAATTAGAAGGAAAAATGAGAATGTATGCAAGTTTGAGGCAACTTGAGGAGTGAAACCTATAGGACAAGTCGAGTCAGCTATCCCTGTAACTGTCCAGGGGACCTTGAAGGAGGAGGGTGTCCAGGAGGCCTGGGGGCTGGGGGCGCTGTCACAGTGAGCTAAGGAGAACGGGACAGATGTCATCTTTCTCTTGGGTTTAACCAAGTGTCAGTTGTTTGGGCAGTGCCCTTAGTGACACAGAAGTGTGGTTTCTTCCTCATCAAAAATCACCCCCAACCCACAGAATGGGAGAAAACATTTTCTTTTCTTTTTTTTTTTTTTTTGAGACGGAGTCTCGCTCTGTCGCCCAGGCCGGACTGCGGACTGCAGTGGCGCAATCTCGGCTCACTGCAAGCTCCGCTTCCCGGGTTCACGCCATTCTCCTGCCTCAGCCTCCCGAGTAGCTGGGACTACAGGCGCCCGCCACCGCGCCCGGCTAATTTTTTGTATTTTTAGTAGAGACGGGGTTTCACCTTGTTAGCCAGGATGGTCTCGATCTCCTGACCTCATGATCCACCCGCCTCGGCCTCCCAAAGTGCTGGGATTACAGGCGTGAGCCACCGCGCCCGGCCGAGAAAACATTTTCTAGTCATACATCTGATAAGGGACTGGGATCCAGAATATATAAAGAACTCTTACACCTTAACAAAAAATAAACAACCCATTCAGAAATGGGCAAAGGACTTGAATAGACATCTCTCCAAAGAAGATATCCAAATGGCCAATAAACAAATGAAAAGAAATTCTTCATTGCTAGTCATTAGAAAAATGCAAATCAAAGCCATAATGAGATACCACTTCACATCTATTAGATGGTTATTATTTTAAAAAAAGAAAATAGCAAGTGTTGGCAGGATGTAGAGAAATTGGAATGCTGGTATATCACTGGTGGGAGTGTAAAACAGTGCAGCTGCTATGAAAAACAGTATCTTAGTCCCTCAAAAAGTTAAACATAGAATTACCATGTAATCCAGCAATTGCACTTCTAGGAAACCCAAAGGGATTGAAAGCAGGGGCTCAAACAGATACTTGCACACCAGTGTTCATACTAGCATTCTCCACAGCAGTGAAAAGGTGAATACAACTGTTGCGTCAAGAAATGAATCGCTAAACAAAATGTGGTATGTACATACAATGGATTATTACTCAGCCTTAAAAAGGAAGGAGATTCTGATATATGCTACAACATGGGTGAACCTTGAAGACATTATTTAAATGAAATAAACCAGACACAAAAGGACAAACATATGGAAGGAAATTCTGATACAGGCTACAACATGGCCTCATTGGAAATAGATTTCCGCCGGTTGGAAGTAAGTTAAAACACTGTGGAAACAGAGATCAGAGAAAGGGGCACTGGGGAGGGTATGGGCAACATTACATTTCAATTTGTCTTGGGTGTAGAGCAGGATGGGTTAGCCCAAGGTAATGGTGAGTATGTGCTTGCTTCCTGATGGACAAAGACTGGGATGGTGGGGCATCTGAAAAGCAAGCACAGGAAGTCCTAGCCAGAGCAATCAGGCAAGGGAAAGAAATAAAGTACATCCAAATAGGAAGAGAAGAAGTAAAATGATCTCTCTTTGCTGATAATATGATTCTATACCTAAAAAATACTAAAGACTCTGCCAAAAGGCTCCTGGAACTGATAAACAACTTCGGTAGAGTTTCAGGATGCAAAAATCAATGTACAAAAATCAGTGTCATTTCTATACACTAATAATGTTCAAGCTGAGAGCTGAATCAAGAATAAAATCCCACTTATCATAGCCACACAAAAATAAAACACCTAGGAATATATCTAACCAAGGAGGTGAATGATCTCTACAAGAACTACAAAACACTGTGGAAAGAAATCAGAGATGACACAAATGGAAAAACATCCCATGCTCATGGACTGGAAGAATCAATATCATTAAAACAGCCATATTGCCCAAAGCAATCTACAGATTCAATGCTATTCCTATGAAACTACCAATGTCATTTTTCACAGATTTATAAAAACTGTTCTAAAATTCATATGGAACCAAAAAACCTGAATAGCTAAAGCAATCGTAGGCAAAAAGTACAAAGCCAGAAGCATCACATTATCTGACTTCAAACTACACTATAAGGCTACAGTAACCAAAACAGCACGGTACTGGTACAAAAACAGACACATAGACCAATGCAACAGAACAGAGAACTCAGCAATAAAGCCACATACCTATAGCCATCTGATCTTTGACAAGGTTGACAAAAATAAGCAGTGGGGAAAGGACTTTCTATTTAATAATGGTACTGGGATAGCTGGCTAGCCATGTGCAGAAGAATGAAATTCAATCCCTACCTTTCACCATATACAAAGATTAACTCAATATAGATTAAAAGTTTAAATGTAAGACCTCAAACTATAAGAATCCTAGGAGGAAACCTAGGAAACACCATTCTGGACATCAGCCTTCGGAAAGAATATATGACTACGTCCCTTGAAAACAATTGCAACAAGTCAAAAGTTGATACGCAGGCCCTAATTAAACTAAAGAGCCTCTGTACAGCAAAACAAACTATCAACAGGGTAAACAGACAACCAAGGTAATGGGAGATAATATTGGCAAACTGCATCTGACTAAGGTGTAATATCCAAAATCTAAAAGGAATTTAATTTAACAAGGAAAAAACAACCCCATTAACAAGTGGGCAACAGACATAAACAGACTTCTCAAAAGAAGACATACAAGTGGTCAACAAACATATGAAAAAATGTTTAACATCTCCGATCATCAGAGAAATGCAAATGAAAGCCGCAGTGAGATACCTTCTCACACCAGTCAGAATGGCTATTATTAAAAAGTCAAAAAACAACAGATGCTTGTGAGGCTGTGGAGAAAAGGGAAACTTATATACTGTTGGTGGAAATATAAATTAGTTTAGCCACGGTGGAAAGCAATTTGGAGATTTCTCAAAGAACTCAGAGCTGCCATTCAACCCAGCAATCCCACTACTGAATATATTCCTAAAGGAAAATAAATTCTTCTACCAAGAAGATACATGCATTTGTATGTTCATCGCAGCATTATTCACAAAGAGTAAAGACATGGAATCAACCTAGGTGCCCATCATTGGTGGACTGGTTAAAGAAAATGTGGTACAATACACCATGGAATACTACACAGCCATGAAAAGAATGAAATCACATCCTTTGCAGCATAGTAGGTGGAGGTCATTATCCCAAGTGAATTAACGCAGGAACAGAAAACCAAATACTGTATGTTCTCACTTATGAGTAGGAGCTAAACACTGAGGATTAATGGATGTAAAGATAGCATTGGGAAACACTGGGGACTACTAGAGGGGAGAAGGAGGGACGGGCTCAAGGGTTGAAAACCTATTGGTACTACGTTCACTAAATGTGTGACAGAATGCTGTACTCCAAACCTCAGCATCAAGCAATATGCCCATGTAACAATCCTGCACACGTACTCCTTGAATCTAAAATACAAATTGACTGATAGAAAACAAATAAAAAAAAAAAAGAAAAGCAAGAACAGCATGTGTAAAAGTCTTTAAAGGCATGAAACAACTTTGGTTGGGAGTGGCACAGATTCTGCACTGCTGGTATGCGGTGTGCGTGGAGGAAATGAAGGGGAATGGGAAATGAGAAAAGAGAGGTGGATGAAGCCCACGCTGGGCCCTGAAGTCCTCTGTGCTAGACTAAGGAGATTGTTTTTAAACTGGGGAGTGATATGATTGAGTATTTTGAGTGTTTTAGAAAGGTCTCTGAAGAGCAGTGGTATGGAGTATAGATTAGATGCAAGGGTCGGCAAGCATTCTGTAAAGAGCCAGACGGTAAATACTTTTGCTTAGTCAATGTGTTGCTTTCAGGAAACACAGGTCTCTGTTGCATATTAAAAAAAAAAACTTTTTACAACCCTTACAACACGCACAACTATTACTAGGTTTTAGCTCATGGGTAACACAGGAAGCGTCTGCAGTCTGGCTTTGAGTCACTGGGCAGTCGGTTGTTGAAGGGTGCCTGTAGGAAGGAGAAATGGCCAGGTGCTGAAATAAGGAGGCAGCCATGGGAGTGAAGAGATGGCAGTGGATTTGGGGCTAAGAAGTAGAACTGATTTAAGTTGGAGACTAGTGAGTGTGGAGGGGAGTGGGCAGGAGAATGACCCAATGGCGGTTGGGTAGTATGGTGGTCGAGACAGGAAGAATGGATTTTGGATGGCAGAGGATCATGTTCGTTTGGGCATATTCAGTTTAAAGTATCTGCAGACATTCAGGTGAGTTCTCCTGTAGGCAACCAGGTGTGTGGGGCTAGAGCTGAGGGCGACCTGGACCTGGAGCAGTTGCAGAGGAAGCATTTCTCAAGGGCATTATTCACTGCAGGCTGTGGGACAACTGATTGCCCTCCTGGAAAAAAAATGATGAGTCTTCTCCTTATTCCTTTTATTAGAATAAATTCTAAAGAGATCAAGGATTTAAAGGCAAAAAATAAAACTACAGAAGTGTAAGATGTCTTAAAAAAAATTCTAAGATTTAGGCAGGCCTTTTTTTAACCATGACAGAAATCCAGAAACTATTTTAAAAGAATATTTCTGACAATGTAAAAATTGTAAATGTCTATTAAAAAAACAGGAAAAATATTTACAACACGACACATATATATTCCCAGTTTACAAAAGCAATAAATACCCCAACAGAAAAAAATGGTCAAAGGAAATAAATGAGGAGTTTCTGATAGAAGGAATATGGATCATGAGATCAGAAGTTCCAGACCAACCTGGCCAACATAGTGAAACCCTGTCTCTATTAAAAATACAAAAATTAGCTGGGCATGGTGGTGCGTGCTGGTAATCCCAGCTACTTAGGAGGCTGAGGCAAGAGAATCGCTTGAACCTGGGAGGCAGAGGTTGCAGTGAGCCGAGATCACGCCACTGAACTCCAGCCTGGGCAATAGAGCAAGACTCTGTCTTAAAAAAAGTAGCTAGAAAACATATAAAAAGACTGTCCATCCATGGCAAAGGAAAGCAATACAAATAAGATAAACTTTGTTACCCTAAGATTCGCAAAATTTTAAATAAATGACAAATGAGTATGTGAAAGGTGTGTGTTGGGAGAGGAAGTGTAATTTCATACTTGTATGTATTATGTGTAATAGCACAGTCTTTCCGGAAGGAAGGGTAAGAGTAGGTATCACAATTTAGAAATGAAAATTCACCTTGGACTGACAATTGAGGGTCATTTATTCTAAGGAATTAACATAACAAATATTCATAAATTGTATGCAGGGATGTAGTACAGCCTCTTTTATAATAGTGAAAAATCAGAAACAACCCAAATGTCTATCACCAGAGCATTGGTTAAACATACTGCTGCAGATATAATCAATGGAATACCATGCAGTCATTAAAAATTATTTTTCAACATTTTGGGATCTTCAACTCTTTGCAAAGATTATCTTTTCAATGAAGCTTGCATTTATTTATTTGTTTTTTGTTTTTTTGAGATGGAGTTTCACTCTTGTCACCCAGGCTGGGGTGCAATGGAGTGAACTCAGCTCACTGCAACCTCTGCCTCCCGGGTTCAAGCAATTCTCCTGCTTCAGCCTCCCAAGTAGCTGGGACTACAGGTGCATGCCACCATGCCTGGCTAATTTTTGTATTTTTAGTAGAGATGGGGTTTCACCATGTTGGCCAGGCTGGTGTTGAACTCCTGACCTCAGGTGATCCACCCCCCTCGTCCTTCCAAAGTGCTGGGATTACAGGTGTGAGCCACCACACCTGGCCAGGCTTACATTTAAAATCTCATCCATTACCTCCCAGTACTCATGGTCATCCTTCCTTGTTTTACTGTTTTCTTTTTCTGTCGTGTTTTTCACCTTCCAATATGGTAGATGTTATTGTTTTCATTTTTAATTGTCTGTTGGCTCTTGTCAGAAGGTACATTCCAGGAGTGTAGGGATCTCTTTCTGTTTTATTCACTGCTAGAGCTCAGGCCCTGGAAAAAGCACGTGGTACATGGAGTAGGGCCACAGCACTTATTTATTGAATGAGTGGGTGTATGTTTATTGACCTGGCAAATTGTCCATGCCACAGCATTAAGAGAAGCAGCAGCATAAGAAACATATGGTCTACTTTGCAAATATTGCCATCTTACAGTAATGTGTGCATGTTTGTGAATGTGTGTGTATGTGTGTGTGTAAAGAATGAATGTTCTCCAAAGTATAAATTTTGATTAATCTCTGAGTTGTAAGTTTCTGTGGGTGTCTTTGCTTTCTCTTTTAATTCTTCTATTTAAAAATTTCCCCTAATATGCTTCTACCATCTAAAGAACCAGTAGGAAACATAAATCTATTTCTATTTTGAATAACCAAAACAAATGCTGCATAGAGCTACTGGGAGCTGTCCATTGGACTTGGCAATAGGGATTCACTAGTGTTGTGGATTGAAGGGTTCCCCTCCAAAGTTCGTATCTACCCCAAACCTCAGAAGGTGACCTTATATGGAAATAGGGTCTTTGCAGATATAAATAAGGTAGGGGTCAATATATGATCATATGGAATTAAGGTGGGCTCTAAGTCCAATTAGATGTCCTCATAAGAGACGAGCAGAATTCACAGGGACATGGAGAAGCAGCCAGATAAAGACAGAGGCAGAGACTGCAGAGATGTGGTCTCAAGCCAAGGAACACCCGGAGCCAACAGAAGCTGGAAGAGGCAAGGAAAGATTCTCCCTTTGAGCTTTTGGAGGGAGGGTGGCCTGCTGACACCTCGACTTTGGACTCTGACCTCTAGATTATGAGAGGATAAGTCTCTTTTGTTTTAAGCTGCCCAGTTCATGGTATTTGTTATGGCAACCCCTGGAAACTAATAGTAGGGGTGACTTTGGTGATGGTGGTGTTGGTGGAGTGGTGGGGTCTAAGGCAGATTGCAGTGGGTTAAGGAGTGACTCACCTGTGAGGGAGTGAGGGACGGTGAGTGTAGATGAAGTATTTAAAGGCAGAGAGAGCTGGAGGGGAGCTGAATGGAGTGAGGACTCACGTGTGTGTGTGTGTGTGCATGGATGTGTGTGCATGTGTGCACATGTGTCATGGGTGTATATGTGAACTGGGGGAGTTTTGAATACTTTTACATGTTGAGAAGGAGCCAAAAGGGTTTAGGTTGATGTTATAAGGAAGAGGGAGAGCCGGTTATAAGGAAGAGGGATAGTCGGGTGTTTGATAGAATAGAAGTCAAGACAAAATGCTGCTGAGACCTCTGGTAGGAGGGTAGGCTCAAATGGAAAAAGTGATGAACTTCATCCCAGAGTGGTGGCGAATATTTGGGAGGAACGGAGAAAGATGGGGGAGAAACAGAACCTTGGAGACAGTTCTCTTAGGGTTTGTATCACAAACAAGCCTCAAACTGGCTCATTTTTGAGTGTGAATTTCAAGAATGCTCTATTTCAGTTGATTCATTGAATTGAATCTGCATCTAGCAACAACAACAACAACAACAAACTGAACTCAGCATAATCACAGATCAAGCAAAGCCTTCTGCATCTTGACTGGTCAAGAAAGGCATATATAAATGAGTATTTGTATATCCATGTTCATAGCAGCGTTATTCACAGTGGCCAAAAGGTGGTAGCAATTCGAGTGTCCATCAACAGAAAAATGGATAAACAAAATGTGTTCTATCCATACAGTGGAGTATTATTCAGCCTTGAAAAGGAAGAAAATTCTAACACATGCTCCCACATGGGTGAAGCTTGAGGACATTATGCTCAGTGAAATAAGCCAGACACGAAAGGACAAGTACTATATGATTTCACTTACGTGAGGTTCCTAGAATAGCCAAATTCATAGAGACAAAGCAGAATGGTGATTGCCAGGGGCTGGAGCAGGGGGATTGGGGAGTTAATGTGTAATGGGGACAGTTTCTGTTTGGGAAGATGAAGAGTTCTGGAAATGGATGGTATTTCCATTTACCTTGAATGTATCATTGAAGTGTGCGCTTTAAGAATCGTTAAAATGATAAATTTTATGTTAGGTATATTTTACCACAATGAAAAGGAGATTGTGCTTAAACACAGAAAGCATAAATATATTTAAAATGAGAGATCAGCTTGTGACTGCATTCTTGTCTCATTGCAGGAAGAGCTTACAAAGAGCTACGATGCTATAGCTCCAGACTGAAAAATGGTGGGATTTTGCCATCATATTGATTCCTGCGATCTTGGATTTATAACCAGTTACTAGTTAGTGATGCCTCTGGGTAGGTATGTGTGTGTGTGTGTGTGTATATATATATATGTTTGAATTGCAAAGCAGATGTAGAGAAAAGCGTATGGAGAGAGACGCTTCCATTTTATGACCTAGACACATGTGAGAGATAATTCAGAGCTGTAGTTACAAGTGGAACCAGAAGTTCAAAATCAGTAGTTTCCTTTTGGTCCCTTGCCCTGATGTTTATCCTTTGGCATAAGTCCTTATCTGAAGTCTTGCCCATCAGCGACTGGTGATAACACTTGTCATTTGTGTCTGTGTTGTCATGTGAAGGTGAGCTGGTTTTGATTTGCTGTGTCCCTTGAGCTGTTGTGACTAGGGGAGACTATTCTAATCAGAATTCCAGACAGACCAGAAAGTTTGAAGTCATAGGTGTATGTGGTAGAACAGATCCTACATCCCATGAGGACCTGGTGACAGCTTCTAAAGGGTAAAGGGTCCTATTAGCATTTTAGCTTGGGGACCCCACAATGTGAATTTAAATTTAGAATGTCTAGTACCCACTGCAAGGTCAAAACACTGATGTTGGCTGCCCATGGCATATGGCTGGGTAAAATGTGCAATTTCATTGCTTAAAGGAGATAAACGCCACGTCACTCTGGGCTGGATAAAGGAGACAGATATTCAATACCCTGATTCTTCTTCTTTTTGGGGGGGGGGGCAGGGTCTCACTCTGTCACCCAGGCTGGAGTGCAGTGGTGCGATCACAGCTCACTGTAGCCTCAACCTTCTGGGCCCAAGCAATCCTCCCACCTCAGCCCCCTAAGTAGCTGGGACTATAGGCACGGGCCACCATGCCTAGCTAATTTTTGTACTTTTTGTAGAGACAGGGTCTTGCCATGATGCTCAGGCTGGTCGTGAACTCCTGAGCTCAAGCGATTCACCCACCTCAACCTCCCAAAATGTTGGCATTATAGGCGTGAGCCACCATGCCCAGCCCCTGATTCTTCTTTAAAGCGATTTCAAGAATCAGGACTGTCTACAGTTAGTTAGAACCATTAAGAACCTGTCATGACCATCATGTACAGCGATATAGGTTGTCCGCTAACAAAGATGCCCAGATGAGGGGAGAAAGAGGGTGGAAACCTAGTCAATGCTTCCCCTGCCAAGACACATGCCCGTTCATAGGGCTGAGTCCACCCAGAGGAAAGGGCACCTGTGGTAATTTGCACAAAGGCACTGTATGGGCTAGCAGCAGTCCTGCAACCTCAGATGTCATTTACTTCATCCTCCTTTTTTTTAGATGAACACATGAAGAAAGTGAGGCCCAGGGAAGCCAACAGATTTGCCAGGAGGCAGAGCTGGAGTGAGCTCCCAGACCTTGGGATCCTAGGCTGTCCGTTCCTCCTTCTGTGTTTCCCTGAAGCAGTGGCTGCTTCAGGCTATTGTCTTGCCCAGGGACTGTGGAGTTGGTGGTTTCCTTCTGAGAGCAAGAAGAAATCTATTGCTCCTGATTCTTCCAGTGTGGAGCTTGGAGACAGCCAGTCCTGGGGAATCCCAGCTCTGCTGCCCACCAGCCAAGGGACCCGCAGCCTTAAGTCTTCATATGCAAAATAGGGTGAAATGTCCACCTTGCTGGGTTGCTGGGAGAATGAAATGACATAATGAACTTTGGGAGCCTGGTGACAAGGTGCTTGGCTATAGTGCCTGGTGGGCCTGGGTTGGAATCCAGTTCTCCCAACTCCAATCTGCAAGTATTTGTTCAGGCCACTTCTGCCTCAGAGTCTGTTTCCTCAACTGCATAATGAAAATAATAAGACCTACCTTGAAGAGTTACTGTGAGAAAGAAAAAAATCCTGCAAGGATGGCACCTGGTCCACAGCAGCCATTGAACAAATGACAGCAATTATGATAGTGTCTGGGTCGAAGAAGGTACACAATTTGTAACTACAATAATCACTATTTTTATAAGCTCAACATTGTCCTGGAAACTGTGGGAAATCCAGAAATAATCTAAGAAACAGATGGGCAGACCCATCTGGAAGCTAAGAGCCTGCTTGGTAACACAAAACCTGCATAGTGCCCCATATCAATGTGCAGTTGCATTCTACACTGTGGACAAGAGGCCAAGAATGTTCTAGTGCATCAGAGACAGAGGCCAACGGTGGCTGGACTAATTGGCAAAGGCATCACAAAGGAGGTGGGAAATTATTGTGGCTCTGATGTGTGAAAGGGAAAAAGCCAACCCTTACTGAATATCTATTATGTGCCAAGTACTGGGCAGGGCACAACAGCCCACAGGGGGAGTATTGACCCGTCTTACAGATGAGGCAGTGGAGGTGCATAAGGTTCAGTCACTTGCTGAAGCTTACATGTCTAATATTCGGTGGGGATAGGAGATTGAACCCTCCATCAAGTTGGTCCCATTCTGAAGCTTGTCTTCTTTCCTTTCTGCCATTGCAGATAGATGAGAGAAGTGTGTGTGTGTGTGTGTGTGTGTGTGTTTGTGTGCCTGCATGTGTGTACAAGGTGAGAAAAAGTGGCAACAAGAAGAATCTTGCCTCACTCCTGTGTTAATAGAGTAAATTACCCCAGTGGAGCAGAAGAAGTGGAAATAATGGAGTGAAAGATTTAAGGGGCTTGTGTTTGGGATATGGGTCAACACTAGAGAGAGGATGCTGGGGATGGAGGAGAAGGGATAAGGCTAATAGAGAAAAAAAGACTTTCTAAGATTTGATGGCAGATTAAGATCTGGTAAGTGGGAAGATCCTGGTGTCTTACAAAATCATAAGTTGGGAAGGGGAACTCGCAGCTAGGGAATAGGATGAACATTTATTGAACACCTACTATGTGCCGGCATTGAGCTTTGTAGCTTCACATCTGTTTTCAGCTTTATTCCCTCCCCTTAATAAATCTGTGTGGTAGGCAGCATCATTGATCTGAGAGAGGCTGGCTACCTTGCCCAAGGTTACACAGCTGCAATTGGGTTTGGTCTTGGGTGATTGCTCTAAGTCTAGGGTACTTTTTATTAACCAAACAGCACAGAAGCATGAAACACCCAAGGGTGCTGAGCAGACAGATGGGCTGTCTCAGAGGATGAGAGTATAGAGCAACAATCAAGAATCGAGACCACCAGATACTTCAGGAAGCATCCACAGATAGTGCTCAGGAGGAGCAGAGGGTGCAGGCAGTGAGAAGGCGGAGGAGTTAGTGGAAATGAGGGGGCTCTGCTGATAAGAAGAGTCCAGGATGAGGAGGCCAAGGTGGTGCATTCAGCAAGGGAGAGGCCCTTCCTAGCAAGGAAGGAAACTCCCAGAGACTCTGAATAGGGTGGTCAGGATGGAAGTTCGACTGCAGGGACAGAGGGTGATGATGGCTGAAGCTGCAAGACACACTCATCTTAGATGAGGAAGGGAGATGGCAGCGTGGCTGGGGAAAACAAGCATGACACCTAGTTTTCCAAACGAGGGAGGGGAAGCAACCAGTAGAAATGAAGCAGTGGGACATTCTAGAGGGAAAGCAAGAACAAGATCTCCCAGGGATTGGGAAGAAACAGAATGAAGGTCAAAGCGTTGCCCTCAGAGAGAAGATGGGCCCCTCCCTGTCTGAGAGACACAATGCCAGGCACAGCAGGGTGTGTGGGGCTGGCCAGACTGGTCACCCCTGCTCAGAATGTGACAGTTGTTCCAGTCTTTCCAATGGATTGTGGTCACCTATCCTGGAGTGTCCATAAATTAGATCAGACTTTTCAGTCTTGAAGAGGGGCAGAGAGAAGCGAGAAAGTGATTGCTTGGTTTTCCCACTCCAGTTAAGACACAAGTCGCCCTCTCTTAGATTCCAGAATTGTGGAAAGCCAAATCTTCTAAAAAGGTCTGGTGAGCTTTAGAGTGAGGAACGGGGAAGCTATTTCGGAAGAACTAGTCTCTGCATGACTGATGGGCAGGACGTTTCCTCGTCAATTTTCTGGGGCAAGACCGATTTGGATTTGCTTTGATTCCACCACGTCATGGGTTCTCACGACAGAGGAAAGAATAGTCAATCCAAACCCTCACATTAGCCGGAGTTCCAATTTTAGACAGATGTTCCAACCCACTTCCCACAAACCCGCTTCTCTTAAGAATTCTAGCAAGTGGAAAATTGAATTTCATTTTCTCTGCTGTCCCTCTCCTGGGGATGACAGAAACTGGGTTTTGAAGGAGAAAAAAGGGTCCCAGGTAATTCACCCAGAGCAGTGACCACATAGTTGAGGGTTAAGAACAAACTGATCCCCACAACTCAACACCTGTTGGGTAGCTCCACCTGGTACCAGCAAGAAAAGGGGGGGCTGGCAAGCAAGCATTCAAGGGTATTTTCCCTGCTCTAACAAGGTATGTTTAATTCTACAAGAAAACTGTTATTTCTCTGCATCATTTTCCCTCTTGACTTCACCTTTAATGCACACTCTATAGACGTCCTGTTGTTTAACTTTGTGCTTGCAGTTAAGTGTTAGCATTTTGAACAAATTAATGCTGACTTCCTCTTTTCCTATAAAGGCTGCACCCTCTGGATGTATTTCAGTGATTATACTAATTCCTGCATCAATAAAATAGAATTACTTTTACTTAAACGTGGCTTAAATTCCTGGCGATACTTGAGTGGAATGCAAAAGGCCTATGTTTTGCACTTCATTGCATCTGTGTTGTTCTGGAGAAATCTGCCGTTGGTATTTCGGGGGTCTTTTGAAGAGGAGTCTGCTCTCTGTAATCATTGCCATGTTTTATTTGAGCTCTCGGAGATGGGCATTTCCTTTGCCTGGGTTTTGTGGAGGAGACATGCACTAACTAGATTTGGGGTTTCAAAGACTCAGGTCCTCAGATAATCACTTGGTACCTGTTCTTTGGCCAGTGGCCAAACATCTCCGCATCTCAGCATCTTTCTTCTAGGGACTGTTGGTCAACAGCTTATGCTACCAACTTCTACCCTGAAAAATATTCACTTTTTTAGGGTTTTTTAGGATAAAATAAGAAATTTCTTTTAAAAGAAAGCTTGATGTGTCTTTGAATGGTCTGATGCATTGAATAAATTGCATGTCCTTTTTCTAGAAAGCAAATGAAATAATTTTAGTTAAAAGGTTTCATAAGGCAGGTTTCGGTTGATGGGAGCGCAATGTCTCCCTGTATGGTCACATACACGACTGTGTTTTGTGAGTGTTGCATTTCCCCAGGTTTCAGAGAAGAAAATGATTCTTTTCCTCCATGGGTCAGACATGTAGGTGTAGTTCTTCTCTCAGCCTCTGCCTTCATTTCTCAGACAACTTGGTTTCCTGTGAACCAGGCACATGCATGTTCTTCAAAATGGCCCTGGATTGAAGCAGGCCACCAGTTTCCATTTAGCCTTAGCTGAATGAGAAGATGTTCAGTCCTGCCAGCTTCATTATCAGCAGGTCTCTTGCATTTTAAGTGTTTTTCTCAATTTGTTTGAGTCATCCTGTTGTGTACCCTGAGGCTTTGAGGTACCAGAAGACGGAGGTTGAAATCTTTACAGTAGATGTGGGCTCCTACCTTTCTATTGTGTCAGGTTCTAGGAATATCATTTTTCTTCTCAAAATGACTTCACTAGCGGGGAGAAACCAGCTGGTTTTTTTCCTGGTAGGGGTGGCTTGAAGATGCTCCCACGGGGGAGGAATTGAGGGGCTTGTGACTTTGTGCATGGATCTCTGCTCTACTAGTTTGTGCAAAGTGGAGATTGTGCAGACCCTAAAATGTTGTACAGAGGAGAGCCCAGTCTAAGGGTTCTATAGCGGAGAGAGCACCAGCGAGGAGTTCTTGGATCCAGTGGGCCCCCTCCAATCCCAGGAAGCCTCTATAAATTGATCTGTCTTAACAAAAAGCCTCAATTTGTAGCATTTGTCAATTTTTGTGGTGTACAAGCTCCCACCATGGCTGACTGCAAACTATCACCTGTTGACCAGCTCACAACATTCCCGCTATTTAACGATCAGCTGTCATGAGCTGATACGAGCTCACTGCAGCACCTCCACTGAAACAAGTCCTACATCCTTGCAGTGGGGGTGAAGGGATCCTATTTTGCTGGAAGGTGGTGGGAAGGAGGGGGTGACATGGAAGGGAAATAAAGGGATGCAGGTTTGGGAAAGGTTGCCCACTCTGTCTCCCTCTTGGAGAGTTCTAGAACAAGTGAGCCTATTAAGGGCTCTGAGAAATCCTATGATTGATATATATAATTGCTTAAATGTGCTTTCCCAAACTCATTTGAGCTTAGGATAACCTACGCACATCTTGGTTCTGTGGAACGTATTTGATATTTGGTTTGGCGGCTCCTGGAATGAATGACAGGAACGTTGGAGATGGGCACACCCCCACTATGCCTTCTTCACGATTCGCTCAGGGCCAGCCCAGCATGTCCCCGTTTCCACCTGACACAGCCCAAAGCTGTCAGCCCAAGCATTCACTGTCAGCATCCCCTATTGTCCTCAGCGTGCACCGACTCCCGCTCCCTTCCCCTTGCCTCAGTAGAAAGAGACATGACTCAGTCAACCAGCAACAAGCAAAAAGGAGAGTGACATATTACCCAAACAGAGGAAGATTCTCTGACACAATGGGAGGTTAGCTTAGACTCTGTTGCTAGACTCAGAGGGTAAGATGAAAGTAAAGGTTCTAAAATAGAATCCTATCACCAGAAACGGGGACAGCCTGAGGCTGGGATTACCTACAGACCACCCACGGCGCTTTCACCTTCACCCACTCCAGTTTTTCCCTATGGGTTTGCAAATGGAATCATTCCATATTCGAGTGCGGTGCTGCTCCTCCAGCTGCCAGGAAGCCCCCAAACCTCAGCACTGTAGGCTCTGAATGTGTTCTGCATTTATCCCTCCTCCAGCCCTTCTCACTGAAGCTCTCAGCTTGGTGAATGATGACTTGGCAACTAGGGAGGTCGGGGCCAGGGCCAGTGTAGTATCCACATTGGGCTCCACCCCATAGACTCCATGCAAGCCCCCTGACCTTCCCTTGAGAGTGATGTGTATGGGCTGTGGGAGGAAGGGGTGTGTAAAGCCTGTGACTTTGCTTGGTGGAAACCCACAGCTGGAGGCAGAGGACACAGGGACACCTGCTCTGAATGAGGCCTGGAGCAGCCACTTGGAGGATGCTGAAGGCACAGCTCCCACCTCTACGGCAGCTGTGGCAGTGGCAGTGGCAGCTGGGGCAGAGCTGGGGAGAATTATTAGGGGAGAAAGAAACACAATCAAACGGCCTTCCTTGAAAGGTTTCCTAAGGGAAGAGAGCCTGGGGTATGGAGCCCCATCTATGGGATGAGCCATTGGGAAGCACATGGGGTCAGCACTCTGAGAATAATGGAGAATTCTCCCCCTCCGGGCTCTGACTTTTTCGGTAGCACAGACTTGGGTGAACTTCAGGTGGAGTCTATAGTAAAGTGCAGCCTAGGGGCTTGGCTCAAAACAGATGAGCTGAAACGTACATACCTGATGGCTCAAGCACAGGCTTGGAGCCCCATCTCTGCCATTTTGGTCCCATAACTTCTACCAGGCACCTCCTGTGTACCGAGCCCTGTGCTAGGCCCTGGGGATGCAAAGACCAATAAAACACAAATCCCTGCCAGGGGAACTCAGGGTTCTTTTGTGGCTTAAAACTGGTCTGAGTCTGGGGGTGAGGGTGGGGTGGGGTAGGAGACATTTTTTTGGAATGAAATAAGACATCCTCTTAAACACTGTTTTGGAGTTGGGAGTCACTGCTTTATGAGCATGGGCTTTCCTTTTGGGGTAATGAGAATGTTTTGGAACATGATGGAGTTGTTGGCTGCACAACATCATCAATGTACTAAATGCCTCTGAAATGCACTCTTGTAAATGGTTAATTTCACCTGAGAAAAGAGAAGTTGCTTTTGATGGTAAAACTCTAGAAGTCCAACACCTCTGGAAGGTCATGTGTCTTCATCTGCCTAAGCCTGAGAACCAGGGGTGTGCAGGGTAGACATCTGAGAGATAAAGCATGGTGGCATGTCCATCCAGGGCCAGTGTCCCGATGGGGAGATGGAGAGAGGGAGGCACAATGCAGGGGACTCCTCCATGAGCCTGGGCAGCCTACATCCCAGCCCTGTTAAGGTACTGTTCACCTCTGCAGCCTGCAGCGCTGACAACCATGCTTGAGGCCAGGTTGGAACATCTGGCAAGCCATTAATACCTGGTGACTGTGATGAATGCCTATGAGCTCCAACTGACTTCAGCATTTCACGGTCACCCTCCTGGAGGCACCGTCCTTAATAATACTTTTATGCAACTTAGACACGAGTTGCTGCGCTGGGCTGTTGCAGTTGACTGGGGGACAATGTGATTTTTCTCCTGACATGAGTTTCCTAACAAATTACGTTGGGGGCACGATGCTTTTCCTTTTGTGAGATTGGACTTTCTCTTTTATTGTGTGATGTTCTTTTCCTGTGTTGTACTGATATGTTACGGGGGGATCTGCAGAGCTTCTTTACACAGCACAGCTTGTTTTTTCTCTGAGGTCCTCACTGTGCATCAGTGCCCGATGGCAAGAGAAGACCTGTTTCATATTGCCTCTCTCTGGGTATATGTGCTACAGGAGTACGTCTCATTAGGGGTCAGAGTGGCCAGAAGTAAACTGGATTTGTGCTTATCAGTCATTTATTCCTTGAGGTGATTCCTACTTTAACCTGAACTACTTGGTGGATTTTCATCAGACAGTGGAAATATTTGCATTTTCCTTTTTCTCTCAGCTTGGGTGGCAGTGTTTCTCTTGCAAAATTAGCTGCATTTGTAAAGTGAAGCAGAACGAAAGTCAAGAGGGCGATTTCTCTGTTGGCGTTTGTTTGTTTATTTTTCCAGGATCATCTTGCTAAAAGGAAAAGTTTTCCTAGCAATAACCTTGCGATATCTTTAGGCAGCTCTGATCATAATTGATCTGCAGTCAAGTCTTCCATCCTGGAAGGAAAATATCCGGAAAGAGGACTTGATTCCCTTCTGCCCAGTCATAGTCTATTTAGGGTGAGGCCTGAGTGGTGTCTGGGGACAGGGTTTCTGGGGACAGAGTCTGAGTCACAAAGTCTCCCTGCTGATTCTCTGCTCACCAAGCCATGTACTCTGGTTTGGGACAGTTGCTGCACAGAAGGGGGCAGATTCCTGCCCGATGATCTTGTATAACCCTGCAGTGGCCCCGTCTAGGAACCCAAAGACATTCTGGTTCTATGTTTGTAGAGTATATTTTAAGGCCACAGTGAATGAACTTGGAAGGAGATAGAAGGATTTGCCATTGAGATGCCTTTTTGGTAGACAGCATGAAAACTCTGGGCTTCTCCCTGGGGTCAAACCATGCTCTGCACCTGGCCAGCTCTCCAGGAAGCCAAGGTGGAATGATGGGTTTCAGGACAGTGGTTTCTCATACTTTCCAGGGCTGTATTTGTTTAATGCTCACACTCTTTTTTAACAGTGAGATTTTGAGCACTTTTGAGTCTCGGCTCACACAGACAGCCAGCATGGGCCATGGAGACAGGCAGCCCTGGGGGCCAACTATGGTTCCCCATTTGGTGTTCTGTGTCTCCTGGGGATGACTTATTAATAGCTCATAGATTACAAACGGCCTGTACTTCCCTGCCCTGTGGCTTGTCTACTGCAATGCTGTTTGGGTTTCATGCACTTGGGATATAGTCCTTTTAAAATTACATTTTCTCCTGCTTCCATGCTTCTCCCCCCTGGGGCCCATTGGCAAAGCCTGTGTGCTTTGCTGTGCCTCCCCTGAATTATTCTTGCCTTCTCCAGCAAAGGTTTATTTGATTTCTTTAAAGTTACTTGACTGAATTCTCAACGCAAGTACATACACTAAAGTAATCACATCTGCTCTTTTTTAGGGAAAAGTAGAAATCTGCACTCTTGTCTCGACTTTGCCTTGCCTGCAGAACTCAACATTTGCGAATGATGTGTCCTTGAGAAGTCATGTTTTACCCAGTTTTGCAAACTTTTGGCTCATATCATAAATTCAAAGATGCTGGTGCTCCCAGTCTTAGTGCTAACATTTCTATTTATACCCCTTTCCCTGAGCCCCAAGAAATGTTCTTTAAACATATTCTCAGCTGGACCAGAAGAGATTTGGTTTGTGTGTTTGTTTTTAATGGGCCCTGCATTGACTTGGATAATGCTGTTGAAAACACAGTAAGATGGATTAAGTGCTGGATAATTCTCCTTCTAGCACCAATACTCCCTAATAACTTTTTGATACATACAAACAAAAACATCCTCTTTAATCTGCAAATTCCTCTTTGGATGGGCTGAAGGGTAAGGTTATCTGGAAAAAATGAGTAACTTCGGCAGAGAGAATCCTGTGTCAGTCACCAGAGGAGAAGAGAGAAAGCTGCTTGTCTCTTGCAGACCTGTGCTGGCCAATACAGCAGCTACCAGCCTGAAATTTGCCTGGTCTGAATAGAGATGTGCAGTAAGTGTTAAACACACAGGGGATTTTTGAAGAGTAATAATGTAAAAGTAAACTATCCCATTAATAATTGTCATACCAATTACATGTTGAGCTTTTAATATCTGGATATAGTGGGTGAAATAAAATATATCATTATTTTAATTTCACCTATTTCTTTTTTCCTTTCAAAGGTTCATATTATAGAATTTAAGATTATGCAGGTGGCTGGCATTATATTTCCACTGGGCAGGGCTGTTACAGAACATCCAGTACTGAGGAACGCCAGCTCTTAGCATGTTGGGAATAAAATTGATGCAAAAGGCAGTCCCTTGGTTGGCTTAAGTCAGAAGAAAAGGGCTGCTTATTAGGGGGGTTTAACCTTTTGATGTGGAAGGAGCTGAGGGCTCTGTAATTGGGAAAAAATTAATAAGAGTTCATAATGTGATATAATAAGGGGTATTGAACACAACTAATCAAAAAATGGTTGGGGAATTGCTGATAAACGTGTGTAAATATGTTCCCTCCTAGTTTGGGAGCTGTGGCTACTTTAGCCCGCTGGTTCAATTGTTTTTCATTTTTTTGAGTGCTATGCAAGCTCGTGTCAGCTTTCTGCACACCACTAATAACCCAATTTGTGCCTGATTGGAGAAGCTTGACATTGACAGTATCTTATGTTGATGCCATGCATGATGGGGTGAGGAGGGAGAGAGGGAGAAAAGCTCCTGGAAAAACGGGCATTTACAAATGGGAAAAGTGAACTGGGAGAGGGCAGTGTACCATTGGCTTGGGTAAATATTCATTTTATTTATTTATTTAAAAATTTTGGTTCATGAACAATTCTTTAGGTTTGAAAAAAAAAAAGATCAGGTGTTGTTATCCAGGGCTGAAGAAATGAATCATGGTCCCAGCTTTGAAGCACCTGTGGCAACATTGCCAGTCTCCCTGTTCTTTCCTGCTAAGCCCATGACTCCAGTGTGGCTTGTGGAGGAAGCTCACTGGGACTATTTTAAAACGTGTGCCCAAGGAAGTGCAAATGCTGTGCCCAGCACTACTACAAACCAGTAGCTCTTGTAAACCAAAAACAAAATTTGAACGCCCCCCAACCATCTGAGTGGACTTCTTCCTTGGCCAGGGCTCTCCTAAAATTTAACCTGAGAGACTGGTTCAGGCCATTATGGTAAGTGGGGATTGGACACGCCTTATTATACCTCTCTGGCATTAACATCAACACAGACCCGAAGTCTGATAAGAATCGGTTACAATCTACTCTCTCTGAAGCCTGCAACCTGGAGGCTTCAGCTGCATGATAAAACTTTGGTCTCCACATCTCTTATCGCAACCTAGACATTACCTTTCTATTGATCCCAGGTCTTTAGATAAACTCAACCCATTGTCGACTAGAAAACATTCTAAATCTACCTATAAACTGGAACTAACAACCCCCCTCCTTTGAGTTGTCCCGCCTTTCTGGACTGAACCAATGTATTTCTGAAATGTATTTGATTGAAGTCTCATGTCTCCCTAAAATGTATCAAACCAAGCTGCACCCTGACCACCTTGGGCACATACATGTTCTCAGGACCTCCTGAGGGCTGTGTCACTCATATTTGGCTCAGAATAAATCTCTTCAAATATTTTACAGAGTTTGACTCTTTTCATTGACATTCTTCTGCCATTCCCCTGTTCCTGGAGGCTCAAGGACCATAAACTTGAATAGCATGATTTGGCTTTGGTTTGAGCCTATGCCTTTAGGTTTAGATCTTTGCCTAATTGACTAGTAGACTTTGCTGCTAAAAAGCATGACTGCAAATCTGATAAACACTCCAGCTTTTGCCTTTAGATCTCTGACCAATTCTCCTTCTCAGTGACTTTTCCTGACTTCCTCTTCTGTCTGTCCCCTTGAATGTTGGGGGTACCCCATGGTTTGTCTTCAGCCTCTTTTTCTTCTCATCCCTCACTGTTTCTTGGGGAAAGGTCTCCTGTGGATGAAGCGCTCCCTATATGTAGATGACTTCCTCATCTAGCTCTCCAGGTCAGATCTTTCTTTCCCTCAATTTCTTTGCTGTCATATTGACTTGCTTGCAAGATATTTCCACATGGATTTCCTGTAAGAACCTCAAAATAAACATTTTTTCAAGACAGAGATTGTTATCCCCATGCTGTCTGGACTAGATATTCTCCATCTGTCCCTGAAGAGTCCCCCCACACCCTCTGGACTCTCTCTGCAGCCCAGGAGAATGACCTTTCTGGATGTACCTGGTCTCTCATGTCCTCTGGCTTCCTGTTGGGCTTGGCTCATGAGAGGTTCTGGTGGGAGATCAAAGAGTAGGAGGAGAATGGAACCTTTCTATTAAGATGGGTTGAGTTGAAATGGGCTGTGTTCCTCTTCCTACAACCATAGTCCCACTCAGTGGTCCTCTCTCCTGCAGCTCTGTCTGGTTTCCTCCCTTGGCCCCTTTAGACTCAGGGTTGTGATGGCTCTAGATGTTGCCAGCCCTGGGTTCCTCTCCTTTCCTTCTTGGTGACTAGCCTTGCCCATGCCTCCACAGAGTTCCTTTTCTAAGCATCCTCATCACCTGATGATTGTTCCTTCTTTTCTGCAAGGCCCCAGCTCAGACCTTTTCCATGTGGCCCCTCCTGTGCAGGGCTCTGTGCATGGCACCAACGCCAGCCCAGGATACCAAGCCAGCACCCAGAGGCATCTTTGTGTCTCCATCTTTCACCCCACTGCCAACAGATGCCAAGTCCTGTGGCTTCCTTTTCCTAAAAGCCTTTCCTCATGGTCCCTCTTTGCTGTCCCCAAAGCACCAGAACTCTTTGGGTTGTGGAAATAAGTGAAAATCAACCAAGTGAGGAAAACAGAGGCTATTTATTCACACGTGCTGTAGTAAGGGACCATCACGTGCATTTGGTAACGGCCCAAAGGCAGGCAGGGGAGTGAGAAAGCTTCATGTTGGAAAAGGGGGAAGGCCTCAGGCATGCCCTGATGGAAACTGTCATCATGGGGAAGCTGCAGGTGAGCTACCTAGAAATGGACATCCTGTGTGATTGGTGAGGGGGCATATTTGACTTTTACCAATTGGCCTTAAGTTGGAAGTAGGAGCAAAAATCAGGGAAATTTGGTTATTAACCAAGTCCTGGTCATTTGGGCCAATTGTTACAGAAGTTATTGTTTAGCTTTCTGGAGTGTCACTGGTTTCTTGCAAGGCTGACTTACAACAGGCTGGCTTCCTGGGTTGTTTATTGTAGAAAAGCAGTTGGTTTCCTGGGCAGGTGGCTGCAGGCTGTGGGTCCAAGTGCTATTTTTATATGTGGTTGGCCACTGTCCATTTCTGTATTCAATCTCAGGGTCAGTTTTTAATTAACTGTTTTTTTTGTTGTTGTTGTTCTGGATTATAAAGATGGTATATACTCATGTAGAACATTTTAATTAACCCAGAAAAATATTAAAAAGAAAAACACCTTGTATCCTGCCAGCAGAGGTAACCATTGTTGACATTTCCAGGAACATCTTTTCAGAGATCTCTCTGTGCATTGACACATTCATACATGAGTGGCCATCCTCTACAAAGCGTTCTGTAGCCCTCTCATCAGTTTTCACTGGGGTTGCTGTGGCAGTCACCATATCTAGATCACTGTTCCAGTCTTGCCAACATCCACTTCATTTCTCACAGAGCTTCAGATTGGGCTCTCTCTAATTCAGATTCCATCAGTTCCTGTCCTGCTTTAAATTGTTCAGTGGTTGCTCATCAAGTCCAGGCTCCCAGCAAGGCTCTCTGGGCCACTGATGATGTGTCCTCTTCTTCCAAACCTTCCATCTCTTCTCTGCACTTGGGGGAACTCAGGATTCTCTAAGGACTGTGCTCCTTCCTGCAGATGTGTGCCCACATGTTGCCTCTGTTGTCTCCCAGGCTCTTCCTCAGCCCCCATAGACTAGCGAAATCCTCAGGAGTCAGCTCAGACTTGCCCTTCCCTGGAAGCCTGCCAGAGAGCTCCCAATATGTTTAGTTTCTGTCCTCACCACCCAGTGCCTGCCTCTGGGACAGCACTTAGCCCACAGGATGACAGTGGCTGGCTTTCATGTCTCTTCCCTGACAGACCCTCAATCTTCAAGGTAAGCAACTATGCTTTACTCATTTTGTCCCCAGCCCAGTGTCTGTGATGGTACCTGAGACATAGTGGAGGCTCAGGAGACATTGCCTGAATAAATGAGGTGCTGGGTGGATGCAATCATATGTATGTATGTGTGTGCATGTGTATGCGTGTGTATATGTGTGTGTGTGATACATATATATCTGTAGATGCCCTGATTGTATGTCAGCTTGCTGTTTGGGTACCTGCCATGGTTTGAATGTTTGTCTTCTCCACAACTCATGTGAAATTTAATTGCCACTGTGATGGTACTAAGAGGTGGAACATTTAAGAGGTGATTAGGCCACGAGGGCTCCCCCCTCACGGATGGATTAATGCTGCTATTGAGAGAGTGGGCTCCTCATAAGAGAATGAGTTTGGCCCCTCTCTTACTTTCTTCCCTCTCACCCTCTCTTACCCTTCCACCTTCTGTCATGAAATGATGCAGCAAGAAGGCCCTCTCCAGATGCTAGCCCCTCCATCTTAGACTTGCAGCCTCCAGAATTGTGAGAAATAAATTTCTGTTCATTATAAATTACCCAATATGCGGTATTCTGTTACAGAAGCTAAAAAAACAAAGACTATGACAGTACTAGACAGAGATACAAACACCTACTTTCCATGGGGAAACCACTTACACCATTAAAAAAACCCCTCAGCGATTACTTTTTAATATGGTCAATAATACTTCTACACACTTTGCCTCCATTATCATACCTCCTATTTATAATCCCACGAAGATTTTTGTGGGGAGTGAAATGTTATATTCATGAAAATGCTTTGAACTTTTTGGAGAAAAATTCACTCTTCCCCAAATCAGTAAGGGAGCCACACTACTCTATCAATAATGGATAGTATATCGCAAGGACAAAAAACCAAACACCGCATGTTCTCACTCATAGGTGGGAATTGAACAATGAGAACACATGGACACAGGAAGAGGAACATCACACACCGGGGACTGTTGTGGGGTGGGGGGAGGGGGGAGGGATAGCATTAGGAGATATACCTAATGCTAAATGACGAGTTAATGGGTGCAGCACACCAACATGGCACATGTATACATATGTAACAAACCTGCACATTGTGCACATGTACCCTAAAACTTAAAGTATAATAATAATAAAATAAAAAAAATGGATAGTATAGGTGTCTATTTTTCCAGATGAGATAAGCTGAGAGGTGACTGGGAAGGAATGCACATGATTTGGAATGCCCTGGAAACAGAAAGAATGAGAGGTCCAGACAGAGAAAAGCTCAGGTTAGGAACGGGTCTCCTCTGGGATTTCCAACCCACCAAGCCATGTCCTCTTGGGAGGAGGAGAAAAGGGCAACAAAACTGGCAGAATCCTTATTCCACAGCCTGTCCCCAAACACCATCTTTCACTGATGGTAATAATTCAAGTAAGAGAAGTGGAGATTAAGTAGTTGCTGAACTAAGGATCAGAGAGCAATAACTGAAGCTTGGCAGGCCTGGTAATTTATCTCCTATGCAATGTTTTTCAGATGTTCCTGAGATATTCAAGTCTAGAGACCAGGCTTATTTGGAGTATGTGTCATAGGGAAGGCAACAGTGGGGGGTGTGTAAGGATTTCACTGAGTTGCAGGAATCACAAATTAGGATGGAGGTTATTTTCAAACCTCTTTATATGGCATATAGTAGGCAGAATAATGGCCCCAACGAGGCCCACATCCTGATCCCGGGAACTGTGGATATGCATGTTACATGTCAAGGAGAAATTATACTTCCAGATGGAATGGAGGTTGTCAGTCAGCTGGAAGATTATCCTAGGTCCTGAAAAGTGGAAGAGGGAGACAGCAGAAGAGAGGGAACCAGGGAGATAGTAGCATAAGAAGGACTTAGCCCAACGTTGCTGGTTTTTTTTTTTTTTTTTTTTTTTTTTTTTTTTTTTTTTGACAGACAGGGTCTTGCTGTGGCCCAGGCTAGAGTTTGGTGGTGCAATTAGGGCTCACGGCAGCCCCTTGACCTCCCAGGCTCAAGTGATACTCCTGCCTCAGCCTTCTGAGTAGCTGGGACCACAGGTGTGCACCACCATAGTCAGCTAGTTTTGTTATGTATTATTTATTTATTTATTTCTATATTTATTGCAGAGATGAGGTATTACTCTGTTGCCCAGGCTGGTCTCAGACTCCTCAGTGCAAGTGAATCCTCCTCCCTTGGCCTCCCCAAATGCTGGGATTACAGAGGTGAGACATCATGCCTGGCCATGGTTGCTGGTTTTGAAGATGTGGGAAGGGGACCATGAGCCAAGGAGTGCAGGTGGCCTGTAGAATCTGGGAAAGGAAAGGAAGTGGATTCCCCCAGAGCTTCCAGAAAGGAACACAGCCCTGATGACACCTTGGCTTTAGCCCAGTGAGACTCCTGTTGGACTTCTGACCTCTAGGATCTTAAGTCAATGCATTTGTGATATTAGTCCAATCAATTTTCAGTAATTTGTTACGGCAGCAAAGGTAAACAAAACAGGAGTAGGCAGATTCCCGTTCAATTCAATTTATACACACTGAACACCTGCTATGTGCCAGATCCTGTGCTAAGAGCTGGGTACAGGGGTGAATAAAGATGCAGCCCCTGCCCTCAAGTCTCACAGCCTTGAAGAAAACACAGGAGCACACACGTCCCACTAGGGCAGCGGAGGCAATTCCAGGATCACGGTGTGTTCGCTGGGGCAGCCGTGACAAAGTACCACCAACTGGTGGCTTAAATAACAAACTTTTGTTTCTCACAGTTCTGAAGGCTGGGAAACCCAAGCTCAAGGTGCCGGCCGGTTCTGTTCCTAATGAGGGCTCTCTTCCTGGCTTGCAGGAGGCCACCTATTCACGCCCACATGGCAGACAGCAAACTCTATCTGTGATCTCTCTTATAAGGGTGCTGACTCCATCCTGAGGGCCCTACCCTTAGGATCCAATTACCTCTCAAAGTCCCCAACTCCCAAATGCCATCACATGGTGGATTAGGATGTCAACATATGAATTTATGGGGAACATAACTCAGTCCATAGCAGATGGGAATGGGGAGATGGTGGACTAACTGTCTTGGGTGAGGTGGGAGCGGGTTAAGGAAAGCAGGAGTGGCAGTCCTTAGGTAGCAAATCAAAGGCCCAGGGATAATCCAGATCTGGGGAACAGAGTAACAAATCATGAGGTTGCAAGAGAGCCCACTTCCTTCATTCTTCCAGCTGTCTGGTGATCTGGGGTTGCTTTGGGCCTATCTCTGAGGCAGAGGGGAAGGGAGGTGAGGGTGTTTACTGAGTGTGCTCTGTATACAATTCAGTCTTCTCCAAAAGGCTGTGAACAAATGTCGTTTTTATCACCATTGTTAAGATAGGGGAGAGGAGTTTCTGGAAAGTTCCATAACTTGCCTAGGGTGTTTGACCTCTAAAGCTGGTATTCTCCATGATACTCACTTGACTCTGAGTAATTCCCCTCTGATTAAACAGTGGAAAAGAAAAAGACAACATGACGTCTCCTGCGACCTTAAACCCAGCACTGAGACAGTGCCTGGCACATAACAAGAGCTAAAGAAATTTTTCTTGAATAAATGAATAGGTAATTTCAGATCCTTTAAGACTGACCATTTGGAATGGGAGTCTATAACTTCTACATACTCTGTAAATTGTCCTTTATCCACTCTGACTGCTCAGTGGATTTTTTCTTTTGAGCTCTAGCATTCCATCCAAATAAATCCCAAGCAAAAGTTTTAAGTGCTCCAGCTACTAGAATTGATGGCAAAGCCTTATATTCGCTGATATTTTTGCTGACTTTTGGAGCCTTGTTCATAAGGTGCAAGATCAGTGGAACACTTGAATGTGTGTGCAGAGCACTGTGTGAGCCCTGCTGGAAGCTTCCAGAAGTACAGGATGTGGTCCCAGGCCCACACATGCATGAAGAGAGGAAGGGGAATGGAGGCAGAGGAAAAGACGCCCTGCCAGGGTTCAGCAGACACAAAGACACAAGTGTAGGAAGGATGACTGAGAAATGATCTGTTTTTTCCCACCCCAAAAGGGGCAGTTGTTTTCTTTGCCCCCTTTGGAGAGGGCCAGAAGGGGATTTGTGTCTTGCCAGAAGGGATTTATGCCTTGCCTTAGAGGAGGTTCTTTAAAGGTCTTTGGTTTCCCAAAGCCTTGGCTGTGGTAGGCAAAGCACTGGATTGCTCCAAAGGGATGAAGCTTTGGGATTTTTATTAGGAAAAGCTGGCAAAGGCCTTACTAGGGAAAGGGAGGGGCCCCTAAGACCTGCAGAAGTGAGCTGGGTTTTCTGATATACAGAATCTGTGAATATGTTCCACTATACAAAGAAAAATCGAGGTTGCAGTTGGAGTTAAGGTTGCTAATCAGCTGACCTTCAACTGGGGAGATTATCCTGGATTATCCGGGAAGCCCAGTGTCATCACAAGAGTCCTTTTAAGTGGGAGAGGGAGGCAGGAGAGGGAGAACGAGAGAGATGGCAATGTGAGAAGGACTCAGCCCATGGTGCTGGCTTTGAGGGGGGAGGAGGGGGCCATGAGACAAGGATTGTGGGCGGCCTCTGGAAGATGGAAAGGCAAGGAAACAGATTCTCCCCTGGAAGGTGCAGCAGTAATGCAGTCCTGCTGAAAACAATTTTAACCCAGTGAGACCTGAGTTAGACTTCTAACCCGCAGACTTGCCAGATACATTTGTGTTGTTTAAGCCTCCAAGTTTATCGTAGTTTGTTCCAGCTGCATAAGGAAACTAACACAGGGTAATATGGGGGTGCCTGGAGACTGAGTCACAGGGCTGAGACCTTGGAGACCCAGTGATGGTCTCATGGCTTTCCTGGATATAGAGGAAATGTACCCACAGGCTTGTGACTTGTAATGTGTTGTGCAGACTTAGTCAGAAGCAAGACCAGAAACCCCTCCACACGTTTTATGGACAGTGTAAGTTTCTAGGGCCATTTATACAACCCCAGGTACGGGTGGTGTCCCTCAATAATGGTGGATACGTGAACACTTCCAACCCTGGACAGCAGGTGCTCAGAGCCAGTTTAATTGGATCTAGGAAAATTAAGGGTTGTGATGTATCTTGCACCTGAGGGTGGTGAGCAGATTCACAGCTGCTCTGCTCATCAAGATTTTTCTAAAAGAATATGTTAATTGCCGCAGAACTGCACTTGTCAGAGCAAGCTCATAAAAGAGATGAGTTTTCAGTTGTGTTTGGAACAGGGTAGGAGTGGGTGGGTGAGGACTGGGATCCATGGTTCGTGGATGGGAGGAGAGAAGAGTTCAGAAATGGATGTTAGGAATCCATCTCTAGAAGTCTTAACAGTGTTTTCCATTGACTCAGAGCTTGGTTTTGTGGTAGTGGGAATGTGGCAATATGAAGGATTCTGGTGATAGGAAGTGGAAGACTTCATAAGCAAAAGCCCCAGTCTTAGTGGAACGCTTCAAAGCCACAGGTTCTTCCAGTAACTGCCTGGGTCTTCCGCTTCTCCCCTTGGCTCTAAATTCCCAACAGGCTTTGTGGAGGTTTGACAGCTGCTCCAGGAGCTTGCAATTTACTTTTTGTTCACTTTATGCAAATTCATACTTGGCTTTGTAGCACAAAGGACAAACCTAGTGGGGTCTGAGTTGCCCTACGGAGGTTTTATCCCCGCAAAACTCGGGAGCCCAGGAAGCTGCAATGACAAGGGAAGAGTCCAGGAACAAAACCGTGGGAGAGACCTACATATGAGGCATTCCAGAGTGGTCTTTGCACTGTGCTGTCTTAATAGGTATAGAGCTATCAACCTGGAGTAGGCAGTAGATATTTAACGCTCACATTTCATCTAGATGTATATGTGTATGCATGTGTGTATGTATCTGTGTACAATGTGCATATTTATATATAATAAACACACCTATGCATGCACACTTTTTGATGGGAGACACTAATTTTAGGCAGTATAGGTCAATTTCTAACTTCTGAGCTGGGGCATGGGGTCATTTTCAGGTGACAGGTGGGGTAACAGCCACAGGTATGCAAACTTCCTTCTAGCTGGTCTCGAGGGCATCTTTGCTCAGAGGGGGCAGAAGGAAGTAGCACTGGCATCACTTCGAGGAAGCCGGGTGTTTGCCCGTAGCACAGCCTGAAGCAACTGTGCTTGGGACATAGGTGAGTAGAGAATAAAGTACGCGTGGGCAAGGCCAGGCAAGCACCAGCACAGCCTGAAGACACACCCTCCGCTCGTGGACAGAATGGGGCACCATGCAGGGAGCCCCATAGGGACTGCTCAATGAATCCACCTGG
Source organism: Homo sapiens (assembly GCF_000001405.40). Taxonomy (NCBI): domain Eukaryota; kingdom Metazoa; phylum Chordata; class Mammalia; order Primates; family Hominidae; genus Homo; species Homo sapiens. Next base: position 37,749,461 of record NC_000021.9, read on the forward strand.
ACTGGATTTGTCACTAGATGGTGTGAGATGCAACTTGTATTGCACCCATACCTGGAGCCCGGCTGTCATTCTCTGCCATGGAGACAAAGTGCCTATGTTGTGGCTGTCCCAGACCCTTTCCAAGAGGATTTAGACTGCAGTGTAAAGGGGGCTTCATGTTGAGGCACATTATCCATTTGTGGTTAAAAATTTTAGCAAGGAGCTAGGAAAGTTATGTTTGGGGTCATGATCCAAAGGAACTTCTACCCTATTAGCTTAAGGATTGAATCTAAAAGATATTGGAGGTTGAAAAACGGTCTCAGGAAAGTCCTCTAACTTAACACAGGGACATAATCTATTGAGGCTGAATGGAAAGAAGGACAAGGTGTTGCTTTTGGAGCCAAAGTGCCAGGGTTCAAGACATTCGTCAAAGGGCAGTAATCATACCTATGCAGCCTGCCTTGCACCGTCGCCAAGAAAGCTCCAAGCCAGTGCAAACCAACTATCTGCAAAACATCTAATGAGAGGTCAGAGCTGGGCTAAAAAGTCACAGACCTGAACCTTTATCTGCAGGATAAAACATTTGGATTAAAGGCATTTAAAAAAAAATGCTTGCTGCTTTTTTGGTAGCAGAGCATAAAGCCACATCAAAAGAAGACATTTATGCAGCCAACAAACATATGAAAAAAAGCTCATCATCACTGGTCATTAGAGAAATGCAAATCAAAACCACAATGAGATATCATCTTACACCAGTTAGAATGGCAATCATTAAAAAGTCAGGAAACAACGGATGCTGGAGAGGATGTGGAGAAACAGGAACGCTTTTACACTGTTGGTGGCAGTGTAAATTAGTTCAGCCATTGTGGAAGACAGTGTGGCGATTCCTCAAAGATCTAGAACTAGAAATACCATTTGACCCAGCAATCCCATTACTGGGTATATACCCAAAGGATTATAAATCATTCTACTATAAAGACACATGCACACACATATTTATTGCAGCACTATTCACAACAGCAAAGACTTGGAACCAACCTAAACGCCCATCAATGATAGACCGGATAAAGAAAATGTGGCAGATATACACCATGGAATACTATGCAGCCATAAAAAGGATAAGTTCATGTCCTTTGCAGGGACATGGATGAAGTTGGAAACCACCATCCTCAGCAAACTAACACAGGAACAGAAAACCAAACACCACATGTTCTCTCTCATAAGTGGGAGTTGAACAATGAGAACACATGGGGACACAGGGAGGGGAACATCACACTCCAGGGCCTGTCTAGGGTGGGGGGCTAGGGGAGGGAGAGCATTAGGAGAAATACCTAATGTAGATGACGGGTTGATGGGTGCAGCAAACCACCATGGCACATGTATACCTATGTAACAAACCTGCATGTTCTGCGCAGGTATCCCACAACTTAAAGTATAATAATAAAAAATGCAATATTATTATTAGAAGCTAAAACTTGGTAAGAATGGGAGCCTACCTGAAATTGCTATCTGGTTACACACTCAAAAAACCTTTGTTATATGTTAAGGTAAACAAAATTTACTACACAAACTACAAGGCCTCTGAAATGAGAGAATCTCAAATGTATTTGAGTTCCATGATGTCTTTTTGAATAAACCACTAAACAATGAAGTAGGGAATATTTTTGAGGGTGCTGAAGGAATGGACTGATTTTTATTTTTTTGCTTAAGCAGGGCCAAGAGAAAGCAAGAGAGGGCCACACACACAGAGAGAGAAATGCAGTAGCCTTTGCCCCTAATCTCATGAGAATCTGCTAATTTTCCAATCTCTCACTGGAATATTTTATGCCTAAAATAATTCACGATGTGGCTGTAGCATGCACTGCCCTGGACTGCTGAGCATTTTAGTAGCAAAACATGGAGAGTGTTACCTGCTGACCTGCTAAGGAGCATGGGCTCATTCCCATCCCTCTGTGTGCTAACACTGGGACCAGGGAGAGCAAACGGGAGGTGGGACGCTTATTGTTATCAGTATTATGTGCCTATTTTCACACTCATACGTAAGAGCACCCTGGGAATGAAGTGCAAGGTTCAACATTCCTGTGTTTAGAGGAATGTACTTGCTGAGGCATGAGAAGTATGAGCAGACTGCGAGGCTGTAAGAAACTCAGTTGTCCCGGGATGCTCCAACTCTGAGGGTGAGTTCCCCCTCTAAATGTGATGTTTATGGTATCACAGGAGGGTCCTGACCAAAAGTGATCCGGGCACTTTGTACTTAGTTTCTATGTATGATTGTGCCAGCTTTCACAACATTCCCACACTCTTACCAGAAGGGAGAATGATGAACTCATCACAAACCAATGTAGTGTAAGCTCCTTCACCCTATCTCGGGGTCTTTGAAGATAGAAGCTGTGCTTTCTTGATCTGTGTGTCCTCAGGCCCTAGTACGATGCCTGACATATGATAATTCCTCAATGCATTCTTGATAAGTGATTGTTTGAATGAATGAATGAAAGAGAAGGAAGACATTTCCACTGGATTAATGAAACGCTAAGTTGGAAGAGTGCATTAGGAACAGTTAAAGAATGGGCAGTGATGGAAAGCTATCTACAATGTACAGAATCTTGTTACTGTGCAGATTTGAGTCAGCCTTTGATGACTACTGATAGCTATGTCACCTAAAGAAGAGCCTTCAGGAATCTTGGATCTGTCGTTCACCCAGTGGGAGGTGGAGAAGCACTGTAGGTCAAGGCGGGCTGCTCTGTGTCCTCATGAGACCTTGGGCACCAGGGCCAGCCATGCTTTGGAGGGGTTTTCCAGGATCAGTTGCCTTGATTCAGCCCCAGTGGCCCTGCTACACTGATCACAGCTGGTTGGACCAGAGGTGGACACCTGACCAAAAAGGTAGCTGCAACAGGCTGACCAGCATCCTAGGAGGTGGTCTGACATGAAGCTCTGCCCAGTAGATTTCTATACACATGGCGGCTGGATCACCCAGTCAAACCTTCTCTCCCAGGAAGTCTGAATATGAGCTAAATAGAGAAGCCAACAGCAGCAAAAGCCGAGAGGAATACAGAGGGAAGGCATTAAGCAGAAGCTTTTAAGGAGAGGGAAAGAGAGGAGAAACAATGCAGGCAGAAAGAGGAATAGAGAGGGAGGTGCTGGGTCCCACACATGGCAGACACGCTGCCACAGGGTCACCATAATGTGACCGTGCTCATAAATCCTGGGGACAAATGAGGCTTCAGTTCCCAGGAATCCTGGCTAGGCGGCCCCAGACACATTCAAACAAATCTCATGACCCAAGGCAGCCCCTAGTTCTTCCTGCAACCCTGAGGAGCCTCATTCCCAAATTTCACTTCTTGGGTCCCAGAGCCAGGCTGGTGTGGATGACACAGAAGGAAGACCTGTGACTGTAGGATGCTGTGTGCTGTGGGAAACCAAGGGGTTCTGTAAACTGTAGGCTCTGCCCCTGCCCTGGAAGGGATTCATACTGGAGTTAGAAAAGCCAGAAAAATCCACACACAGGTGTCCAAGGTGTTATATATTAAGTAGCCAAAGTGAGAGAAAAGACAAGGGCTGCCAAGAGTAAGAAGTGAAGAGGGCAAGGTGGGCTGGGCAGGGAACACAGGGAAGGCCTCGGAGCTGGGGACTGAGTGCTGAGGGTGGGCGAGACGGCCGCATGGAAAGGTGCTTGCAGACATGTGCACAGGGTGGCAAATGCCTGCAGCGTGTGCAGCTGGGCTGAGAAAGGCAGCTCTGGTCTCTGCAAATCTGCAGGGGTTTCTGGATGCCTAGAGTGACCAGAAGCACGGATTGAACCTGTCAAACAACCCGAGTGAGTGGACAGGGCCCAGATGGTATTTCCTGACTTGGGGGCCAGCTGTGATCCTGAACGTCCCCTAGTGCCCTGGGATCAGCACATTTGAAGGCATGTCTGCGTTTCTTCCTGGGAAACACAGATCTCTGATGAAGATAGGCTATGATGTGAGAAACTTCAACCAGGCGTAAATTGCAAAGGGCAGCAGAGTGTTCTGTTCGCACATCAAGAACGTATCCCAGCCTTAGAAACAAAATAGAAACGGAGAGCTGAATCTAGAGAGCCGGACAGCAGGCTGCCTGGCAACCACCAAGGAACACGACGCTCTTAGCCTGGTTCTGCTCCTACTGTGCAAAGGGCAGTCTGGAGATAGCAGGTCAACATCCACTTGGAATCGAAAAGGTTAAAAAAGCATGCATTTGGATGGCTCTCTGTTCTCTTTTTCTTTTCATATTTGTTAGTGCCTGTTACCTGCAGATCGAGGGAACGCTGTCACTAATGTTATGTTTTATAGGCGAGCCTTTGCTGAGTAAGAGACTACACTCAAAAGAATCACCAGGACCCTCCCGATTTTCAAGGCAGGGGGCAGGTCCCAGTCCCTACACTCCTTGGTCTCTGAGACATCGGACACTATGCCTTTCATTCCCATGGGATGCTCTCATTTTCCTTGGCTAGGTCTATTACATTGAGAACAAGGCTGGGCCCTTGAGCATGTGCTGCCTGACTCTTTAGAGCACGGGGTGCCTTCCTTGTGGGGTCTGAAATCAAAGACAACATGCCTGCAGATAGTTTTCTTGAATTTTTGAAGACATCTGGGGCCTGGGCCACACATAAGATACTGCAACCAGCTAATAATTAAACCTGGATGCCACCTGCCAGCTCATTCTCCAGGTTTGGCAAATGAAACACACATTACTAGAGGAAGGACATCTTTAGGGGAAGGAAGGCCCATCTTTAGGGGAAGCTGCATCCCTGGTATCTTTAGAACAATGAGGCTTCCCCAGAAAGGAGGGCTTCTGAGACCTCAAGGAGACAAAGTACTGTGAATCTCAAGTGCCGCTTGCTTGAGCAAAATGCAACCGACTTTCTAAGAAACCATGAGATTTCTGAATAAGGAGAAAGGGCTTTTATCAGGGTTTTTCTAGCTCCATAGTTTGTTAGCAGAACACAGAGTTGGATATGATAGCTTGAAGCCTGTGGTATGAACTGATGTGTCTTTCTAGGGTTTGACACTTAGTAGACACCCCACAAATGTCACTTGGTTACAGAAATAAGTGAAGGTTTAAAATGAAAGAAGAAACGTACTGTGTCTTTATTTCCTGTGGCTCTAGCTGATCCGGGACAATGGACTGAATGCCATCATGAGCCTCAATGGACTTACCTGTAAGAAGGGTCACGTGAGATTCCAACGCTAATGAGCGTGAAAGGTTTTTGCAAACAGGAACTGCAGCACAAAGGAGAGGTAATATGTTGCTGTTGGGTGAGGTGTCCTGGCTGGGTTTGCTTTAGTCCTCACTTTCGGTACATTTCCTGCCTAAGATATTTGTGATGGTGGAAGAAAGGCCTGGATTTCTTCCTTTAAGATTAGGAGTGGCTAGTTTCCCTTTTGGGGGCTGTTCCTAGGACTTGAGGCACCGTCTCAGAGCTGAGGAGTAAGCAAGGCTAAGCCGCAGTGCAGCTGGACAGAAAGCCGGAGAGGTATTGCTGGGCTTCTGGAAGTCCCTGAAGGGTGGAGCTTCTCAATAGGTAGCAAAATGACAAACTCTAGACAACTCCAGGATGTGTTCAATGATAAAACACAGGCTCTGGAAGCTGGCCTGAGAAAGAAGTCTTAATTCCTTAAGGACCCGAGCGAGACCCAGTTCTAAATCTTAGAAAAGAAGTTTGCAAGTGTCTTAGTGGATGCAGAGTCAAGATAAACAGAATTTTCTAGCACCGTGGAAGGAACAGAAATTACAATAAAGAAGAAATAGAATCAAAAGGAACTTGGCTGACTTTTATAGCTTCTGGTTGTCTATTTCTGGGACATCTATGTTCAGTGGCAAAATGAAAAAAGAAAAAAAAAGAAAAAAACAACTACACAAACACACATGCAAAAGCTTTCAAAGAAGGCAAGAAAAAGCTATGCCCCTGGGATAGAAGGCTCTTTCCTGAGACTTTCTTTGTTATCCTAAGTCCTGCAAATCTTCAAATGTTACCTGAGAGTGTTTCATCTGGAATTCAAAGTCAAAACCAAAACAAAACTAAAACCCAAAAAGAAAGGCAGGAGAGAACAGCTAGTCTTGAAAATAGGCAGACTAGTTGAGGGAAACAAATCTGTGTGTGCTTTGCCATGAGGGGCAACTGAAGGAAGAGAGGAGCCTGGATTATCCATGATTTAAGTATTTGTAATTGAGGGAACAGAAAAGGTGTCCTCTCTCTGTGTTTAGCCAGCAAGGGAGCATGGCTGAGTTGCCTTGAGCTCCTGACCCTATCATGAGAAGCCATGAAGGGGTGAGGTGGGTGCTACCATGGGCCAGCCTCCGGGTGAGAAGGATGGATACGAGGGTGCGGTACAGGCAGCAGGAGCTGTGCCAAGCAGAGTGGAGGCTGCCCCTTTCCCCAAGCACATCTCACACTGCACCTTGGCCTTTGGTGGAGCCACTGACTTCTGGAGAGCCCCATGCTGTGTGAGTGCTAAATGCGGAATGCAGGCACTTTGTGAAGTCTTTATTCGGTGGCTCGAAATGCTCAGAGCTTGAGAAGAAAAATCAACACCAAATGGGTTAGCTTCCTCTAGATGCTTTTGGATGAAAGCTCTTCCAGGTTCTGTGGATGGATGGACGCTGACACAGCACCCTCGTTTGTAAAGCAGGGCTGGTGGCATCCACTTGGAGGCTGGCACAAGGGTTGTGTGGGATTTCCCTGCCCGCCAAGCTCCTAGCCCTTGATTCAGTGTCTGTGGCTCCTTTAGGACCTGTGCTGGACCTTCATTAAAAACCAACAAAAGTAGGAAAACTGATGCAAATAAAAGAAATAATACCACAGATGACCATTCATTCCATGTCAGAAACAAATGCCTGGATATTCCTTTATGATAAACCTGGAGAGCAGGAACCACCCATTGAAGACAGTGTGGGCCACAGACCCCACGGTCAGAGAATGGGTGGTGGGAGCAGGGCTGGCGTGGGGGCCTGGGAGAAGGCAGGGGACGTGCGTGGAAACAGAGGCGCAGTCTGGGTGAGGGGTCCAACCCTTAGGCAGCACTGACATCTCCCCGCTATGCTGGTCTCCACCCTGGCCCCAGCATTCACACTGCATTCCTGCTTTGCAACTGTGAACCCTGTGAAGCACCGAGTGGAGTGTCCAGCCTGGAGTGAGCACTCCCTCACAGTGTGATGATTCCAGCCCAGAGTGAGCACTCCCTCACAGCGTGATGATTCCAGCCTGGAGTGAGCACTCCCTCACAGCGTGATGATTCCAGCCTGGAGTGAGCACTCCCTCACAGATTCAAGCCCGGAGTGAGCACTCCCTCACAGCATGATGGTTCCAGCCCAAGTGAGCACTCCCTCACAGATTCCAGCCCGGAGTGAGCACTCCCTCACAGTGTGATGATTCCAGCCCAGAGTGAGCACTCTCTCACAGTGTGATGATTCCAGCCCGGAGTGAGCACTCCCTCACAGCGTGATGATTCCAGCCTGGAGTGAGCACTCCCTCACAGATTCCAGCCCAGAGTGAGCACTCCCTCACAGCATGATGGTTCCAGCCCAAGTGAGCACTCCCTCAAAGATTCGAGCCTGGAGTGAGCACTCCCTCATAGTGTGATGAGTCCAGCCCAGAGTGAGCACTCTCTCACAGTGTGATGATTCCAGCCCGGAGTGAGCACTCCCTCACAGCGTGATGATTCCAGCCTGGAGTGAGCACTCCCTCACAGAATCCAGCTTGGAGTGAGCACTCCCTCACAGTGTGATGGTACCAGCCTTGGTGAGCTGTCTCTCACAGTGTGATGATTCCAGCCTGGAGTGAGCACTCCCTCACAGTGTGATGATTCCAGCCTGGAGTGAGCACTCCCTCACAGCTATGATGTTTCCAGCCTAAGTGAGCACTCCTTCACTGATTCCAGCCCGGAGTGAGCACTCCCTCACAGTGTGATGATTCCAGCCTGGAGTGTGCTCTCCCTCACAGTGTGATGATTCCAGCCCAGAGTGAGCACTCTCTCACAGTGTGATGATTCCAGCCCGGAGTGAGCTCTCCCTCACAGCGTGATGATTCCAGCCTGGAGTGAGCACTCCCTCACAGTGTGATGATTCCAGCCTGGAGTGAGCACTCCCTCACAGCATGATGGTTCCAGCCCAAGTGAGCACTCCCTCACAGATTCCAGCCCGGAGTGAGCACTCCCTCACAGTGTGATGATTCCAGCCCGGAGTGAGCTCTCCCTCACAGATTCCAGCCTGGAGAGAGTACTCCCTCACAGCATGATGGTTCCAGCCCGGAGTGAGCACTCCCTCACAGTGTGCTGATCTCATTTGTTGCCAAAGCAATCATTCCCTATTACGGAGAAGAGAACACCATTTTGACTTGCATGAGGCCACACGCCTAGTCACTGGCTGGCTCGAGCCCAGGTTCTGACTTGAAATCCAATTCCCACAAAATGCTTTCCTTAGCAAATGATTCCTAATTAATACAACAACAGAAAGGCCTCACAATGTCAAATCTTAGAATGAGATCAGGTTTCCAGCAGGTGTCCCTGCATTCACCCACCTCCTGCGAATGGCTTCCTGGCATTAGGTTTCAGGGTGTCACTGGGTGGGTTGAGGGTGTGGGGATGGTGAGGGAGGAGACCCTGGGCCTGGTTTAGTGGAGGGGGAGAGGCTTCACCTAATTTTCAGGGGTCCAGCTCCAGTTGACTTTCCTCTTTGTGCTCCTAGGCATGAATCCTTGAGCGATTAAGACAGTGGGAGTGACGGGGCAGAGTCACCACGGAGGTGGGTGTCTGCAGATGTCTGTGAGGCTGATGGTGTGTGGGTTCTCTAGGGTCCTGTAACTTTATTATCTTTAGACTCAAAAGGTGTTCTGGGATCATCGTATTTGCATTGGTGGGAGTGTGTGTAGAATAATAGCAGTTATTTTGGGAGAAGTTACCCTGCGCCAGGTGCTGTAAATATCACCTCCTCCTTCCATTCTTAAGATGGGAGTATCCACAGTGGTAAGCTGGTAAACCAAGTGTCCAGAAAAATTAATCCCTCATTTGTAGTGTTTGCTGATTGCCATGATGTGAATTGCTTTTACCACTGCGGATTTCAAGATTATCGACCATTCACAGGATTCCTGAATATCTACCCGTCAACTCTTATGAGCCAGAGGAACTGGCTCTAGTACAAATAAGCCAAGTAAGGGATTGTACAGACATAGGAGTAAGCAATAGAGATTTTTTTTTTGAGACAGGGTCTGGCTATGTTGCCCAGGCTGCAGTGCAGTGGTGCCGTGATAGCTCACTGCAACCTTGACCCTCTTGGGATTAAGTGATCCTCCTGCCTCAGCCTCCCAGGACCACAGGTACATGCCACCATGCCTGCCTACTTTTTTGTTTTTTTGTAGAGATGAGAGCTTGCTGTGTTTCCCAGGCTGGTCTTGAACTCCTGAGCTCCAGTGATCCTCCTGCCTTGGCCTCCCAAAGTGCTGGGATTACAGGTGTGCGCCACCGTGCCTTCCCGGCCTTAGATATTTTACAGGCGAGGAAACTGAGGATTAGAGATCACATGGCTCAGCCCTGCTCACATGGGTTGCAAGAGTTGCCCTCAGTCTGACCCCCAAGGCCATTGCTTTTAAGTCCTCCTCTTGACAGCCTCCTGGCCCCTATCTGAGGCTCAGCTGAGTGGTGACTGTTCCATGTTTGAGGCTGGGGAGGAGATCAGCTCGCAGTTCAGCTTCCTGTCCCCCAGGTGGCAGGGGCGGTCCTGGCTGGGAAGGCTAATTTGTCCGGGCTGCATCTCTGTCCTACTCTCGCCAGCTCTGCCACAGGGCCTCTGTCTTTCCCTTGCGCTTTGAGGTTTCTCTGGGTGCCTCACCCTCCTCTTCTTGTTCCCAGACACACCACTGTGAAATGAATGGCGGGACTGCACTGAACGGCAGAATGTTTGAGGGCTTGGTCATACAGCTGGAGGGAAGAGTGAGACCAGGAAGAGCTGAAACGCGGCCTCTCCATCCCTGTTACAGCAGCACCTTTCTCACTGGGCTGCAGGCACCCTGACCGCAAAGGTGTTCTCACAACCCCGCAGGGTCTTGCTCCTCCCTGTGCCGCCAAGCTTGCCACTCCATCTGCCTGGCACGCTCATCCCCGCCATCCCCATCACTGGCTTCCCATTGTCCCCTGGGTCTTGTCCTTGAGGAAGCCTCACAAGTCATCCTGTCTAAGTAGCACTGTTGGTCTTCTCCATAGAACCTTCTCTTCCTTTCCTGGCATCTATATCATCCTGGAACCATTTTATCTGCGTGTTCACCTGTCCAACCACACTGCGATGGTTTTAAAATATGTTCTTAATTCTTAGACACTCCTTCCTTCCAAAGGCAGAGTGTCATTCCTCTCCTTTTGAGTGTGGGCTGGACTTAGTGATCCCGTTCTGCAGATGAGAACATGGCAGAAGAGGTGCTGTTAGGACTTCTGGGCTGGGTCACGAAAGGACAGCTGCTGGCTGGCCTGCTGTCTTTTGGACTGCTCTCCCCAGGGGCAGCCAGATGCTACATCGTGATGACACTCAAGCAGTCCTACCCAGAGGCCCATGTCAGAAGGAACGAATGCCTCTCACCCACAGGCAGCACCAACTCGCCAGCCACGGCTACGAGCTGCTTTAGAAGTTGACTCAGCCCAGTCGAGCCTTCAGATAACTGCAGACCCAGCCAACATCAGATGGAACCTACAAGAGAATAAGTCCTGGTCCCGACCTGCCCAGCCAAGCTGGTCCTGAATTCCTGACCCACAGAAGCTGCAAGAATAATGTCTCCTGCTACTTTAAGCCACTATGTTTTGGCATATTAGGTAGCAATGGAGGATTAATATAAATGTTGAAATGCTATGATTCCTCATTTCATGGACAAGGAAACTGAGCCACAGAGAATTTACACGGCTCACCTAAGGCCACACAGAGTCAGAATTTGGACAGAGGCAGTCTGATTCCAGAGTCCACACCCCTGAGCCCTGTACTACAACCTCCCTCCAAACAAGGCACCATCTCAAACAGTGTCATTTTTCCTGTGAAGCCCCGATTAGGTGGTGGGCAGGCACAGGATCTTTCCCTCCCCAGACAGATGTAAGTCCAACAGCGTGAGGCTTCTGACAGCTTGGTGCTCCACACAGGGCAGGGGTGCAGAGTCCTGCCTGACCACCAGCCATCCAGCTGTCACGAGCCAGTACCCTTGCTCCTGGGTCTGACTGGAACTTCAGGCGAGTGTCTCATGCTTAAGAACCTGCCTTTTTCCTTTTATCCCTATGTTTTGGGATGCAAGAAAATGCCTCTCAGATGTGGTGTGGTCTCCTGGCACCTCACCTAGGATGGGAGGCCTGGGATAGAGAAAGGCTCAGGTTCCTCCTGTCTCACCTGGGCTGGGAATGAAGGACTGTTCTCCCTTCTCTTCAACATACATTCTGGAGGCGGGGTGGGGAACTGTCTTAGGCCTGGGTCAAGAGGGGAGGGCCAGACGGTCTTGGGCTGAGTGTGCTGAGCTCAGAGAGGCACATGTGGATGAGACAAAGCCAGGCAGGTCAGGGAAGAGCCAGAAGAAAGATGCACTTTGTGGGTCCTAGGCATCTGGGTTCCAGGCTAGGGAAACTGGGCAGGGAAGCCTTGCCAGGGGACGCCCCTTAGAGTAAGGGCCAATGGTGGTGTTGCGTGTGTGTGTGCTATGTGCTGTATGTGGTGTACGTGTGGTATGTGTGGTGTGTGTGCTGTATGTGTGTTGTGTGTGCATGTGTGTGCGATGTGTGTGTATGTATTGTGTGTGTGTGTGCATGTCTGTGTGTGTGGTGTGTGCCATATGTGGTATATGTGTGTTGTGTGTGGTAGTGTAATGTGTGTAGAGTGGTGTCTGTGTATGTGCTGTGTGTCTTGTGTGTATTAGTGTGTGTATATTTGTGTGTTGTATGTAGTGTGTGTGTATATTTGTGTGTGTTGTATGTAGTGTGTGTGTATATTTGTGTATGTGGTGTGTGTGTTGTGTTGTGTGTGTATATTTGTGTGTGTTGTGTGTATGTAGTTTGTGTGTATATTTGCGTGTGTGTTGTGTGTATGTAGTGCATGTGTATATTTGTGTGTGTGGTGTGTGTCGTGTGTGTGGTATGTGTGTATGTGTTGTGTGTATGTAGTGTGTGTGTATATTTGTGTGTGTTGTGTGTATGTAGTATTTGTGTATGTGTTGTGTGTTGTGTTGTGTGTGTATATTTGTGTGTTGTATGTAGTTTGTGTGTATATTTGCGTGTGTGTTGTATGTAGTGCATGTGTATATTTGTGTGTGTGGTGTGTGTCGTGTGTGTGGTATGTGTGTATGTGTTGTGTGTATGTAGTGTGTGTGTGGTATGTGTGCATATGTTGTGTATAGTGTTGTGTGTCGTGTGGTGTCTCTGTGCGTGTCTGTGTGCGGTGCATGTTCATGCACTCACTTTTGCACCTGCAACCCATGCTCACTGTGCTACACTTTCCACACCTTTTGCCCCAGACCCTGATAAGGTCCAGGGAGGAGGGTGGTGAGGAATGCCTGCAACGATTTAATTAGGAATAAAGAGGAGTTGCTGATCTGGTTTAGGGCGGGCCAGGAGTCTTTTAGCTCCAGAAGGACAGGGGTGTCTGTCAGCTGTTTGCTGCTCATAAATTCCCCAGTGTGTGTGCAGGATTGCACCTATCCTCTGAGCTACCTGATGCTGGGGTCTTGACCAGATAAGAACACCAAATATCCTCTTCCTTTCTCATTAGTAGACAGGCCAGGCCCATCTGAACCCACTCCTCTGGCTCCCTGAGGAGTGTTTGGGTGTCCCCGCACTTAGCATCCAGCACAGATGGCTCCTTCCAAAGCCACACTCCAGTGGCTTCTTTGGGGTGGATGTAGACGCTCAGCCCATGGAGAGCAGCTCATCTAAGTTACAGCCCTTTAGAGTAAGGGATGTGGATGAACAGGTGAGAGGCTTCCTGCTCGTCATTAGAAATTTTTAAAAACCACGTGGTCCACAGGTCTTGAGGCCAAGGCTGATGGGCTGGCTGGGCAGGAGCCACAGGAAGAAATCCACAGGTGCTGGCCATGTGGAACTGCCTGCCAAGTTTGCTGGAAGCAGAGCCCGTTTCTTTTTTCGGCAGCCTGAATAAGAGGCAATGGGGACCCTGTTGAGGTCAACTCTTGTATGTTACCAACGCCCACAGCTGTGTGCCTCCTCTGAGGACATTCGAGTGGGCTCACCACGATGACATGGGCCTTCTGCTGGGGAGGCTGGGCCATTCGGTGACCTGTGGCGCTGCGCTGTGTGATGATTGCTGATCAGCTGTGGCTCCCAGGCCAGCTTACACATGACGATCCCCTGGGGAGGTTTTAAAGATTCCAGTGCCTGAGCCCCACTCCAAGCCAATGAAATCCCAGCCTCTGGAAGTAGGGCCTGGCATGGGCCTGTCTGCAACACGCCCCAGCTGTTCCTAATGGGCAGCCCGGGGGTAAGAATCAGCGACTGAGAATAACGATGTTCCAATCTTGATTCAGCCGGGGAAATCTTTCTTCACACAGATGCTACTGGAGTGAACACAAGCAGATGAAAACAGGGCTGTCTAAATGACACGCAGCCACCAGTGACTGCCCGGGCTCCCGAGAAATCCAGATTCATCAGGACCCACTGATTTGGGCATCTGATGATGGCATGTGAGGAGGAATTTTCCAAAGTTTCTGGGAGAGTACAAGGCAAGTCACCACCCGCTCCCAGCTGTGTGCCTTTCCTGGGGCCAGACCCTGCAGCAGCTCCCACCTTGTCCCACGCTGGATGGCAGCCTGCTTGTAGGGGGGGCCTGCAGACACCTTCTCACCCCACCCAGGACTTGAAGGCAAGGGTGGAATTTTTGGTGGATGCGATGATCTGTCTTCTCGTGGTAAGGAGGTGATTCCCTGAACAGCTGGGACAACACCATCACCTCGTCTTCCTTTCTCCTCTCTTACTTCCTGCTCCTGATCCTAGAGGAGCCACAGAGCTCGGCCCTTCCCCACCCCCGCCTTGATGTGGCTTGGGCAAGCTAAGGGCAGGTGGCTCTGTGTGTCATGAAGTCCTGTAGGGCCTGCTCCTGAGACTTTCCTGCCCACTGAGTGGGATTACTGAGTGACAGCTGGCCCTCTCAGTGACTGTGTGCCTCACCCTGTGCTTCTGGTATCTGGACAATGCCCTTCCCAAACAGGAAGTGTTTGAGCCATGTGTTCTAGATACATGGCTGTTTTTCTCTTGTTTAAAAACCTTTGTGTGTGATGTTCCCCACCCTGTGTGCAAGTGTTCTCATTGTTCAATTCCCACCTATGAGTGAGAACATGCTGTGTTTGGTTTTCTGTCCTTGCGATAGTTTGCTCAGAATGTGGGGGGAGGGGGAAGGGATAGCATTAGGAGATAAACCTAATGTAAATGACAAGTTAATGGGTGCAGCACACCAACATGGAACATGTATGTTCATATGTAACAAACCTGCATGTTGTGCACATGTACCCTAGAACTTAAAGTATAATAAAATAAAACAAAAACCTTTGTTTTACCCCTGACTCATCTCACATATCTACATACTCAAAGGCCATGTTTGTCTAGGAGTAGAACCAAGTCCCTGATTTGACAAAGTGAATTATTATAACACATTTGTGTTTAACATGCAGGTGAGTCATAGATGAAATACCACCTATGGAAACTGACAGTCGCTGCTATGCCTTTCTTGGACTATGGTGAGTGAGATTGAGGGTCTGGTAATGCAAGAGGTACCTAGTCATGGAAATGAATGGAGAAGCAGCTGGTTTGAAGGGACTTTCTCCTTCCAAAGTAATAAGCTGAGAAAACGGAAAGGTGTGAGCCATCAGCAGAGTATTTAGGAAGCATGACAGATGGAGGGGACAAAGTAAGAGAGAGACTTCAGCTTGGGATGATTGGAAGAAAAATTTGAAGATATTTACTTTTTTTTTTTTTTTAAGACAGTTTTGCTCTGCTGCCCAGGCTGGAGTGCAGTGGCACAATCTTAGCTCACTGCAACCTCTGCCTCTTGGGTTCAAGCGATTCTCCTGTCTCAGCCTCCTGAGGAGCTGAGATTACAGGCGTGCGCCACCATGCCTAGCTAATTTTTGTATTTTTAGTAGAGCCAGGGTTTTGCCATGTTGGCCAGGCTGGTCTTGAACTCCTGACCTCAGGTGATCCACCCACCTCAGCCTCCCAAGTGCCGGGATTACAGGTGTAAGCCACCGAGCTTGGCCAGAAATTTACTTTTTGATGGTGCTTTCCAAAATGAGTTTCCAGGCAGTCTGCAGTCAGTTGTATTTTTAAGGTTGAATGGGTGTTTGGTCATCCCGTGATCTTACAGTGCTTTGAAAGTGCTTTCAGAAACTGCTGCAACTGAGGGGAGAATTGAGGGTGGTTGATGGGGGAGATGCAAGTCAGGCAAACCAGCCAGAAGCCTTGCTCTAAGATGCAGGCCAAGAGGCACCGCAAATATTTCACTTCCAAGCCAAACCTTCCTTCTCAGGGGGTGAAGCAGTGTTGTGCTGGAATCAGCTGTACTGGCCTATGAGAGCCAATTGTTAAATTTTCAGGAATTTTATAAGCTGGTTGTTAAATAAGGCTATTTTCAAAATTAAATTATATAAACTTAATACTTAATTATATTAAAAGCAAAGGAAATTAATACTCAAAGCTTATAATCTTTCTACTTATTTTGTCATATTTTACTGTGTCAATGTTCTTGGGGTTGTTTCCGTCTGTTGTGTCTGCATGGTGGAAACACTTCATATGACATGCCACTGCACATCTCTTTTAAATTTTGTGTTCATGACATCGCTTTGATAGCTGGAAATTGGCCATGGTGGGATATGGATACCAGGGAGACTGTAAAACAAAACCAGTTTGGCTTGTTTTATTGTTCTGTCGATGATCAAGATCAGTGGTTCTGAACTGGGAGGATTTTTCCTCCAGGGACATTTGGCAGTATCTGGAGGCGCCTTTGACAGTCACAGATGGAGAGGGTAGGGGTGCTCCTGGCATCTAGAGGGTGGAGGCCAGGGAGGCTGTTAAACATCCTACAATGCATATGGCAGCCCCCTTTGCCTCCCAGCCCCAGACACGGAATTCTCTGGTCCAAAATGTCAATATTGCTGAAGTTGAGAAATCCTGGTCGAGATTTAAGGAAGTGATGGGAAATTAACTTAAAATAACTTAAGACTGTGTCAAGTTCATACCTGTTACATTGTGCATACTACAAAAAAACCCCTGAAGCCTTCTTTCAGTGTTTGAAAGCTATTATATGATTCATTAAAGAAGTTGTTCAAGTCAATGAATGAGTCAAGTTCTAACACACTTCTTCATCTTCTTTGTTTCACTAAATGAAGATGTCAATCACTACTTGCATGGCAACTATCCTCATTTAATTGTAGAATCAACAAAAGCATTCTGTAAGAATCAATTGGCTATGTAAAATTTATAATAAAATTATTATGCATATTTTGCATTGCATATATACAAATATGCATATTATGTATTTTGCATATTTGTAAGTTGAGTGCTGTACATCCTTCTTATCAGTAAAATGTGTGTGTGCATAATTTTTCCTGAAGAGCCTGTTGATAAACATTTACCAGCACGCCACTAGTTAGAAGCTACAGAGTTATCAGATTTTAAATGTAACACCCTCATTCTGCATCCCACACAACATGTTCATGAATTTTGTATCTGGAGAAAGCTCAGTACTGTATGGTTCGGGAAACTGTTTTTTGGGAAGAACTGGGGTAACTAAGAATGGCGGCTCTGTATGTGGGTGGAGTAGGATGCCTGTCCTGTCATGTGATTTGGGCATGCCGAAAGGCTGCCACTCCCTAAATATCCACTCCAGAGTCCTGTCTCCAGGGTTTGACATGAACCCCTTTGGAGACAGGTGGGTTGTCACTAGGCTAAAAAGGAATGGGTGCAGGGACAGAAGGGATGGGGGTGGGTAACACGGTAACTGCCTAGAGTTTTGGCAGGATTTTGATCATGCATTTAATCTGTTAGATCCCATTGTAGCCCATCTACAGCTGAAGTCAGAAAAAAATAACCAACGGGCCTGGTAAATTTGGATAGCAGGAATGAAATGGAAATCCCCCGAGGGTTCTAAGTCAGTATGGGACACTCTGATGGGACCCCGGGCAGTGGAAGCACATGGTGGTGATTGGCTAAGGGTTCCAAAGGAAGGGAATGGATGGACTTTACTGGCTTTGCAGTTGCACCAAAGGAAACGATCACTGAATCTAGACCAGGGGTCCCCAAACCGTGGGCCATGAACCAGTGCTGGTCTGTGGCCTGTTAGGAACTGGGCCACACAGCAGGAGGTGAGTGGTGGATGAACGAGCATTACTCCCTGAGCTCCACCTCCTGTCAGATCAGTGGAGGCATTAGATTCTTACAGAAGCACGAACCCTACTGTGAACTGCACCTGCGAGAGATCTAGGTTTTGAGCTCCTTATGAAAATCAAATGCCTGATGATCTGAGAAACAGTTTCATTCCCAAACCACCCTCTTCTACCCCCACATCCCCTGATCTGTGGAAAAATTGTCTTCCACAAAACTGGTCCCTTGTGCCAAAACGCTTGGGGACTGCTGATCTAGACTAATGAGATGCAACTCTTAAGAAGCCCACTTGGATATTCCAAGGGTCTCCCCATCCTCAACACACCGCATTAGTGTTGGGCACACTGTACATGGGATTGGAATTGTTCTGTGTCCCATTATCTGACAGCTTCAAGGATTGGCGAGCACACATCTTTGTCTAGGTGAGAAAGATGGGAGACAGAGGGCGTCCAGCTGCCTCGTCCTCACCTCAGGGAAATCTTAAGCATGTCGTCATTTGTGTTCACAGTTTGGCGTTCGAATCTATGATTAAGAACTTAGGATGGGTAGAAGGGTCAAAAGGACAGTAGAATTGTGGTACGTAGGATCTGCAAGGGACCTTAGAACACTCTAGTTCAAATCTCATCCTTCACAGAGCAGGAAGCAACCGGAGCAGTTAAGTGACCTCTTCCAGGGAACCAGGGAAGAGGCTGGGCCACACTTGGGAGTTGCCACTGCCAACCCTGAACTCTCACCACTCCCCAGCCCCAGTGAGAGTGACAGGGAGAGGCAGGAAAGTGAGAAACCCAGCAGTCCAAAATGTCAATACTGCGGAAGCTGAGAAATTCTGATCTAGATCTAAGAAAGTGATGGGGAATTAATTTAAAATGATTTAAGACTGTGTCATGTCCATAC
This sequence comes from Homo sapiens, assembly GCF_000001405.40. Classification (NCBI taxonomy): domain Eukaryota; kingdom Metazoa; phylum Chordata; class Mammalia; order Primates; family Hominidae; genus Homo; species Homo sapiens. Next base: position 37,767,694 of record NC_000021.9, read on the forward strand.
TGGTTATATTGTGAATACTACAAAATACTGAAGAAATATTCTTTCAGTATTTGAAACTACTATGGGCAAAAGGTTTGTTTTTTTCTCTCCCTCCAATAGTCCTAAAATTGTATTTTGAGAAATCGTGAGAGGGGAATTTAAATTTAATTTTCATGTTTCCACTAAAAAAGTGTATTGATTAGATTTTAGCTTTAACTGTTGTTTGTATTTTATACACCTAAGCTTGGAAAATGATCTGTACTTAGAGGAAGACACAGAGTCTAGAGGTCTGGGAAATCATATGTGAGAACAAAAACTCTTTTTAGACATGTGGGCTTTCATGCAAATTATATTTCCAAAGGACTTGGGTAAAATTTTTAAATTAAAATACTGTAGGTGGCTGTGTATGGACTTTTTTTTTTTTTTTTCGAGCATCTGTGTGAGTCATCTTGAGCTGTCTGACTTTTTCTTCTCAGCCATATGTCAGCCTGTTTGTCCTTCCCAAGCTGCCGGGTTAACAGAGTTGATTCCCTGAGGCCACTCCATACGGGTCACTGTGACATGTCAGTCAGGCCATCTCCTGTGTGATATGGTGGTCAGAGACCTCTGGGGCATTCGTGGGACCCTTGGAGGGAAGGTGCTGTTCTATTTCAGCTTCTGAATTTTCACATTAATGATAACATAAGAGAATGACATCCAAGCTCCTTCCGGAGTTGCTGCACTCACATCTCTAAAATTTCTGGCAGTTCCTCCTTACCAAATTATCCAACTAAAGGAAAAAGTAGGGAAGAAGAAAAAGGAAAAAAACTGAGCAACCAAAATACAACTGTTGAATTTACAAGATGGAGGATGACACTGGATGTTCATAGTGCATAGATTCATGAACCCTCTCAGTTTTCCCTGCTGCTTTGTAAAAGGTGGGAACAGATCTTTACCATGTACAAGAGGTACTGTGTTATGAGTTATCACACCTGATTTACTTAAAACATATACACTCTTAGATGTAGCTATCATTATCTCCAATAAGCACAAGAGGCAACAGGCTTATAAGGAAACTGTCCCCATGCTCCTAATATGAAGTTGGCCTGGAATTTACATACAGCATTTTTCTCTATGCTTTTCTGTTCAACTGTCTCTTGGTGCAAGATGAAATAACACAAGTAAATGGCAAAACGTAATTGAATGGGAAGGGGCACTTATTTTTTGAGTTAGTGTAGAAATGTGTGTTGGGGAGCCCACCTACCTGAAGGGAATTTATAGCTCAGATGGAAGTTTACCTGCATGCAGGTGTGTTTAGGAGAAAGTACCAACTTTGATGAATCAGCCTGAGGAAGTCCAACCTAGGATGTGATTGTAAACATTGCACGCATGGTAACTGATTGAACCAGTTGAATTTTGGATAGAGACATTGTTCAGCTCTTCAGATGCTGCGCACGGGGTGATGTGGAGTATAGTTAGGACACTAGGCTGTGGTTAAGCTGCATTGATATACTGTGTCAGTGTGGGCAGGCAATTTCCCCTAAGAGCTTACGTGATGTTCCAGATGAAAACTGAACTCTCTTCTCCGCCTGAAAATGTAAGGTCACATGGAAAAGGTGGCTAATGTGTGTATGCCAGCCTCTGAACATGGTGTATATTGTGTTCAGATACCCCCCACCCCTTTTAGTTTTATACAACTTCAGACTTTCTTAGTTGTGAAAGACTTAAGTAAGACCTGATCTGGTCCTGTAGCCTTCAATTTTATTATTATTATTATTATTATTATTATTATTACTATATTTTTTTAGTAGCAGAACACTTTATTTTCAAACTCAACATAGGCAATATATAAAAGCTAAGCCACTCTGGATGCAACGGCTGCTAGGACCCACACCCTAATATCTTATCTCCTTTCCCCACTGAGACGCCTCCGAGAAATCCTAGAGTTCTAGAGAACAGAGCTGGAAAAATGCTGCAAGTTACGGAATTGATTGGGAAGTAATGGGATCCTGACATTTGGAATGGGGGCTGCTATGGTTTGAATATGTCCTCTCAAAAACTTAGGTGTTGAAACTTAATGGCCAATGGGATGGTATTCAAAGGTGGGGCCTTTAAGAGGTGATTAGGTCCTGAGGGTTCCTCCCCTCATGAATTAAGGGATTAAGGTGCTTGCTAAAGAGGCTTCATGCAGCGTTAAGCCCTTTTGTTCTTGCCCTTACTCCTGCCATGTGAGGACAGTGTTCCTCCCCTCCAGAGAAAGCATCTTGGAAGTGGAGAGCCATCCTCATCAGATAATTGAACCTACTGGTGCCTTGATCTTACACTTCTCAGTCTCCAGAACTGTGAGAACATACATTTCTATTCTTTATAAATTGCCCAGTTTCAGGCATTCCATTATAGCAGCACAGGTGGATAAAAACAGAGACATTTCGGCAGATCCTTATGAAACTAGGGTTACCAGCCCCTGTATTCTACCCAGTTGTCTTGGCCAGTAGGAGCTGCACTTTCACCCTATCTGAGGAAGTTTTCTCTGTTTTGGCTCAGGAATCTGTAAGGGCCTCTCTTGGGACAGCTGTCTTGTAAGACACTGCTGATTCTCCTCAAGACTTTCGCGGGCCATTTCTATACTCAAGTCACAGCGGGCTCCAAAGGGTGAGGGGCAGAGTGTGACCTGTGAGGAGGTGCTCTACACTCTAAAAGAACTGCATGATTTTTTTTTTTCAATTTATAGAGAAGGAATTGATTCTCATGCCTGTGAATCAACAGGCAAAGAAGGGGATTAATATACCACTTGAGGTGATTGATCCTTATCAACAACAGGAAATTGGATTGCTACTACATAATTGATGTAATGAAGAGTGTGTCTGGAATACAGGAGATCCTTTAGGGCATCTCTTAGTACTATCAAGCCAGTGCTGAATGTCACAATGGAAAATTATAAAGCTGTCCTCTGCAGGACTGATAATGGCCCCGGCCTTTCAAGAATGAGGTTTGGGTCCCTCCACTAAACAAAGAACCATGACTAGCTGAGGAGTTTGCTCACGGCAAAGGTAATAGAAAATGAGTCATGGAAGAAGGTAGTTACATCAGCTATGATCATAAACCAGTTGCAGAAATGAAGATTGTAATAGTTATATTTTTTCCTATTTTGAGGGGATATATTTGTATATATATGTTTTCCCCCTTCTTTTATCTCCTATCTAATTATCATCTATTAATGCATCTGTTATCACCTATTAGTATATCTATTAATAAGATATATTAATAATGGTTAACTTTATATCTCAGCATTTAAAGTGTAGAATGTCAAAGGATAAGCAGAACATCAACTAAGGACTTTGCGTCGTTTTCTAGGAAAAGAGTTGGTGTGCTTTTGCCTGTACACAGGATATTTGGTCACATAAGGAGGAATTATGACATGGCTATTGTCTTTATTTGGCGAGTAAGTGTGTTTTAAGGAGATAGTGTGGTTGCTCAGTTGATAGGCGTGGTCTTTGTTGGTCTTTTAGGTATCAACATGGCTTAGCAGTAGTCCCCAGTTATTCACTCACCCAAATACAAATATAGATGCTGCTGTGAAGGTATTTTGCAGATATGATTAAAGCCCATAATCAGTTGACTTTGAGTGTGAGAGATTATCCTAGATAATCTAGATGGACCTGAATCCTTAAAAGCAGGGTTGAGTCTTCTCTGAGATAAGAAGAGATTCTGCCTGTGGACCGAAGCTTCAGCTTGTGCCCAAGAGTTTTGGTCTGTTCTTCCAGATGGCTTATCCTACGCATTTCAGACTTGACTAGCCAGCTGCCACAATTACACAAACCTATTCTCTGCAATAAATCTCTTACTATATTTCTCCTACTGGTCCTACTTCTCTGGTAAACGTTGACTGATACACTTGAGCTGACTTTCTAGTGGGTGTGTGGGTGAGGTATCTGCTCATTAGTCTATGGTCCACCAGAGCCCCTGTAGGTGGTCCCAGAAGTGAGGCTACAAGCACTGCTAGATCCAAGGAGATGCGCCAGATAGCTCCTTCTGATTTATAGAAAATGATGTTTTAATGACCACCTAATTTCTAGTGAATGATTTTTGGTTGAGGCTGATGTAGTTTTATATGTATTACTTGGAACTTCCCAAAGTATGCTTTTTTCGGGGGGAAAATAAGGGCAGGAATTTCTCTGGGCAAATAAGTCTGAGATGTGGTGTTGAAGATAATTCTTTATTTTAGGATTTTTCATGGCCTCTACAATGCTACTGGGCATGAGAGGTCCAAAAAACGAACAGAATATGCAGTTTATACCCATCTTGTCTGAATATGGAACGATGTTTTCCCCTTCTGGGGACTGCAACATGAAAATTGCATGAAATACATTTTTGGAACACTTATCCACACATCTATGGCCCATAAATAAAATTATCTCATCTGCATCTTATTAGCTTGCCTTTTACTTCACCCATAGTGACTCATAATTAGACAATGGTCCTACTTATTAAAATGTTTCATAGTAAAAACAAAGAACCAAAAATTAAAGAGTGCCCCAAAATTATATTTGAAAAAAGGATATTCATGTCCTAATCTCAAAAGGTTACCCAATGGAAACAGAGCACGCCGAGACAATTTATTATTGGTTGCACATATTATTATGTTTATACCAGTTGGTGAAGTGAAAATCTTCTAGTTTGCTTATTTAGGGTTCATTGATAGAAACACACACACACACACACATGCATGCATATTTAACAGTAGAAATTTAACCATTTGCAGATTACAGCAGATGGAAATTACCTGTTTTTCATTCAGGCACTTAATAGTTATTTTAGAATCGTCATACTTTTAAATTCTACTCTATAATTTTTCCAACAGTGAAAAAAGAAACTAAAGCAATGCTGTAACATTAAATATTTTAAATGGGTTTAATTTTAAAAGACAAAATTATAAAGCTCAAGAGACTTGGGTAGAATGTCTTATGATTATGTTGGCACCTTAGTATTTTCTGATATTTATCTGTATAGCCTATATTTCTCTTGCTATTTACTCTCTTTCAACCAAAAATTTGAGGTAGTTCATTTGGCTTTCTTACCGTGTTTACTTTTATATTACTTCTAAACATTTTTATTCTTCACTAAATATGATAAAGTACATGTAAAACCTAAATATGTAATTTACAAGTTTCAGTAGTATGAAGAGACTTGCCATGATTTCTTTATGCTGTATTAAATGTACTATATATATGTTATACTATAGCATTAACTCAACAAGGATACTGTGAAATGACTGAATCCTTTCAGGAAGCCTGATGAGTTCATTTGAAAGGTCTTTTTCATATGGAATACATCAGGGAATTAATTAGTGGGGAGATCTATCTTTTTCTACTTCTCTAACACGATAGCCATTCTCGGGCAGTTCCAGGGCCTTCAGGGTGTCTGTATCACTGGGGTGTTGTTATACTGTGGCCTGTATACAGTAGGTGCTAAATAACTGTTTGTGGATGATGATCCTTTTCCACTGTTTTCTTGAACTCATGTTGCCTACCTAGATAGGTTGCCCACATGGGATGGCTGTGAAAGGCTGGGAGGTAGCTCTGAGGCTTCACGGCATAGCAGGAGGCTCTCTGGACATTTCTGTAGCATGCTGGGTTCCAGCCTCAGCCCCGTCAACTGGCTACATGTCTTGGGCAAGTCACTCCACTTCCTTGTCTTCATTTTCAAGGGCAGGAACCATGTCCTATTTATCTTTATCTCACCAGTACCAAGATAGTTCCTGGTAAGGGAAACAGCTGCTATTCTCTCCTTCTTATGAGTAGGGAGCAGAGGGAAGGTGTGAAGTCGCTAACTACGGATCTCCCTTCATCCCTCCCCTTCACCTCCCCCTTTCCTCCCCAGACAACACATAATTGCGCATCCATGTTAAAGTGGGTCTTTTGGAGAGGGGGATGGAATTGTCGACTTCTGTTTGTAATTGCTTTCTTAACATGGAAACTGAAATTTGACATGTTGCACGTTAAATTCATCATCTCTATTTTTCTCTAACTGCCCCAATGTGGGCACCAAATGGACCCTCTGCACCACACCTGCACCAGGGCTGACAGTACTAAGAAATATCATTCTCTTATAGTCCTAGGATTACTGTTATTCCATCCCTCCTGAGTTCTCCAATCTTGTCATGAATTTTTGAAGATCCGTTTTCTAGCTCCAGTTTGAAGCATCCATCCCCTCCAGGTGCACGGCCAGTCCCCTGGGCCATGTCCTGCTCCATTCATACCTGGGCTCTGTACTTCTCATGACCCCGTATTTCCTCTGGGTCACCCTCATGTGATGATTTCCAAAACACTGTTTTTATCACATCATTCCCTCAAGAACTTAAAACTGCTCTCTACATCACACTGAATCTTACCTCCCTGGCCTGACCCTGAAGATGGATTCTGTGTCCTTATCCTACCTTTTCCTTCATTCTTCTTGTCTTATCCTTACTGATAGCATAACAGGTAAGAGTGAGGGTTCTGGAGTCAGGTTCTGCCCCTTGCTAACTGCTCGACCTCAGGTAAGTTTCTTAATCTCTCTGGGCCTCAGTTTCCTCAGCTGTAAAATAACAATAAAGCATTTACTTGACACAATTGTTTGAGTGCTGAATAATTGTTTGGGGTAAGAATTTTAGAAGATAATAGCAGCTTGTCCCTATGCAGGGTTTACCTTAGGGCTATTCTTTTTTTTTTATTATACTTTAAGTTTTAGGGTACATGTGCACAATGTGCGGGTTTGTTACATATGTATACGTGTGCCATGTTGGTGCGCTGCACCCATTAACTCGACATTTAACATTAGGTATATCTCCTAATGCTATCCCTCCCCCCCTCCCCCTACCCCACAACAGGCTCTGGTGTGTGATGTTCCCCTTCCTGTGTCCATGTGTTCTCATTGTTCAATTCCCACCTATGAGTGAGAACATGCAATGTTTGCTTTTTGTCCTTGCCATAGTTTGCTGAGAATGATGGTTTCCAGCTTCATCCATGTCCCTACAAAGGACATGAACTCATCATGTGTTATGGCTGCATAGTATTCCATGGTGTATATGTGCCACATTTTCTTAATCCAGTCTATCATTGATGGACATTTGGGTTGGTTCCAAGTCTTTGCTATTGTGAATAGCGCCGCAGTAAACATACATGTGCATGTGTCTTTATAGCAGCATGATTTATAATCCTTTGGGTATATACCCAGTAATGGGACGGCTGGGTCAAATGGTATTTCTAGTTATAGATCCCTGAGGAATTGCCACGCTGACTTCCACAATGGTTGAACTAGTTTACAGTCCCACCAACAGTGTAAAAGTGTTCCTATTTCTCCATATCCTCTCCAGCACCTGTTGTTTCCTGACTTTTTAATGATCACCATTCTAACTGGTGTGAGATGGTATCTCATTATGGTTTTGATTTGCATTTCTCTGGTGGCCAGGGAAGATGAGCATTTTTTCATGTGTCTTTTGGCTGCATAAATGTCTTCTTTTGAGAAGTATCTGTTCATATCCTTTGCCCACTTGTTGATGGGGTTGTTTGTTTTTTTCTTGTAAATTTGTTTGAGTTCTTTGTAGATTCTGGATATTAGCCCTTTGTCAGGTGAGTAGATTGCAAAAATTTTCTCCCATTCTGTAGGTTGCCTATTCACTCTGATGGTAGTTTCTTTTGCTGTGCAGAAGCTCTTTAGTTTAATTAGAACCCATTTGTCAATTCTGGCTTTTGTTGCCATTGCTTTTGGTGTTTTAGACATGAAGTCCTTGCCCATGCCTATGTCCTGAATGGTATTGCCTAGGTTTTCTTCTAGAGTTTTTATGGTTTTAGGTCTAACATTTAAGTCTTTAATCCATCTTGAATTAATTTTTGTGTAAGGTGTAACGAAGGGATCTAGTTTCAGCTTTCTACATATGGCTAGCCAGTTTTCCCAGCACCATTTATTAAATAGGGAATCCTTTCCCCATTTCCTGTTTTTATCAGGTTTGTCAAAGATCAGATAGTTGTAGATATGTGGCATTATTTCTGAGGGCTCTGTTCTGTTCCGTTGGTCTATATTTCTGTTTTGGTACCAGTACCATGCTGTTTTGGTTACTGTAGCCTTGTAGTATAGTTTGAAGTCAGGTAGCGTGATGCCTCCAACTTTGTTCTTTTGGCTTAGGATTGCCTTGGCGATGCGGGCTCTTTTTTGGTTCCATATGAACTTTAAAGTAGTTTTTTCCAATTCTGTGAAGAAAGTCATTGGTAGCTTGATGGGGATGGCATTGAATCTATAAATTACCTTGGGCAGTATGGCCATTTTCACGATATTGATTTTTCCTACCCATGAGCATGGAATGTTCTTCCATTTGTTTGTATCGTCTTTTATTTCATTGAGCAGTGGTTTGTAGTTCTCCTTGAAGAGGTCCTTCACATCCCTTGTAAGCTGGATTCCTAGGTATTTTATTCTCTTTGAAGCAATTGTGAATGGGAGTTCACTCATTATTTGGCTCTCTGTCTGTTATTGGTGTATAAGAATGCTTGTGATTTTTGCACGTTGATTTTGTATCCTGAGACTTTGCTGAAGTTGCTTATCAGCTTAAGAAGATTTTGGGCTGAGACGATGGGGTTTTCTAGATATACAATCATGTCATCTGCAAACAGGGACAATTTGACTTCCTCTTTTCCTAATTGAATACCCTTTATTACCTTCTCCTGCCTGATTTCCCTGGCCAGAACTTCCAACACTATGTTGAATAGGAGTGGGGAAAGAGGGCATCCCTGTCTTGTGCCAGTTTTCAAAGGGAATGCTTCCAGTTTTTGCCCATTAAGTATGATATTGGCTGTGGGTTTGTTCATAGATAGCTCTTATTATTTTGAGATACGTCCCATCAATACCTAATTTATTGAGAGTTTTTAGCATGAAGGGCTGTTGAATTTTGTCAAAGGCCTTTTCTGCATCTATTGAGATAATCACGTGGTTTTTGTCATTGGTTCTGTTTATATGCTGGATTACGTTCATTGATTGCATATGTTGAATCAGCCTAGCATCCCAGGGATGAAGCCCACTTAATTATGGTGGATAAGCTTTTTGATGTGCTGCTGGATTTGGTTTGCCAGTATTTTATTGAGGATTTTTGTATCGATGTTCATCAGGGATATTGGTCTAAAATTCTCTTTTTTTGTTGTGTCTCTGCCAGGCTTTGGTATCAGGATGACGCTGGCCTCATAAAATGAGTTAGGGAGGATTCCCTCTTTTTCTATTGATTGGAATAGTTTCAGAAGGAATGGTACCAGCTCCTCCTCGTACCTCTGGTAGAATTTGGCTGTGAATCCGTCTGGTCCTGGACTTTTTTTGGTTGGTAAGCTATTAATTATTGCCTCAATTTCAGAGCCTGTTATTGGTCTATTCAGAGATTCAACTTCTTCCTGGTTTAGTCTTGGGAGGGCGTATGTGTCGAGGAATTTATCCATTTCTTCTAGATTTTCTAGTTTATTTGCGTAGAGGTGTTTATAGTATTCTCTGATGGTAGTTTGTATTTCTGTGGGATTGGTGGTGATATCCCCTTTATCATTTTTTATTGCAGCTATTTGATTCTTCTCCCTTTTCTTCTTTATTAGTCTTGCTAGCGGTCTATCAATTTTGTTAGCATGCCTCCCGCACCCTTTATCAAACAGGGGCATTTCTGTCTCCCCTGCCCCTATCTGCTCTTTTCTTTCTTTCTTGTCCTTTCCCCAGTGGCCAGCCTCACTTTCCCTGGACTCTCTGATTGGCCTTACTCAGCAATGATTTATCTTCTGCTTTTTGACTCTGAGGACTTTTTCCTGGTCTGTTTCACTTTACCCTGAATTCCTATGTTTACTATTTGCTTTTTGTCTTCTCCCAGACATTGTGCCATGTTTTCTAGCACTTAGAATAGAGCTAAGCTCTTGGCTAGTATTTTTTTAATTAAGAACCAGGTACTAAGTATTATGCTCAGTTGACTCAAGGTAGAGAACTGACATCTTTTTTGACAAGTTGAATTGCATTTTCAAAGAATAAAGTGGAGTTATTGGCCAACATATCAGGCGTCACTTCTGGAAGTCATATAACACAAGTCTTGCCTATTCATTTGAAGGAAATTAAGCATCTGATGCAGGCTTTTCAACCTGGCTCTGTCACCAGTGTTCCCAGTACCTGTTAATAGAAAAAGGTGCTTTGTGCGTGCTTGGGAAAGAATCTTAACCTCATGGAAGAAAGGATAGCAGGGAGCTGGGAACATCACTCTTGACTGTGGTTCAGCACACCTGGAGCCCACGGAGGCAGGAGCCCAGGACATCCTTCTTTCTGTAGGTCAGAGACCTGGGAGTGTTGCCTGTTCTAGAAGAGGAAAGTGTTCCTGATGTTCTCAACCCATCAAGCTGGGAGCAGATGTTTGACAAGGAGAGAGAAAAACATGACCTGAAGCGTTCAGGCATTCTGCTTTTTTTCCATGCTAGAAAAAGAACTGTGTTTGATCTATAGCAGAGTTTTTTATTTGAGCAGAAGCTATCTAGGGGCATCTACTGACACATGATGCTGACTAGGGTATGATTCTGTCCTCAGTCAGTTCTTACCATGTAAAAGATCCTCAAAGGAAGGATCTCTTCCCCAACCCGTTGCTACTTTGCTTTCTGAAAGTCAGTGTTTCCATAACCTGACTTTTGAGTCTCCTCTGTTTCTAAGATTGTAAAACTAGCTCTCCAAACATAACCACCTCTTAATAGACAACTGTAGCTTCCTAGAGAACATGGAAAGACAAGATATCACAGTTCTGGAGGCGTTTCTCTTATACTTTTTTTTGTATTTTTCCAATTTTATAGAATGAACTTGTATTATTTTTTGCAATGGAAGATAACTTACATATTTCAGCAGCAGCAGGACTGCCTCTGTTCATGAGTTCTTACTTTTGAATTGACATCAGATAATTCTGTACTTGGGAAACTACTCTGGATGTGGCATCCATCTCAGTCTTGGGTGGGACTTTCAGGTCCCTGGACTCTGGCCCCTTCCCACTACATTGTGTGTATCCGTGTGCTGTGTGCGTGTGTGTGTGTGTGTGTGTGTGTGTTTTAACACTCATCTTCTGTTTGAATCAAGACAACATGTTCCCATCTCCTGTACCCTCCCTCCCCAGCATGTGTACCCCCCACTTATTCTTGGAGCACCCCCTCCTTCCTTCTGCCTCTGTAAACCTGACCCATTTGTCAAGCTCATGAGCACCTGGGGCCATCCACACGCAGCCCTTTTTTTCTCTGAATTGTTACTGCCCTTATGATCTGCCATAATCACATGCTCGGAATGCACGTGAACGGGCATTTGTACAGCTCTTTGCAGTTTTCAGACCAAGTGCACATCTATTGCTTCATCTCAGGGCCATGCAAGAGCTGGATGAGATCCTGTCATTATTTAAAATTTAGATATTTTATTCATCATAAAAATTTTGCATTTGGGTTAACTTTTAAAACCATTGCATTAAAATAGTACTTGTCTTGATCCCTGAGTTGTGGTGGCCTTGTAAATTTTGCAGGCCAGTCCCAACCCTGCTTCATTTAATCCTTGTAACTAGAAGAGTCCTGTGAGGTGTGCACAGGACCTCCTGTGGTATTACTGGCCCATTTCACAAATAATGAAACTCATCTCTCCCACTGGATTCCAAGCTTTGTGAGGGCAGCTCTGTAGTTCATACTCTTCTAACCTTCCCAGGTCAACATGGTGCTACCTGTTGGTTCATTTATTTCAAGGTATAGCAATGAGATGGGGAGAGGTGTGTTAATCAGCCCTTGGGGGGACCATGAACTTGTCAAAAGTCCAATTATTACCCCTAACCTGTCTGATTGCATCCATCCATAGACCCCATTGCACTTCTAGGAAGCAAATTTTCTCTGCTTTAGAAATTTAGTGCTCATTTGGTGAGAGAGTTACAGAGGCTGTCAGATAGGGAGTATGACTGAAGAAAAGCCACTTGGGGAACCTGAGGGAGTTCAAAAATTGGCTGGTCCCAGGAGCCTCTGTTTGAAGCAGGAATGAGTTCCTTGAGACGAGGCTAATGTCTCTCTAAAAGCACATGTGCTAGTGATTCTGAGATGACTGTAACCTTGAAGGTTTGCTTGTATGCTCGTGTGGCACTGAGATGAACTTTTTGGAGTCACAAGTGAGGTTGTATGTACTGAAAATCTTCTACCCTTGAAATAAGAATGCAACAGTGTATGTCTCTGGATGTGATTCCATTTAACTGAGTGTAATTTAGGTGGACAGGATTAATATCTTAAACCAAGATGTGGAGACTTTCTGTATCATCTCATTGCACAGAAGTGGGTGGGGTGGTGAGGCAGTAGGTGGTGTCCTTGACTGCCAACTTTTCCTTTGTTGGTCTGAGGTCATTCTGCCTATTTGAGGTTGGGAGAGAAAGCGTGGATAAGAATTATTACCTTGAAAATATAAGATAAGGAAATAATGTGAATATTATTCAGCAATAAAAAGACATAGTTTTTAAGCCACAGAAAGACCTGGAGGAGGCTTAAATGCACATTGCTAAGTGAAAGAAGCTAGCCAGTCTGGAAAAGCTACATACTGTGTGATTCCAACTATATGACATTCTGCAAAAGGCAAAACTATGGAGGTAGTAAAAAGATCAGCGGTTGCAAGAGGTCTAGGGAGATAGAGGAAGTGATGAACAGGTGGAACCCAGAGGAATTTTAGGGCAGTGAAACCCTTTTGTATGATAATGTAATGGTGGCTACTTAAACATCATGTAGTTGTCCAAACCCACAAAATGTACAACATAGAGTGAACCCTAATGTAAACTGTGGACTCTAGCTGATAATAATATATCAATACTGGTTCATCAGTATTGTTACAATCATATCAAATGTTCCACACGAATGCAAGATGTTAGTAATGGGAGACTGTGTGTGTGTATGTGGTGGGGGTGGGGGAGTGCAGGTAATAGGGGAATGCTCTGTACTTTCTACTCAATGTTTCCATAAACCTAAAACTCTTCTTAAAAATAAAGTTTAGCATGAAATACTAGGTTTTATTTAATTGTACATTTTAAAATAACTAAAAGACTACATAATTGGATAGTTTGTAACACAAAGGATAAATGCTTGAGGGGATGGATACCCTATTTTGCATGATGCGATTATTATGCATTGCATGCCTGTATCAAAACATCTCATGTACCCTATACATATATATAGCTACTGTATACCCACAAACATTAAAAATTAAAATAAAAATATAAAGTTTATTAATTAGATAGAAAGGCAGAATGAGAGAAAAGGAGAAAGAGAAAGAAATAACAAACATGGCCTATTTGCCTCATGTTCCAACAAAGGGTCTTGGCTCCAAATATCACGTTAGGGGAATGGAAAAGACAAGTTGGGACTGGCTGAGGCCTGGCTCCTTCCTATGTCGAGTCTATTGCACAGCACACGCCGGCTGCTTCCATCAGTCAGGCTAGAACAGCAGAATTCCCATCTCCACACCACCACCCATCCGGCATCAGTCAAAAGGAGCTTTCGATAATGTGAGTCATGACGGAAGCTTCTTGACATGGTGAATGTTCCCCAAGGGATGTCAAGTGTGATCCTTCTCCTTTGCAGAGCATATGAGCTGCCTCGATTGTGTGACAAATATTTTCGTGTGCCAGCATAATCCGAACTTTGGCAGAGGCTGGGGTAAGGGCGCAGTGACAGAGAAGTGTTCTCAGAGCCTGGCAGTGTTAGATTTAGAAAGAAGGGATGCATTTTGCATTCTTGACACAGGAATCCTAGGAAGTGACTCTTCTTGTCTTAGAAACAGGATTTATCACTAATGACAAAGAGATAACTCATACTTCAGAGAGGCTTGCAGCATACAAGGCACTAATGATGACAACAATTATGAAAATTATGATGATGAGGAACATGATGATAGCAACATGCCTCTAAAGTATACCATGAGGCAGGCGCTGGTCTAGGCACTTTATAAACATAAATGTATTTAATCATTATAATGGAGGTAGTGTCTATCATTATCCCATTCTACAGATGAGAAAACCGATACTAGAAAGAGTAAGTAACTTGGATAAGATTGCATAGTATTTTAGGTCAAGATTCTGTGGCCTTTCCCTCAACTATGTAACCTCTGATCATTCCCTGGTCATAGCTAACAGTTCAAAGCCCGGTATTGTCACAGCCCCAGAGGCAGAGAACAAATAGCTATCACCTGGAAATACCTACCTACCTACCTACATATAGGTAGGTAGGGTGAATAATGTCCTCCCAAAGACGTCCACATCCCAATCCTCAGAGCCTGTGAACATGTTACTTTACATGGCAAAAGGGACGTTGCAGATGTGATTCTGTCAATAACCTTGAGAAGGGGAGATTATCCGGGATTACCCAAGTGGGCCCAGTGTAATCACAAAGCTCCTTACAAGAGCATGGCAGGAGAGTTAGTGTCAGAGAGAGACGGATGGGGTGGGAAAAGAGAGTGAGAGAGAGAGAGAGAACAGAGACAGAAGTCAGAGTGATGGGGCCATGAGCCAAGGAGTGCAAGTAGCCTCTAGAAGCTGGAAAAGGCAAGGGAAAGGGTCCTCCCTGAGAAACCCCAGAAGGAATGCTGGCCCTACTGACACCTTCATCTTAGGACTTCTGACCTCCAGAACTGGCAGAAGCAAAATTTTTGTTGCTTTAATCCACAGAATGCATGGCAGTTTGTTATAGCATCAGCAGGAAACTAATGTACACACATAATATATAAACACATAACACACCCCCCTCCCTGTAAATGCTTACCACCTGCAAACCTTTACATATACTTAGTGCCCACTTGCTCCCTTAGGGCCACGCTTGCTGACTGCAACCTCTTGGTCCTTTGTCCTTTCTCCTGGGGCTGGTTCCCCCGTGTGGCTTTCCTCCTTCATGGCCACAACTCCCTCCACCCAGGGGACCCTAATTCTGGTTCTCCAGCCACCCTATTCATTTTTGCCTCATATTCTAATCTATGCAACAGAAAATCTGTATTGCTACTAACTTTATCAAGGAAGAAGAGGGTGGACAAGTCAGGCTGTGGCCCTACTGGGGAAGTTGGACACCTCTTTTCTAGTTCTTGCCTCTGCCCTTGTCCACCTAAGTGTGGAGCTGGATATTTATCTACACTCAGGTGCCCAGGGCAGTCTGGATTATGCCTGTTGTCTTGGTGTAAATATTAATATTACAAGCTCTCCCTTTCAGTCTGAAATGTGACCTGATTTGTGTGATAAATTACATGGTTGCCCCATCTTGACTCACCTCCCAGTTGTCTGAATTTGTCTTAGTCCCCAAACATTTTAATTCCAGGCTGACTTCCTCCTGCCACCCGGCCCACCTCTGAAACCACCTCCCTGAATTATGGGATGCCCAAAAGACTGTCAAGCTCAAATCCTTAGTTTTACAGAGGAGGAGGCTGAGTTCTCAAGAGGTTAGGATCACACAGGAGTCAATGCCATGACCAGGCCTTGAGCTCAAGAATCCTGACTTCACCCAGCGATGCTTTCACAAGACTCACATCCTTGATGCACGCTGAGGGAGATGCAGAAGCTAACCACGGATGAGGGCGTGCATCAGCAAAATATCTGTGTGGTTTGGCTGTGTCCCCACCCAAATCTCATCTTGAATTGTACTCCCATAATTCCCATATGTTGTGGGAAGGACCCGGTGGACAATAATTTGAATCACAGGGATGGTTTCCCCTATCCTGTTCTCATGGTAGTGAATAAATCTCACGAGATCTGATGGTTTTATCAGGGGCTTCCACTTTTGCATCTTCCTCATTTTCTCTTGCCACCACCATGTAAGAAGTGCCTTTTGCCTCCCACCATGATTCTAAGGCCTCCCCAGCCACATGGAACTGTAACTCCAATTAAACCTCTTTTTCTTCCTAGTCTCGGGTATGTTTTTGTCAGCAACATGAAAATGGACTAATACACCTTGCCAGCCTGCAACCTGAATACCTGGAATTCTGTAATCTCTTGTTAGAGGGTATCAATTCCCTGCTTGAAGTCTTTGCTTTTGTCATGAATTGAATGTTCAAATTCATATGTTGAAGCTCTAACCTCCAGTGTGGCTGTGTTTGGAGATGGGGCCCCTAAGAAGGGAATTAAGGTTAAGTGAGGTCATAGAGTGGGGTCCTGAGCTTTTAGGATTAGTGTACTTTAATAAGAGACACCAGACAACTCTGAATCTCTCCTCTGTGTGTCTGTGCACATGCACCGAAGAAAGACCATGAAAAGACACAGCAGGAGGTGGCTGTCTCCAAGCCAGGAAGAGACTGCACACCAAAAATCCATCAGTTAGCATCTTGATATTGGACTTCCAGCCTCCAGAACCATGGGAAAATAAATGTCTGTTGTTTTAGCCACTCAGTTTGGGGTATTTTGTTATAGTGACGTGAGCTGACTCCTACAGCTGTGTCCCATTGAGTCCACCTCTTTGTGGCATTTAAGCCCCTCAACATGCACTCCCTCCCTTTCCTGTGGTCTCTCATGCTCCCATCCATGCACCATAAACTCTTCTCACTACTCACTCAATAGGGCACCGATTTTTCCAAACTGTGTGCCCGGCTGCACGAGTCTTGCTGGCTTTTTATGACCCTCTACCCTGGAGCCATCTCTCCCAGCCCCACAAGTTAAAGTCCCACCCCAGGCTAAGGCCTGGTTGCAAGACTGCTTTGTCCAAAGGCCTTTCCCTGCCCTCAGCCAGACCGAGCCTTCTGCCTTGGAGGCTGGAGTAAGCTGGGTGTCACAAAGCCATGAGCAGTGGGTTGTACATTGTCCCCACAAAGTTCATGTCCACCTAGAACCTCAGAATATGAACTTATTTGGAAATACGGTCTTTGCACATGTTATAGGTATTTGATTTCACACCTGTCTCCCAGGACAGATACCTCAACCTGGATAGCATGGGGCCTTTCCTAGCTCCCAGCACCCCATGAGCTTGCAAACTGTCACACTGCACTGAGTCGAAGTGAATGTCCCCAGGCAGCTCTCTCTTACCACCCCTCTGCTTGGGGGCCCAGCGGCTGGGTCTGTGTTTCACATCATAGAGTCTGTGCCTGCCTGGCTCCTGGGATGTGTGAATTGCTGGCAGAGCAACGTTAGAATTCCTAACAAGCACCCCGGTTTCTCCATCTGCTTGTTATGACTTGTCTCTTAGAAATGCTCTCAGGATTCTCATAAAATGGTTCTTCCAGGAGAATTTAATATTTTCCTCCAGAATCTGTTTGTCAGCTCTTTGGAGCCTCACCCCTCAAGGGTACAGGTGGCTCCGAGCACAATTTGGAGAATGTCACAGAGATTCATCTCCTAAGAGCCCCCAGACTCGTGTCTGCCTGCTTTTGAGAGCAAGTGTTTTAAGTAGAACTAGAGGAGCAGAGGAGGGACCTCAGGTCACTGCAGAGCCTCGGGAGCTGCACAACAGCTGACAGGAGTGGATTCACTTGTGAACAATGTTGCCTGAGATTCCAACAGTCTCCTGGGAGTTTCAGAGACATTTGTGGAGGCTGAGATCCAGCATGGGCCCATGAGGATGAGAACCTGAGGCTTCAGGTTATCACTGTTAATGTGACTTTTTGTGCCCAAGAAGTGGGAGGACCAGGAAAACTTCCACAAGTGAGTTCTGAGAATTATAAAAGATGTTCAAAACTCATTTAAAAGAAGATTTTAGACAAGCACTGCTTAAGCTGAGGAAAAACCACCTTGTCTGTAAGTAAACCACGTGGCAGTTTCCAAAGGCTCACCGTGATCCTCTTATCACTGACAGGCATCCATGTCTTAATGCCTGGGAATGACATACATGGAAACTGTATTCTCAGTGTGTTGGGTTTTCATCATTGTTACATGCTGTTGATATGTCATTAGCACAGAATAACAAGTGCATTAGTCAGGATGCACTATTAGCAAGTAATAGTATCCTTCATTGAGTGTCCATTCTCTGAGACAATGCACAAATGCATTATCAATATTATTTCTTCTAATCTCCAAAACAAGTCTTTGAGGAAGGTTTATCCATTGCACAGGTGCAGAAACTGGGGGTCAGAAAAGTAGTGCCATGGTCTGAATGCCTGTGTCCTTCCCCCAATTCGCACATTGAAATCGTCATCCACAAGGTGATGGTACTAGGAGGTAGAGCCAGAGATTATTGGATCATGAGATTGGAGCCTAATGAATGAGATTAGTGCCTTTATAAGATAGGCTCAAGGGAGCTTGCTTACCTCTTCTACCATTTGAGGACACAGTGGGAAGATGCTATCTCTGAGTAAGAGAGGTGGCCCTTTCCAGGGACAGAATCTGCCTTGATCTTGGACTTCGGAGCCTCCAGAGCTGTGAGAAATAAATCTGTGGTTTATCCGTCCCCCAGTCTAAAATATTTTGTTATGGCAGCCTGATTGGGCAAAGGCCTGATGAGGCCTGATCTGGTCCTACAACTCTTTACAGCCTAGCCCTCCAAGTGGTCAATATTAATCAGATGAAGTTGGTGTTGACACAGAACATGAAGCCTCTTTGCCCTCCTGGTGATATGATGCTTCCTGTCTTGGTGATAGGATGCTGACCCACTGGCTACTTAAACTAGAAATATGAGCTTCCACAGGGAGGAAGGGTTGGGGCAGAGGGTATTCTAGAAATGTGCTCAGAACTCAGGTGGACCAAGTGACAGAGGTTGGCACTTGAACCCCATGTGCTTCTTCCTGTTGGGGCATCCACTTGGGGATCCCAAGACAGATGAGTAGGCCCCTCCTCTTGGATATGCCACCTACAAATTCCATGAATGTGGCTTAGAATGGAGAAGACTGTCAGAGGCCATCTCCTTTCAGAAGAAAATAAGGTGCCTCTGGACACTGTCGTGTGCCCCACAATTCAGCTGAACAATAGGCCAACAGTCATGAGTGCAGCTACCCCGATTGGTGGCCTCAAAGACTATATGCAACAAATGGTTCCACTTTTCTGCTCTCATCTCTGCCTGGCTAAGGCCACCTGTTGTTCTAGCATGGAGGAAAGAGACTGAGTCTTACAGCGAGATTCAGCAGAGATTGGCTCTTGAATTTGCTACTTACTAACACCATGGCCCTAGACATCTTATCTAATTTCTCTGAGTCATGGTATCTTCATTTTAAAATGGGGCCGTTGTGAGGATTATACCTGACCAGATACATAAAGTTCCTAACACAGATCTTGGCAGAAAATAGGGACTCAGTAAACCATGGCTTCAAGTTTTAGCTATGATTGTTTAGAGTTACTTTCTCTGTGTCTATATTCTATTTTTCCAGCAGACAATAAATTCCTTTAAAGCCAGGCACTCCTCTGAGCCCCTCACAGAGATTGCTTTGCACATAGTAGGACCTAATAAACACATTCCCCAAATCAGAGTTGATGTTACTCATTTTTACTTTTGGTCTCAGTTGACCTGGATTCTGTTCTCTTTTGTCCTCTGAATTCAGGCCAGCATCTCAGAAAATAGTTTAAAAAAAACAACAAATGAGCAGGGGGTTAGAAATTTGACATCTCCCGTAGACTGTGAAACTAATTTGACATCTCACATAGTCTGTGAAACTGATTGACTAGAGCTGTATAAAAACTTGCCTGGAAAACTTCTTAGGAAGAGCTGAGACTTGAAGGAACTGGGGGTAGAGGGGGCTGAATAGTATAACAGCTTCATGTTCCTCAAGGAGCTCTACATCCCTGGACACACAGTGATGCCCCATGACACCTTTTGGGAGGCTGGCCAGGGGTCATACTCACTCTTCTTTTAATGGGGATCTCATAATACATGCTGACTGTTTTTACAGTGGGGCACGTCAAAGAAAGGCAAGAAACCTTATTTTCTTCTGAAAGGAGATGACCTTTGACAGTCTTCTACATTCTAAGCCACATTCATGGAATTTGAAAGTGGCATATCTGAGGATGGGTCTGCCAATCTGCCTTGGGATCCCCAAGGACATGAATGTATTTGTTTGGGAACTTGAAGTGAATTTCAATGGACACAGTCATGCTGGGAAAAAACAGACAAGGTGCTGACTAATGCCATGGGAATCTAATACTGATTACTTTTGAAAGCACAAGGGAATGGGCCTACAAAAAAGTCAGTATACAAATCTGAAATGGAGTTAGAAAGAACTGGAAAAGGAAGTATGAGAAATATTAATTAAAGTTACAAGTTTGAGACTAGTCATGGAAAGGTCAGAAATGTTTTCTTTAAGGTCATGGTTCCATCAGTAGTGACTTTAATTAATAATAATAGGGTTGGAGAACCTCTACCCTTATCCCTGCACCATTACCATCTCAGATAGGAAGATATCTTCTTTAAGGTCATGGACAGAAAGCTAATGGGATTATGATCTGGCTTTCATATTTTTCAAGTACCTATTGTGTGCAAAAACCAGAATTTGAGAAGGAAGATCTGTTATTGCTGAAGGCATTTGCTCATGGAGTTTTAATACCAGTCAGTGGTTATTGATCACATAATGAAGCAGTTCATGGATTTCTAGTTTTCCTCCAGAGTTCTGCATTACTTTTAGACAAATTATATTCTTCAAAGTACTTGTCATTCTTGCCTTGATGAAAGGTGAATCTATGAAGATTTAACAGAATTTGGGCCCAATTCCAGTAGCTAGCCATGGAACATGGAGCTTCTTTTTGATCTTTTTGATATAGTGTATGATGTTCCCTCTAATTTTCTTTGGGAGTGGTTACTAATATAAATCAATAAAATACTGATTATAATGTCCTTCTTATTCGTCCCCCCACATTTGCTCAGCATACTTCCTATAATTTGACCAATGTGCCTGTGAAAGATTGTAAAAATGGCCACAATGCTCTTATACCACTCTTCATATTTATGACCTGTGCAATGTGGCTTTACAGATGTGTTCAATAAGAGACAGTTCTGTTTCCCCATCCCTTGGATCTGAGCTGACATTGTGATTTTCTTTGGCCAGCAGAGTGTGGCAGAAGTGAAAAAGGAAGGTGTGTCAGTTCTTTTCCTTTCTGAGAAATCTGCCCAGGTGCCATGTGTATAAGCCCAGGCTAGCCCATTTGAGGATGAGAGACCACGTGGAGCAGAGATAAGCCATCCCAGCCAGCCGCAGCTAGCTTGATCACTGACCTAGACGCATGTGTGAGCCCTGCCAAGACTAGAAGAAGAATCGCCAAGAGGAGCCCAGCTCAAACTGCTGACTATTGAGTGACTCATTTTTGGGATGGTTTGTTATGCAGCAAAAGTAACTAACAGTACCTAAGAGTGGTTTTCTGTTCTCTATCAAGAGCCCCCTTTAGGAAAAAAATGACCGGTATTGTAGAGTCATCATCGAAAAGATTGAAGCTTCTTCTGGAAGTTTATTATTTCACTACTCTCAAGACTCTTTTCCACAGTCTCCTCTCTCTTACTTCCAAGTCTTCCTTGCAGCTAGGCATGGTCATGGAATGTAAGTGGAAGTTGGTCAAAAAATTCTTCTTGAAAAAGGGACATGTATTTTTTTGTACTCTTTTTCTCCTTCTTCCTACTAGAGATGCAATTCCTGGACCACACAATGCCTTTACACCCTATTTATGGAGTGAATTGTGTTCCCCCACATTTACATGTTCAAGACTCAACCCCCAGTGTGACTGTACTTGGACATAGAGCTTTTAGGAGGTAACTAAGGTCAAATGAAGTCATACGGGTGGGGTCTTAATCCAACGAAATTGGTGGCCTTATAAGAAGTAGAGAGATCTCTTTTAGGAAAGGCCATGTGAGCATGTAGCAAGAAGGTGGCCATCTGCAAGCTAGAGAGAGAGAGCCCTCATCAGAACCTGACTATGCTGGCACCATGATCTTGGACTTCCAGCCCCTAGAATTGTGAGAGAATAGATTTCTGTTGTTGAAATGACCCAGGCTATGGTATTTTGTCATGGAAACCTGAGCAGACTAATACACCCTCTGAGATGACACACTTGAGGATGAAAGGTTAACTTGTTAAGGTTAGCATAGATGAGAGAAAGAGTCTAGGTCTTCGACGGCATCCTTGCACAGCTGAATCAATACCAATCACTTCTACCACCAAGTTTACATTGCATGGAAAGCATACTCCTCCCTGTGGTTTAGTGCGCTGTCGACCAGTGTCTCTATTACTTGCAGCAGAAAGTCCTCCTAAGTCATGCAGATAGATATAATTCTCCTCTAGGTGAGAACTTTAGGTGTCTTAGGCCCCTTTGGACACATATGCATTAGTCTGTGGTTTGAGTGGAAGGTCAGTGGCTCTATACACTTGATAGCACTTGTGACTTCAAAGGCCGCTACATACCCAGGTGTGTGAGTGATAGAGTTGGGGGAAGAGCCAGAGATCTATGCAGGATGGGGAAGGATCATCGCGAACTTCCAATGAGTTTGGGATAAAGTAAGGTCTAGTCTCAGCTCTGACCAGTCTAGTCTGTCTTTGATGGGTCAGACTCAAGTGGTCCACAGAACTCATCCCTTCAAGGCTAAATGTTACATTCCATGTTTAAAGACTCTGTTGCATTTGAAGTCAGCATCAATCTTAGTGCTTTTTGGGGCACAGGGTTGCAACACTTTGAATTGTGACTAGGAGATATGTTTTCTTCAGCTTTGGCTGCATCAAGGAGAAGATACAAATTTCTTAGATGCGGATCAAAGGAAGATGAAAAGGAAATGGAAAAAGCAGGCAGTAGGGGGGCATCTGTCTGTCGTTTACCACCACACAAAACTAAAAACCAACAATAACTAGCATTTATTATTGCCCTCTTTTTGCCAGGCAGCAATACCGAATACTTCCCATGAATTGTCTTATTTAGTTCTCAAAATAACCCTATGTTCCAGGCACCATTATTATCCCCATTTCATAGATAAGGAACCTGAGGTTTAGAGAAATTAAATAACCTTGCTTAAAGTTTCACAGGCCTCAGTGGGGGCAGAGTCAGGATTAAAAGGCCAAGTGCCTTCACTCTGCGTAGGTTTTTATAACAAAACCAATCGATTTAGAACCAGTGTGGATTTCTGCTACCTGTAGGGGACCTATATGTGACTAAGGGACTGTGACTATAGTCTCTGCAAAATGCAAGAGTGATATCTTGCCAGAGAATGTCTTCATTTCTGCTCCTCTTTTGCAAGGATTTGGAGAAAACTTTGTAAACAGGACTGAAACAGTAAAGCTAATCACATCACAATCACATGCCCACCGTCCCAAAGGATCATACTGGTGTTTGCTAATGGGAATCCTCCCTGTTCAAAGTTTAATACCTCATCCAAGGGCTCCACAATTACATTTCCATTACTTCCCACTGTTTATCACAGTTGGATTGCAAAAGCCAATTTACGTTGTGATTTCTCCTCTGCTAGATCTTTACCATCTATTTTTAAATTTGTCTCACAATCCAGCTGGGCGCTTCATCCCAAAGTGTTGGCTCCATGGTGCTGTTGGAACATTGGCCCTGGGAGGGACCTTGTCCTCCAGCCACACCGTGTCTGCTGGACCAGGCATGAGGTCATGGGAGGACCTGCGTCCTTGAATACGTCTCCAGCTCCTTCTCTCTCCTCTGGGGCAGTTTCTGATTAACCTTACATTTGGGGGCATTTAATAAAATAGATTTCCTTGTGTATTGTAAAAAGAAGAAAAATGATAGTGTTACTCTTGAAGGTCTCTGACCTGGGGTTTGTGAACCAGATTCACCCTGAGGAAAGAAAAGCACTTTCATCATCTGACTATCCCCCGTCACAGTTCTTGTGGTCCATGCAGGGGTGACCTGCACATTGAGCTGGGGCCAGGTTTGCCGGGGCTCTGGGAGAACAAGCACATTGTCCCCTGACAAGAGGAAAGAAAGGTTTCAAGAGCCCCTTTAGAGATGGGAGGGCAGCCTGGGTCAGCAATATTTTTGTTGGCACAATCTTAGTTCTAATAAAAGAAGGAACCAGCGTACATAAAAGAAAATATAATTCTAGAATGATTTTGACCATAGCTGTCTGATATTTGAAGAGGTTTTCTTGACGGGAGATTTTATTGGCCACCTGTCTTCCTTTCTAATAGTTCTCTAAGGTGGCAGGTGAATAAAATATGCCTGCCAGCATTGCTTTCCTAATCTGTTGGCAAAGATTGATTTTTTTTTTAGCCTGCTTTAAAAATGTTCTTTTTTATTGATGCATAATAGATGTACATAGTTTCAGGGCACATGTGATAATTTAATGCATTCATATAATTTGTAAAGATCAAATCAGCGTACTTGGAATATCCATCACCATAAATATTTGTCTTTTCTTGATGCTAGAACTGTTCCAATTCTTCTCTTCTAGCGATAAAAATGTTGTTATATCCTCCCACCTTATTTCCTTCAAACGAATTGAGCAGGGTTTTTAAATTGATATTGGAGAGATGTGACTTTCTCCATCAGCGGTCCAGTTGTAATGTGGTCTATTTAATTGCTAACGAATACACAGAGGTGCACATTCTCCTGGGCCAGTAGGTTTATCAGAAGACAGAATAAGAGAAAGAAAGTGAAGAAATACTTCAGCCCATGGGCTGCAAATGCTTGTGCATCAGCTGCAACCCTCCTATCTGCTGCTTTGTGGTCAGTTAGTGGTGTTTTGGCACAAGCTTCAAGTCTCCAGCAAACCCTGCCCATCTCTAGTTCAGTGGATCTCAGTTCATATGCTGGCTGGGCCACTAGCTGCCCAAATCAATCACTACACTAATTATTTTTGTTTCCTTTAAACTCAGTTCCCCTCTCTGCATTTATTTCTGTGGCCGACTGTGAAAAGCACAATCTCTCTCTTTGCCCATTTCCTTGAAGATCAGGATGTTTAAAATTTTCCAGCAACAAAGCAAAACTTTATGCAATATTATGGGAAAAGCACAGATTCTAGAGTCCAGTAGGGTAGGAGAGGAAGTAGAGGGAGCAAGTGGCTGAGATTTATTGAGCAACTACTATATGCTAAGGGTTGTATGCTTATTGTCTCATCCACTCCTCATAGTAGGCTTAGTTTACATTGGCATTGTTTTGAATAAGGAGCGGGAGTCTCAGCCAGGGTAAGTCACTTCCCCAATATCACACAGTGAGTCTAGGGAGCAGATCTCTGTGACGAGATCTGCCCATTTTAATCAAGGGGCGTTTTCCAGTAAAGATTACAGGACAGAAGGCACACAAAAGCACACTGGTAAGCTCGGAAGCACTTCATGAGAGTTAGTTGCTGTTGCTTGCTACGTGTACATTCTGTTGGTTCCTGGAAGTTCTGCTACTTCCACTACATAGATTGGTCAAGGCCCTGTGTTGTGTGAGGCTTGGTCACAAGGTGAGTCAGTAAGCCATGAGGCCCCTCCTCTAAAGATGTACCAGCTAAGGGTGCTCCGGGGGGACTCTGATCCTAGGGCTTGTCAACTCCATGTTGAGACCTCATCAGAACCTGTATAAAGTCATTCTCTCTGTGTATCAGGATAGGATGGCCTAACCCTGATGAAGCTGGAAGGAATTTAGAGTTAGAAAATCTTCATGGTTGAAGTGTTATTTCTAGAATGTTCCGTATCCATTAAATAACAGCTCTGTCTTTTTGAAAGGCTGACTTCTCATGGCTTGTCAGACAAAGCAGGTTATTTCATTTACATATGGAGGAATGGTGCAGGTTGTGAGTGGGTGTTAATACAACCAGAGGGCCCACACTATGAAGACAACCAGACCTGTGACACCATGAGTCACCTCTCTCCCCCAAAACCCTTCAGCCTTCGGCTGAGATGCCTTTGGTGGCACAGGCAGACACAACGGAATTAAAAGTCATCCCTTTCTTGGCACATCTGTTCTGGATCAAAAGGCGTGGTTAAAGAGTGAGAGCTATTGTGAACCAAGATAGCGCCACTGCAGTCTGGCCTGGGTGAAAGAGCGAGACTCCATCTCAAAAAAAAAAAAAAAAAAAAAAAAAAGAGTGAGAGCTATCAAGCCTCTAAGGCTCCCTAAATGCCAGTCTCTCTATTAAACATGTGATGTGTGTTATTATTGCTTTTGGTCCTGGCAAGAATCATGCAAGAGTGGTGCTAGTTCCATGGCAATCTGAGGCATAGGGGTGTTAAGCACTTGGCCCATGGTATATATAAAAGCTGGGGCTGAGACTCAGGCTAGTCTGATTTCAGAGCTTCAGATCTTACACACATGGACACACAGCTTCTGCAAGGGCCGGTGCCTAACTCACCATGTGAAGTGAAAGTTTGCTTAAGTAAGTTAATACCATTTGCCTTTACCATAAATGGAAGGCAGGAAATGACACAGGCATGATGAAAGTAAAGGATAATGCATCTATTTTAAAAATGCCATGTAGTTTAGTGCATTACTTTTCAAACTTTTTTGACAATACCTCACAGTAAGAAATATATTTGTTATTGTGACTCAGTAGAAACACTCACATATATGTGTGTGCACGCATGTGTGTGTGTGTCTGTGTATGTGTATGGACCCAAACCAAAAGTTTCATGGAAGAGTTCTTTTTTCCTTAACATGTACTCTGCACTGAAAGATTTTCTGTTCCATATTTCTCTACTTCACTGTTTTAAAGTGCTGGTTAAATTCATTTCATTTCTCCATCTGTTGGTTGTGACCCTTCATCATACATAGATAGTGGTTAATGGGGGCCATGTCTCTGGACCAGACTATCTGAATGGGATTTCTAGATCTTCCACTTCTTAGCTGTCTAACCTTGAGACAATTCCTTAACCCCTCATGCCTCAGTTTCCTCATCTATAAAATGGGCATAATAAAAATAATACCAGTTCAACAAGGTTGTTATGTGAATTAGGTAAAATAAGGTATATGAAGTGCTTAAACCAAAGACTGGGAAAAGCAAAGACCTCACTAATGTTAGCTGTTAGTTCTTTATCGTTACACATGACTTTCAACAACGTATTTATTTTATTAGGTGAGGCACTCATAGCTGCTGTGTAATAACCTTTTAAAAAAATTCTTTCTCCAGCAAACTAACACAGGAACAGAGAACCAAACACCACATATTCTCATTCATAAGTGGGAGTTGAACAATGAGAACACTTGGACACAGGGAGGGGAACATCACATACCGGGGCCTGTCGGGAGTTGGGGGGCAAGGGGAGGGAGAACATTAGGACAAATACCTAATGCATGTGGGGCTTAAAACCTAGATGATGGGTTGACAGGCAAACCACCATGACACATGTATACCTATGTAACAAACCTGCACGTTCTGCACATGCATCCTAGAACTTAAAGTAAAATAAAAAAGAAAAAAAATAGAAAAAGAAAAAAAAAATTAAGGCAGTGGGCATGTACGAGAAGAATGCAATTCCGCCCATGAATGAGTTAGAGGTCTGGGTAAAGATCATGTAAAACTCCACTTCCCTAGCTCTTAGAGACAGTAAGGCTGGTATGAAGTAGGTAACCAAAAACTTAAAATTCAAACATTGCTCTACATGTTAGTTTAATGTATATTCATAATACAGATAATAGGTCATCAAGAGAAGGTAAAATTATACTTAGCCTAAACTAAAGAAGTTGAGGAAACAGAACACATTTTAGAAAAACTTCCATCAGGATAATGAAATGAAACCAAATTGTTGGCGCAGATGGAGGTAAACTTCTGTGTTTTAGAAGATTGATTTGTGTGGAGGTGTCCTCCCCAGCATGCCTTCGGGTGATGGAAGGTCACTTACAATGTGTACAGCAGGAGGTGCTGGGGTGAGGAAAATTAGGGCAAGAGGAGGCTCAGCTAACCCTCAGGCTTCCCTTTTTAAGAAAGATATGGGATTTCCTTGGGTCATGTCCTAAAGAAAGTAAGATTGCCACATAGAGGGCTGGACATGGTGGTTCATGGCTGCAATCCTAACACTTTGGAAGGCCGAGGCAGGTGGATCACCTGAGGTCAGGAGTTCGAGGCCAGCCTGGCCAACATGGTGAAAACCCGTCTCTACTAAAAATACAAAAATTAGCCGGGCATGGTGGTGGGTGCCTGTAATCCCAGCTACTCGGGAGGCTGAGGCAGGAGAATGGCGAGAACCGGTTGCAGTGAGCTGAGATCATGCCATTGCACTCCAGCCTGGGCAACAAGAGGGAAACTCCGTCTCAAAAAAAAAAAAACAAAAAAAAACCCTGCCACATAGAATGCAACCACATTTTTTCTGAGGGTTAAAAAAGAAAATAAAGAAAAATAATCTCTTTAGGGCCTCAAGAATGTTTTTGAGGTGGTATTATTTTTATTATGCCCATCTTACAGATGAGGAAACAGGCATGAGAGGTTAAGGAGTTTTCCTTAGCCACAATCTTGGGCATGAAACCCTGGGATTTCTCCCAGTTTTGATGTATTATAATAGAGTCTCATCCTGCCCCTTGCAATTGAGATGTAGAAGAATAATCCGTTCTATGGGAGCCTGAGGGGAAGGGCAGCCATGGAGGACTGGAGTCTGTTGGGAGAGAGCAGCGCTGTGATCGGCTTCTATGCTCTGGGTTTACATTTGCCGTAGCCCGTGGTTGCATCCAGCGCTTTCTCCCTGCCATTTTTTATGGCCCTGCGTGGAGGTGAAAAGGCGAGGACGATGCCAAGATGAATGAGCAAGCCTGAAGTCACTGTTCTCAGCTGGATCAACAGCCTTCGCTCTGCCTGTTCTTAGGAGCTTGGTGTGTTGGAAACAAAGCGAAATTAGAGTGATATTAAAATAAATGACTCCATTAAAATGGATCAACCCCGTGAGCCCAAGGAAAGACTGACTTCATTTTGAAAGCGGCAAAGTGGTTGGTATTTCAGAAGCCTAAGGTGGCAGGTTCCAGGCCAGTAGCCTGACCTGAAGGGTGGCAGATGGGACCAGGCCCCATTTCATTTGCGAGTTAGTTGGATCTGACTCACTTGTTAGCCTCGGTTTTGTCCTATTTGCAATCAAGTGCTTGGATGAGACTTTTCTGAGGTCCCTCCTGGTTCTCATACTGAGATTCAGGGTGGTCAGAGTGGGACCCTCCCCTCATTGGACCTCAACTGGGCCTCCTGGAAGACCAACTTCCCAGATGTAGCCCTGTTACTATAACTTGGGGTCCCTGTGTCCCTGTATTATTTGTCAATACAGTTGCAGTTGGCCTCTCTGGGGTCTCCTTTGAGTGTTTGTGGGCTTTCTTTCTTTCTTTTTTTTTTTTTTTTTTTTTTTTTGAGACGGAGTCTTGCTCTGTCGCCCAGGCCGGACTGCGGACTGCAGTGGCGCAACCTCGGCTCACTGCAAGCTCCGCTTCCCGGGTTCACGCCATTCTCCTGCCTCAGCCTCCCGAGTAGCTGGGACTACAGGCGCCCGCCACCGCGCCCGGCTAATTTTTTGTATTTTTAGTAGAGACGGGGTTTCACCTTGTTAGCCAGGATGGTCTCGATCTCCTGACCTCATGATCCACCCGCCTCGGCCTCCCAAAGTGCTGGGCTTTCTTTCTTTTTTTAAGATGGAGTCTTACTTTGTTGCCCAGGCTGGAGTGCAGTGGCTTGATCTCAGCTCAATGCCACCTCTCTGCCCCCTGGGTTCAAGTGATTCTCTTGAGTAGCTGGGATTACAAGCATGTGCCACCATGCCTGTCTAGTTTTTGTCTTTTTAGTAGAGATGGGGTTTTGCCATGTTGGTCAGGCTGGTTTCCAACTCCTGACCTCAAGTGATCTGCCCGCCTCGGTCTCCCAAAGCACTGGGATTACAAGGCGTGAGCCACTGTGCCTGGCCTTTTGTGTCTTTTTGTAGTTACCATGCACAAGGATTTAGTGTGAGTTATAAACAATGAAACAAAGGTAATTTTTATGTAATCATGACAATCCACAAAACCCAGTGTCTGGAGTGAAGGGAATGACAGAATACCAAGTTTTAGAGTCTATCTTTATACGGCTGTATTTCCCTGACAGAATTATAACACCAATGAAAACATGACAGTGACACTGTTGACTCACTACCAACTGACATTTTCCCGCCTGTGGTTTGCATTTTTTTTTTTCTAACCAGTCTACCACCTACAACAGAGATGAGTGCCAGATACTCACTTTTCAACATCCTCACAACTCGGGGTTGCCTGTGTTTTCCAGTCCTAAGGGAAGGTCAGCAGATAAGTGGGTAGAGGTGAAATGAAAGAGGGGATTCTCCCTGCTCCATCCCACGTTTGCACCTGGTTGAGGCAGGATACGATGTGTGGAGCTATGGCAGCCTTCTTACCTCCAAGAGGGGAAGGCCGAAAGAAGAAATGAAGGGAAATGGGTCCAGGCAAGCTCTGAGAATTTTGAGCTACTGAACTGGACAAGTTACCTTTGGATTTTTTGTAGGTGGGACTTATTAACAATCCTCCAATATTGATATCACTTTAGCTAAACATTCTCTCAGTTGCAGTCTAGAGCTTCCTAGTTGATAAGCTATAGCAAACTCCTTTTAGGTCACTCCTCTATACTGAGCATTGGTGCTAAGGGCTCCCTGTTTTATCATTCTAATAATACAACAACAATCCCAGAAAGTGCATTTATTACAAGCCCTGTTTTACAGACACAAAAACTGAAGCCTAGAGATGGGAAGTATCTGGCCTTGGAACACGTGGTTGGTGGGTGGTTGAGGCAGGACTTGAGCCTGTGCTTTCAAATTCCTCTGTGCCTGGGGCACAGCGGAGCAAGCAGCCCCTCCACATGGGCTCTGGAGAAGCCCAGGAAGGGCACTAGCTCTGCTTTGAGTCCTCCTTCCCACTAGCCTCATGTCCCATGAGTCTCACTCCTAGTATTTCCTTAGGAAGGCTTTTGGGGAGCTGTGCATTTGAGTGCAGTTACCCTGTAGTGCTGCCCCAAGAGAAAGAAAACATATGCTCACACAAAAACGTCCAAGGCAGTGTTGCTCACAATAACCAAAAGGTGAAAACAACTCAAATGTACATCAACCGATCAGTGGATAAACAAAATGTGGTCTGTCCAGGACGGAATATGATTCAGCCATAAAAGGAATGAAGTACTGATCTGTGCTACAACATAGATGAACCTTGAAAACATGCCTAGTGAAACAAGCCAGATAGGAAAGACCATAGATGGTGTGATTCCATTCATAATAGGGCATCTGTTGAGACAGAAAGTAGATCTGTGGTTGTTTGGGGCCGGGGAAAAGGTGTGGGAAGGTGATAGTTTAAGAACACAAGGCTTCTTTTTGAGGTGATAGAAAGGTTCTAAAATTGATCTCGGTGATAGTTACACATATCTTTGAATACACCTAAACCACTGAATTGTACAATTTAAATGGGTGAATCGTACGGCATGTGAATTATCTCAATAAGGATTTTAACTTTTAAATTCAAGGGTACACATGTGCAGGTTTGTTATATAGGTAAACTTGTGTCACGGGGGTTTGTTGTACCGAATATTTTGTTACCCAGGTATTAAACATAGTACCTATTGGTTATTTTTCCTGATCCTCTCCCTCCTCCCATGCTCCACTCTCCACTAGGCCCCAGTGTGTGCCATTCCCCTCTACATGTCCATGCATTCTCTTCATGTAACTCCCACTTACAAGTGAGAACACGCAGTATTTGGTTTTCTGTTCCTGCATTAGTTTGCTAAGGATAATGGCCCCCAGCTCCATCCATGTTCCTGCAAAGGACATGATCTTGTTCTCAATAAGGATGTTTTCAAAAAATCACAGTGCTGCCTAGGAGGGGAAATGCCTTAGCCAGTCACCCAACACATGTAGGCTCAGCCTCCAGCAGCTTTGAAGGGGGCAGAAAGGGAGGATGAAAGGCGGGAAGGCTGGGAGAAGCTGGGGTCAGGGAGATCTGTTAGCTCAGCATGACCCAGGAAGAGGCAGGAGAGGAAGGGGTGAATTCCTTTCCTTCTTTCACTCCGTTGAGCAAAGTGAGTCTCCTCTACACAGTAATTATGGGTCAACAGGCAAGAGCAAGTTCTTCTGCTTGAGGCAGAAAAAATAATGCCTCAGTGAACTGCAGCTTAGTTCACAAAACTTTGTGTGAATAAATCAGATATTCCCATTTTGTAAAAAGATATAAACACTCAGGAAATACCTACTCAAATATTTGTTCTAAGTTCTCTCGAAATGTTTGAGGTTTCCAGAATGTCTGTTACATTTCTTATATGACATTTAGAAGCCTCACTGATTATCCTTGACTTATATATATTTAAAATGTGGTTTAGTTTGGGCATCTTCCCAGAAGCCCTAATTTTGAGAGAGCACTGTTACAATAGATTTGTCTTCCTGGTTATTTTTCCTATGGATTCTATTTTAAAGTTACAATTTTAAAATTATTATCTATGAATTTCTTCAAAAATTCCTACAAAAAACTATGAAAATGTGTTTTTTAGTAAGAGAGGCACCCAAATGCCTCTATCTGTTAAACCTTGGACTCCTCACCCCTAGGATAACACCATGAACTGCAGACAAATGTATCTGAGGCATTTGTAAGAAGTGGCTCATTCCACAGCTATAATTCTCAGCTAAAGTCCTGGAAGAAGTTGGAAATGGAGCATTTATCAAGAGCAAAAGGAAGACTTGGCTGGAACAAACCGTGCCCTATTTCCCTGGAATGGAGACTTCTTCAGAGGTAGCTGGGCAGAGGCTGAGCTAGCATGACACACCAAGTTGCCCACTGAGTCCACACTGGGTTCTAGACAGAGAGGATGTGGCGTGGGATGACCTCAGGGTGTTGGAGAAAGGCCATGAAGAAATCCACTTAAATAAAATAGGGACCCAAACTTTATGCTGGACAATGAAAATGTCCAGTGTTACATTGTGGGGACTTTATCCCAAAAACTGAAACAAAAACTCTGAAAATAAGTTATCTGATATTAAACATAATTTTGGACGTAGTTCTAACCAAGCTACCGTTCTTAGAAAATAAGCAGGAATTAAGTGTTGATTATTTCTCATCTGGGTGATTTTTCTGGCAAAAATCCACATTAGTACAATTAAATAGCCTCTCTTTTATACAGAGAGCTTATCAGCAAGACCATAAAGAAAGTCGGTTTTGCAGAGACAGGCAGGGGCTTTATTTCCTGAAGGGCCGCTGATAACCCTTGATAAGCATATCATTCTCTCTGAAGGCACATCCTGTTTGCCATCTTCCTGATCATTTTCTCCTCTTCAGTAGGGAATGAGTTCGTCTCTACTAAATCATCATTGTCAGTGATGTACCCCCCGCCAAGAGGGGCGGAGGTTCCCAACCTCCCAGCCCATGACTTTATGAAATTCCACATCTGTCACAAGATTGCACATCTTACTTTGCAAGGCATTTGCACTGGATTATCGGGTAGGATCCTGACTCAGAGAGAGACTGAACTACAGGGAACTGGATGCCTCTGCGGAGGTTGATGAGAGGTAGGGAAGACGGATGTTGGGGATAAGGGAGAGGGGGACTCGTTGTTAAAGATGGCCAGTTCATAGGGAGTATCCTTGTTTAGGACAACTTTGACCGAACATACTCAACCTTCTGACTTTTCAGAATCAGATAGCTGGGGTTCTCTGCATATCATCTGGATTTTTGAACCCAACCCTTTGGCCTCAGTTTCCTGGATATTTTGGATAAAAGCACACCCCCATTTTGCCTGAGTTATCTTGCAAACAGCCCCGATTTTTGGCTTCATTTATTGTCTGGGTTTTGATACCAGATGAACATTTTTGGAGCATCCACTGTGTGCAAAACTCCAAGGAGCCACTGGGGCTTCTGCAGAGCCCCTGCCGCATGCTTTTCTCCAAGATGCCATCTGGAGAACCCCATCCTGCACAGTTTCAAGCAGCACTTCTGGGACGCTTGGTTGTCCTGCCTCTCTGGTGACCCCAGCTCTTTTCACATCACTTTGCTTGCCATGCACAACTGCAATTATTTGTGTGCCAGTCTCCCTCCACTTCACCCTCACGGGCAGCCCCAGGGCATGGGCTCACCACCCTCCTTGGGTCTCTACTTGTGCTTTTCTCCATCACTGGGTAACGCTGAGCGAATATGTCTCCCTGACTCAGCTTCTCCCAGCCTTCCCACTTCTCATCCTCTCCTTCTGCCCACCTCAAAGCTGCTGGAGGCTGAGCCTATGTGTGTTGGGTGACTGGCTAAGGCATTTCCCCTCCTAGGCAGCACTGTGATTTTTTTTAAAAAATCATCCTTATTGAAGTGGAGGTGTGGACCCCTTTCCCGACTCAGAGGACTGTGGTGAGGACAAGGAAGATGGCATCAAACCACTTGCATTTTATTTGGTATTTCTCAAAGCCCCTTAACATCAACTATCTCAACATTATTCCCCCCAGTCACCATGTGTGGTAGGCATGAAAGATACTGTCCCTAAAGTGGGTTGATAAAGTAGTAGTTAGAGTGACTATGCTCAGAGAAGGTGTGATTTGCCCAAAATTATACAACTTGTGAGTGGTGAAGCTGGAGCCAATGCCAAATTCTTAGTTATTTCCACAGAAACAGGGCACATTTAGGGCTTTGACATCACCAACTTTCAGAGCCTATTACTACCTATGATGAGAAGGATATAGCATGGCGGGGGTGAAGGATCCAGGCATCCTTCCATTCATTTCCTCATCCTGTGGTCCTTTCTTAGCCTTCCCTCTAAGCAAGAAGCAGTTGTTGCAGGGGGGAACACCCCAAGCTTCCCAGTGTCCAGGCCTGGGAGACTGTGGCAGGCTAAGCAATGTCCTCCCAAAGATGTCCACTTCCTAACCCCTGGGACCCGTGAATTTGTTTCCTTACATGGTGAAAAGGTCTTGCAGATGTGGTTAAAGGAAGGCTCTTGTGAAGGGGAGATGGTCCTGGGTTATCCAGAGGGCCCAATATAATCACAAGGGTCCTTATAAGGGTAGGGCGGGAGGGACAGAAAAGAAAAAGGGTGATGTGATGATGGAAGTGGAGAGAGAGAGATTGGAAGAGGCTATGCTGCCAGCTTTGAAGATGAAGAATCAGGTCAGGAGCCACCTCTAGAAGTGAGAAGAGGCCAGAAGATGGCTCCTTTCTTAGAGCCTCCAGGAGGAACCCATCCAGGCCAACCCATGTTAGACTTCTAACCACAAAAACTCAAAGGGAATACATTTATATTAGGTTTTTGTTGCTGCTGTAACAAATTGTTACAAATTCAGTGGCTTAAAATAATATAAATTTAGGTGACTTACAGCCATCCTTCTGGAAAAGAGCATTTAAATCATTTTAAGGGTCACGTGAGACCATGGGCAAACAGACCTGCTTGGAAACACATCAGTGGGGAGCAGAAAGGTCAGCATAGTTAAGGAATCAAGTCAACACTGCGGTGATAGCACTGCAGGTATAAATAAATACTCGACTCTCCTGCCACTAGGATCCTCTGCCCTAGGTATTTCACTCAGATCCTCCACTCCTGACCTGTTTTACCCACCAGTCTCAGCAGGGCTTTCCGACCTGGCATGGATTTTGAAGACCATTATAGGCTGGTAAATTTCAAATAGTTGACGTCCTTGGCTCATCCTTGTCAACGCACAGCGAACTGGTTAAATTCTAAGCCTTTGACAATGACGTTGAAAATTATGTTTTCTTCCTTAGGGCTGGTTGGAAGAACAGGAATGCGGTGGGGAGCAAAACACCCACCCATCATCCTGTCAGAGGCTATTCTATCTCAGTGGCCACAGAACTGTGGAGGAGGCCTTGAAGCTTAATTTCCCATTTTAGTGCCTTCCTTCAGAGACAGTGCTGGCCAAGAATCTATGACCTCAAATCCACACAGCACAGCATCTGCGTGATCTTGAAATGTACTTAGTAGAACAAGACATCAATCCACCACGGAAATAAGTCTGTGGTGATGCTGGGGCTGGAGTTGGGGCAGGAGATTCATGGTATATAGTGAGTCGGCCAGAATCATAATTAGAGCATTTATCATAATTCCTGACACTCTAATTGGCTTAAAAGTCTCTTCTTAGGACAGTGTTGGACAGTATTTCACCGTAGGAATTTGCTTTTCCAGGTGATTTTGTAGCAGACGTCACCACTGTCACTGACCATTATTCCCTCAAATTGGCAGAGAAGTGCCCTCCTCCCTGCCCCACTGGGGTCCATGGTGGGCACACACCAGCAGGCAAAACGATGAGGAAGTGCTGTCCTATTTGCTTCAAATTAAAATGAACACACGACACCTACCTTCCACATGAAGAAATAACACTATCTTCCCTACGTCTGTTTCTCTCTTGGCATGACTCCATCTGAGTTGGGCTCACCTTTTGACTGTGTCCTCACCATCTCACTCCTTCATGGGACCAGGGACACTGGATAGAGGGGAGGGCTCACAGAAGGGGCGTCCTTTTGGGGAAAGCTTTTGCTGATGTTGCCTGCCCTTCGCTTCTATCCAAGTCTCCCACTTTGAATTTTATTTCTGAGCTCAAAATCCCTGTGAGCAAAAATACTCTGCCCCCAGTTAAAAAAATGGGGAAAGGATTTTAATAGACATTTCTTCAAAGGAGATATTAAAATCTGCCATGAGCACCAGAAAAGATGCATCGTTAGTCACTAGGGAAGTGCAAATCAAAACCACTTTCACACCCACTAGGATGACTCTAATCAGAAAGACAGATAATAACAAGTGTTGACAAGGATGTGGGGAAATTGCAACACTCATTGTTTGTAGGATTGTAAAATGGTGCAGCTTCTGTGGAAAACAGGTTGGCAGTTCCTCAAAAGGTTAAACATTGAATTACCACATGACCCAGCAGTTCCACTCCTAGGTGCATACCCCCCAAAATTAAAAACCTATGTCCACACAAAAATTACTATGTGGATATTCATAGCACTACTATTCTTTTTTAATTTTTATTTTATTTAACTTTATTTTAATTTCAGGGGTACGTGTGCAGGTTTTTTATACAGGTAAACTTGTGTCATGGGGGTTTGTTGTACAGATTATTTCATCACTCAGGTATTAAGCCTAGTACCCATTAGTTATTTTTCCTGATCTTCTCCCTCCTCCCATCCTCCACCCTCTAATAGGCTCCAGTAGAGGTTGTTCCCCTCTGTGTGTCCATGTATTATCATTTAGCTCCCCCTTATAAGTGAGAACATGCGGTATTTGGTTTTCTGTTCCTGCATTAGCTTGGTAAGGATAATGGCCTACAGCTCCATCCATGTTCCTGCAAAGGATATGGTCTCATTATTTTTTATGGCTTTATAGTATTCCATGGTGTATATGTACCACATTTTCTTTACCCAGTCTATCATTGATGGGCATTGTTGAGTCTATGTCTTTACTATAGTGAGTAGGCACTACTATTCACAACAGCCAAAAAAGTGGAAACAACCAAACTGATGAATGGATAATTATGATGTGGTACAATGGAATATTATTTAGCTATAAAAAGGAATGAACATGGATGAACCTTGATAACATTATGCTAAATAAAAGAAACTAGACACAACAGACCATCTATTGTGCAAGTCTATTTATATGAAATATTCACAACAGGAAATCCATAGAGACAGAAAAGAGATAAGGGATTGCCAGGAAAGGGGGCAGGTGGAATGACTGCTAATAAAGACAGAGTTTCTTTTTGGGGTGATAGAAATGTTCTGGCATTAGATTGTGGTGATGGTTGCATGAATTTGTGAAGACACCAAAACACACTGAATTGTATACTTTACAAGTGTGAATTTTGCGATATGTGAATTATATTTCAATGAAAATAATTGTATGAGAAAAATATCACTTCTGGGGAGTGATACTGGGGTTCCAAGGTGGTCCTGTCTTCTGCTTGAATCTTAAATTGTATTATTTTAGTAAAGATGATGATAAAAATAAAAAAAATACGCTCTGTCAATCTGAGCTGCCTCTTCCTTCCCCATTTGGCGTTTGGTGTTATCACTTCCTGAGCAGCTGGGACAAGGGTCTCTTGCTACCCTTTGCATCCTGAATTTTATTTCTTTGCTCTCTGAGCCTGCCTTTCTGGCCATGAGCCCCCTGAAGTCCCTGCTGTGTTCCCTTCTTGTTTATTGATTTGTGTTACCAAAAGGATGTGACTTTATTTGAAATAAGGCATTTGCAGAAGTGATCAAATTAAGATGAGTTCGGACTAGATTAAGGAGTGTCTTAATCCAATGACTGGTGTACTTATGAGAAGAGGTAAATTTGGACACAGAGAAAGGCACAGAGGGATGATAATGTGAAGACACACAGGCAGATGTGTGGTGTGTGATGACAGTGGCAGAGCTGCAGTGATGCGTCTGCAAGCCAAGGAATGCCAAGGATCTCTGTCAACCACGAGGAGTCGGAAGAGGCCAGGAAGGACACTCCCCTAGAGCCTTCAGCGACAGCATGACCCTGTTGACATCTGAATTACAAACTTCTGGCCTCCAGACCTGCAAGTGAATAAATTTCTGTTGTTTTAAGTGCCCACTTTGTGATAGTTTGTTGCAGTCACCCTAGGAAACTAATATAGCGTTCTAACATGAAATCTGGCACACGGAAGCCCAAACATGTTTGTTGAGTGAATTACTCTTCTGCTTCTATGTGATCTGTGATGGCTGACATGGAAAGAAGCCCCAGCAACTGGCTGATAAAAAATGGAATAGTTAGTTCCTGCTTTTACAAGTGAGAACTTCAGCAAGAGATGAAGTTGTTTACCCCAGGTAGATAGCGGATGGGGACTGAGGATTTACTTCAGATATTTCAACTCTGAGTTAATGAAAGGAGATAGGAAAGAGAAATGAGCCTCTTCGAGAGCCTACTATGAGTCAGGCACTGTGTATGTGGTATAATTTATTTCTCTCAAGGACCCTATGTTATGAGCATTCTTATCCACATTTCTGCAAAATAGACAATTGGCATGAAAACAGAGATGGGCCTCTGGACCTTGGATGTCCAAGGTCACGTAGTAAATAGCAAAGCCAGAATTCCCCCCTCCCCGGGTCTTTATGATTGTAAGGTCTTCCTCCCCTTGATCATGCTGAGGAGATTTATTGATCAGACAGCTTTCAAATATCAGGAGGACGTTTCAAGTTTATTTGGCAAGTGATCAGGATCTACTTACCTTACAAA
Organism: Homo sapiens; assembly: GCF_000001405.40. Classification (NCBI taxonomy): domain Eukaryota; kingdom Metazoa; phylum Chordata; class Mammalia; order Primates; family Hominidae; genus Homo; species Homo sapiens. The sequence goes on from NC_000021.9 coordinate 37,806,636, forward strand.
CTCAAGTTGTGAATGAAAAATTCATTATCTCCATTTTCTAGTCATTAACTATACAATCCTGATCTAAATTCACAAATATAAACATTTTCTGTGATCAATAGAACAACGATAATATTTTAATGTGTGCAGTGTATTTTTGCTCTTTTGAGAGTAATAAATTGCTGAGATGAGTAATATAACCAATAAATGAAACATAAAAATAACTAAACCTTAAACTTAACTAAGGAATTTTTTGCATTCAGTTTTTTTCAGTGAAGTGACTGATAAACCTTCTGTAAAGGCATATAACATTCTTACAGATTATATTGTTTTATTATTTTGGGAGTAGTAAATGGGAATAACTTTCAATAGGATATGCAAACCATTTTCTTTCTCAGCATCATTTATTTTAAAAATTTTGTAACAATTTAGAAAGGTTGTTTTTCAATTTCTTTCTCCATTTTCTCAGGAAATTGCTATGAAGATTGGCTTATTTTTAAGTTGCTAACCTATTTGAGCATTTGGGGAAAGCTTTCAACAGCTAATGACCTACACTTACCCCATATGTCGGGAACATTGAGTGTAGTTAGCTAATGTTATATAATCTTTGCAAAAATTATTTTCATTAGAGTAATTACTGCTATGGTTGGGAATGAGTTATTCCATTTTTCCATGGTTTTGAGAAATATGAACAGAAAAGTACAAGCTATAATTAAATCAAACCATTAAAAAGAAATGTAATGGTTTAGCCCTGGAGTGAGTTTCTAAAATGTAAAAGTCACGTATTTCCTGAAATTCAAAGATGGTGAGAGATTCAATGTCCATTGTCATATTTAAGAACACAGTCATGTGTCGCATAACAACGTTTCTGTCATTGACGATGGACGACAGTGGTCCCGTAAGATTATAATACCACATTTTTATCGTCTTTTTTCTATGTTTAGATTTGTTTAGACACACAAATACCATTGTGTTCCAATTTCCTACAGTAGTTAGCGCAGTAACATGCTACACAGGCTTGTGGCCTAGGAGCAACAGGCTGGACCATGTAGCCTAGGTGAGTAGCAGGCTATGCCATCTAGGTTTGTGGTATCTATCTAAACATATCATCTAGCAATTTGAACTCTCTCTGAATGTATCCCTGTTCCTAATCAATGCATAATCTTATACCCATTTCATGGCTTTGCTCCGCAGGCCCAGAGCTCTGTTGGGAGACATGGTTGTGCCTTGGAGCCTCCCTTAGGACTGACAAGTAGATGTGGCAGTAGCCTGCACCTCCATGTACTGCCAGGGTCTGGGAACCAACCAGGCATCCAGGGTTCAGATAGGGGGCGAGCATGTCCTGGTGTGACATGCAGGGAAAGTTGGCAGAGGATATGTCCTGGGTGCTACCAGCCACTTATGGCCAATTGTGACCCTCTCTTCTAGAAAAATATTTCCTCTGCAGAATTCAAGGTAGCCACACCTCTACTATAGGATAAGATTAGCATTAATTGCTTAAATTATTCTATGAATTTAATAATAAACAGCAACCTGCTAGTGTGATAACCCCCAAATACATTTTAACAGAATACCTAACGAAATCCGTGGAATTTGTCCTGTTGTAGGGCATACGAGCAAGGTGTTAAAAGTGTCAATCATAACATTGTGCATGATCTCAAATGGGCTGATTATTTTGGTCCTGGGCTATCAAGTTAGCTTTGCCATATTATTCTGAGAAATGGAGCTAAAGAATCATAATCTGCCTTAAATAAAAGTCACAGGCAAGAATAACACTAAAAGTTAGATGGCCTGTTGAAAACTTGAATGGAAAACGTTAGCAAACATCCTACCACCTCCTCTCAGAAATGCACAAAGATACATGAATCATCCACTTGATGAGGTTATGCCTGGCCTTGAGTGCACTTTAAAAAAGATAGCAGCTAATCCAATAATAACGCTATTGACTTTTCCTTGTGTTAAAAATCAAATTTAATAATGTTCTGCTTTAGGCCCTAGATATCTAAGATGTTAGAACAGAAAGATTCATTTTCAAGGGCTAAGATTATTCCATTCTCCGGTCTTATGGACTGATATTGGAGGCATGAACACCCAGAGACAGAAGCCACTCATCCCTGGGACAAAAGAGTCACATACAAAGGGGCATTGGCTCTGCAAGACTTCAAGCTTCTTTATTCTCTTGGGCTAGCTCTCCCAGAGAGAAGGTCTTGATTTCCTTTCTCTCTCTCTCTTCTTTGTTAGTCTTTCTCCCCTTTTAACAGGTGCTAGAGAGGATGTGGAGAAATAGAAACACTTTTACACTGTTGGTGGGACTGTAAACTAGTTCAACCATTGTGGAAGCCAGTGTGGCGATTCCTCAGGGATCTGAGAAAACTAGAAATACCATTTGACCCAGCCATCCCATTACTGGGTATATACCCAAAGGATTATACATCATGCTGCTATAAAGACACATGCACACATATGTTTATTGCGGCACTATTCACAATAGCAAAGGCTTGGAACCAACCCAAATGTCCAACAACGATAGACTGGATTAAGAAAATGTGGCACATATACCCCATGGAATACTATGCAGCCATAAAAAATGATGAGTTCATGTCCTTTGTAGGGACATGGATGAAACTGGAAACCATCATTCTCAGCAAACTATCGCAAGGACAAAAAACCAAACACCGCATGTTCTCACTCATAGGTGGGAATTGAACAATGAGAACACATGGACACAGGAAGGGGAACATCACACTCCGGGGCCTGTTGTGGGGTGGGGAGAGGGGGGAGGGATAGCATTAGGAGATATACCTAATGCTAAATGACGAGTTAATGGGTGCAGCACACCAACATGGCACATGTATACACATGTAACAAACCTGCACATTGTGCACATGTACCCTAAAACTTAAAGTATAATAATAATAAAATAAAAAAGATATTATTATTCTTAGAAAGGAAATTTGCTGTAATTTTTTCTGATTAAAAAGATGATGTAAGTTTGTTTGGAAAACTCAAGCAATATAGAAAAAATATAAAAAGTAAAAATCTCAGTATCTGGGATTTGGGCTATTCATCATCTCCATTTTCTCCTCCTGTGGGGACACAATTATACTGGTATCTCAGCCTCCCTTGTAGTAGGTAGACATGAGCATGGTATGTGTGCTGCTTCTGGGCCTGATTCATTTGTAGCCTTCCTTGCGATACTGCATAGTCTTTCTCTCTGCCATGTCAGACTGTCATGGACAGGTCCCCCAGAGTGACCTGGGGATCCACACCCTGGAGATGATAAAGCACAAAGTGGCAGAAGCCTGAATTTCCTTTCCAACCCACCACCCCTGTCACTGGACTTTATGTGAGTGAGAAATAGGCTTCCATTGTATTGGATCATTACATATCTGTGTTTATTTTTCAATGCAGCATAGCCTATCCTACCTAACTAGTAAAATATCTTACCACCAGAAATAACAATGTAACATTTTAGTGAGAGTCATTCCAGATTATAAACAACACCTGTGTGCATGCACACACACACACAAACACACAAAATTTTTTCAAGTAGGATCATATTATACATAACACCCTTTTCACTTAACTATATCTGGTGCAAATCTTTCCATATATTGTGTCCATATCACCCTTACAAATGACTTCATGGTATTCCATTGAATGATTATACCATAATTAAATAAATTAATTTTTCATTGATGGAAATTTAGTCAGTTTCCAACAAACTTGGAATGAGCAACCTTGCATACATCTCTTGGTGCAACTGGTCAATTACAGCTTTAGGAGGCAGGGCTAGAAGGGGATTGTAAGGGCAAGAGCAAGGTTTGATCCACATTGCCAAGCTGCTCTCCAAAAAGATGAGGATAATCTACTTGTCAATGAACAGTCAATAAAATGTACCTGTTTTTGCCACCGTTACCCACCTGGTGTTGTCAAGGTATAGAATCTTGGCCCATTTAACAGGACCATTTAAATATGAGCTTATAGCAGTGATTTCACTTGTATTTCTTCTTTGGCTTTTGATATTGACGTTATTTTCATGTGTCTATTGACCCTTGATCATTTGTGCTTCCTCTTTTGTGAGTGATTTGTTTGAATATTTTGCCAGTTTTTCTACTGGGTGTGTGATACTGTGATTTATAATAAGATATACATATTGTATTTAGCCTTTATTGCTGGTTCCTGGCACAGAGCTCCTTAAACTCTTGTAATTTCCTGAGCAATAGCGGTGCTAAGGTGCATCTTTTGTTCTAATATTTGGTCTTTGACTATAGTTCCTGACATAGAGTTCCTAATCCTTGTAATTTCCCGTAATTTTATTTTAATGAGGCAACTCTTGGTGGATTCCTGGATGGGAACTGATCATCAGAGAGATCAAACCATGATTAAAAGCTTGGAACTTTCAGCCCTAACCCATCCATCCTCCGGGAAGAGGAGAGAGGCTGGAGATTGAGTTAATAATCAATCATGCCTCCATTATGAAGCCTCCATAAAATTTCTTGAACTCCAGGGTTCAGGGAGCTTCTGGGTTGGTGAACAAGAACACATCCCATGCCAGGAGGCTGGTGCACCCCAACTCCATGGGGATAGGAACCCCTGCTCTCAGACCTTTCTAACCTTTACCCTGTGCATCTCCTCATCTGTATCTTTTATAATATCCTTTATAACAAGCTGGTAAATATAAGTAGTGTTTTCCTGAGGACTGTGAGCCATTCCAGCAAATTATTGAACTGGAGAGAATCAGAAGAACCCCAGGTTTATAGCCAGTCAGAGGTATGGGAGGATGTCCAGGACTTGTGATTGGCATCAAAAGTGGGGGCAGTCTTGAGGGGCTGATGCCTTAACTTGTGGGAGCTGACATTAACTCCAGGTAGATATGTCAGAATTGCATTAAATTGCAGGATGCTGAGCTGGTGTCAGAGAATTGGTGGATGTGGGAAAGAGCCTGCACATCTGGTGTCAGAAGTGTTCTGTTTGAGAATGGAGATAAACAGTGCTTTTCCAGAGGGAGTTTGTCTTGTTCATACTAATTAGCTAGAGCTTGTCCTCCCCACTTCAAATTTGTGAATTTTTTTTTTTACCAGTGGAATATGCCATAAAACTGACATAACTACCAAGCTCTAGAATTTAAATGATCTTGGAGGGCTTAAGGGAGCTTCTTTTCAACCTCAGACATACCAGAAAGCAACGAATTCTGCAGCAGTTTTCTGGTTAATATGGCAATGCAGACCTAGGGAATATGGAGAGGTGGTTATGCAATGAAAGGGGAGACATGGGAAACACACCAGAAGACATAACATTGGAAAAACATTTGGCAAACATAAAGCCATCCCAAAAAGATAAGTTGCAACACTGCCAGTTGGGCAAGATGATTAAATGGCAGAAATATTTATATTGTTTAGGTAGAAAGAAGGGAATAGTCTCAGACATGGAATAGCTAAACTACTGAAAGAATTTAGACCATTTGGGGTCCTTCTGACCCCCGTGAAATTGGAAACCATGTAAATTAGATTATTAATTATAAATAAAAATGCTCTGGTTATACCACACTTTCTGAGGAAATCATAAGTCCTGTTACCCTAGTGTTTGGGGACTCCTCTTGGCTAAAATCACTCCCTTGGCCCCATCACCAGCTGCAGTGATTCAGGGGAGTCCCACCTGGTTGTTCCTCTTAGAGCTGAAAGTGCTGAGGAAGGCAAGGAATTCTTGAATCCTAGAGAGTCCCTATTTTCTAGAAAATGGTAGCTGAGAAAAGAAAAGTGGCCATCTAATCTGGCACTAGAACTGGGAATTTAACCAAAGGGTCATCTTACTCTGTCATTAAGAAATGGGTGTGAAGACACATTAAAAAAAGAAAACTACACACCAAAATCTCTGATGAATATTGATGCAAAAATCCTCAACAAAACACTAGTTAACTGTATTCAACAACACATTAAAAAGATCACTCATCATGACGAAGTGGGATTTATCCCTGGCATGCAAGGATGGTTCAACATACGCAAATCAATCAATGTGATACATCATATCAACAGAATGAGGGACAAAACCATATAATCATGTCAATTGAGGCTGAGAAAAAATTTGATAAAATTCAACATTCCTTCATGATAAAAACCCTTAAAAACTGAGTATAGAAGAAATATACCTAGACATAATAAAAGCCATATATAATAAAACCACAGCTAGTATCATACTGAATGAAGAAAAACTGAAAGCCTTTCCTCTAAGATCCGGAACAAGACAAGGATGCCCACTTTCACCAATTTTATTCTACATAGTACTGGAAGTCCTAGCTACAGCCGTCAGACAAGAGAAAGAAGTAAAGGGCATCCAAATTGGTAAGGAAGAAGTCAAATTGTCCTTGTTTGCAGATGATATGGTATTACATTGGGAAAAATCTACAGGCTCCACCAAAAAGTTATTAGAATTGATAAACAAATGCAGTAAAGGTTCAGGATACAAAATCAATATACAAGAATGAGTAGCATTTCTACATGGCAACAGTGAATAATCTAAAAAAGAAATCAAGAAAGTAATCCCAATTACAATAGCCACATATAAAATTAAATTACCTAGGAAATAAAGAAGTGAAAATCTCTATAATGAAAACTATAAAACATTGATGAAAGAAATTGAACTGGACACCACAAAATGGAAATGTATTCCATGTTCATGGATTGGAAGAATCAATGTTGTTAAAATGTCGATACTACCCAAAGCAATCTACAGATTCAATGTATTCCCTATCAAAATACCAATGACATTCTTCACAGAAATAAAAAAAAATTCTAAAATGTATGTGGAACCAGAAGAAACCCAGAAAAGCCAAAGCTATCCTAGGCAAAAGAACAAAACTGGAGGAATCACATTACTTGACTTCAAATTATAACACAGAGCTACAGTAACAAAAACAACAGGGTACTGGCATAAAAATAGACACATAGATCAATGGAACAGAATAGAGAGCCCAGAAGCAAATCCATACACCTGCATGAACTCGTTTTCAACAAAGTTGCTGATAACATACACTGGGGAAAAGACAGTCTCTTCAATACATGATTCTGGGAAAACTGGATATCCATATGCAGAAGAATGAAACTGGACTCCTATCTCTCACCATATACAAACATCAAATCAAAATGTATTAAAGACTTAAACCTAAGACCTCAAGCTATAAAACTACCACAGGAAAACACTGAGGAAAATCTCCAGAACATTGGTCTGTGCAAAAATTTCTTGAGTAATACCCTACAAGCATGGGCAACCAAAACAAAAATGGACAAATGGGATCATATCAAGTTAAAAAGCTTTTGCACAATGAAGGAAACAATCAACAAAGTGAAGAGACAACCCACAGAATAGGAGAAAATATGTGAAAACTACCCATCTGACAAGGGATTAAAAACCAGAATATGTAAGGAGCTCAAACAATTCTATAGGAAAACAAATCTAATAATCCGATCAAAAAATAGGCAAAAGATTTGAATAGACATTTCTCAAAAGGAGATATACAAATGTCCAACAGGCATATGAAAAGATGCTCAACATCATTGATCATCAAATAAATGCATATCACAACTATAATGAGATATCATTTCACCCCATTTAAAATAGCTTATATCCAAAAGACAGGCAATAACAAATAAAATAGCTTATATCCAAAAAGACAGGCGAGGATGTGAAGAAAAGGGAGCCCTTGTATGCTGTTGGTGAGAATGCAAATTAGTACAACCACTATGGAGAACAGTTTGGAGGTTCCTTAAAAAACTAAAAATTGGGCTACCATATGATCCAGCAATCCCACTGCTGGGTATATATCCAAAAGAAAGGAAATCAGTATACTGAAGTGATACCTGAAGTGATCAATGTTTATTACAGCACTGTTCACAATAGCCAAAATTTGGAAACAACCTAAATGTCTATCAACAGATGAATGGATATAGAAAATGTGGTATACGTACACAATGGAATACTATTCAGCCATAAAAAGAATGAGATCGGCCAAGCGTGGCAACTCACGCCTGTAATCTCAGCACTTTGGGAGGCCAAGGCGGGTGGATCACAAAGTCAAGAGATCGAGGCCATCCTGGCTAACACGGTGAAACGCTGTCTCCACTAAAAATATAAAAAATTAGCCAGGCGTGGTGGCGGGCGCCTGTAGTCCCAGCTACTGGGGAGGCTGAGGCAGGAGAATGCTGTGAACCCAGGAGGCGGAGCTTGCAGTCAGCCGAGATGTGCCACTGCACTCCAGCCTGGGTGACAGAGCGAGACTCTGTCTCAAAAAAAAAAAAAAAAAAAAGAACGAGAATTTTTCCATGGATGGAAAAATTCCGTCCATGTTTGCAACAACATGGAAGGAATTGCAGGTCATTATGCTAAGTGAAATAAGCCAGGCACAGAAAGATAAACATCGCATGTTCTCACTTATTTTTGGGATCTTAACATCAAAACAATTGATCTCATGGAGATAGAGAGTAGGATGCTTACCAGAGACTGGGGAGGGTAGTGGGAGGCTGGGGGGAGATGGGGATGGTTAATAGGTACAAAAAATAATTAGAAAGAATGAATAAGAACTAGTATTTTATAGCACAACAGGGTGACTATAGTCAATAATAATTGAATTGTACCTTTTAAAACAACTAAAAGAGCATTGCTGGATTGTTGTAACATAAAGGATAAATGCTTGAGAGGATGGATACCTCATTCTCTATGATGTGATTATTATGCATTGCATGCCTGTGTCAAAACATCTCATGTGCCTCATAAATACATATACCCACTATGTACCCACGAAAATTAAAAATAAAAGATGGAAAGCCTTGGGGAGGGGGAGAAGAATGGGTGTGACCATTGGAGTGGTGATGGCTCTGTGCAGTGTAATCACCAGACTTTGTCAGTGTCAGTCCCACAAGTGACTCGGGGCAGGTAGCAGGGCTGAGCCCCCATAGTGGGGTTCTGGGGACTTGGTCCTCCACGGAAGTCCTGAAAACTTGGTGCTCCAGGGAGATCATCTAATCCAGTCCACTTGGCCTTAGACAAGGTGGTCTATGGAACAGCTCTGGTGGAGCAGAAAGAACCCCTCTGAGTATGTCAGGTGAGTATGATGAAGGCTCAGACTCGAAGGAGCAGGGATCTCACAGTTTTCTACAGCTGTTTCCCTTTGGGAGGCTGATAAAAGCTTTGAGCCCTTGGCTTTAGCCCCCATATGTGAATAAACATGAGTGTACCCAGGACATTTCAGGTGTTCACCGAGGCCAGATGTACGTCCCTGCGCATGACACGGCAGGCAGTGACGCGACTGCAACAAGCGCTAAGAGTGCATCTTCTGAAGCAGACAGTAGAGGGGCAGGGTGTCTTGGTGAATACAGGCTCTGCTCCCTGAACACCCATTTTTAGTTTCCTCATTTGAGGTGGCCACAGGAAAGGGTGTTGGCCATGCTGGCCTCTGAAGGGAACCAAGCTCTGATGCAGGGGCCGAGACCAGAGCAGTGTCAGCGGCATCCCTGTTCTGGAAGGTCTCAGAGGAGTACCCAGGACTGGGGAGTCCAATGCCTGCCGCCTTTTCTGGAGCACTTTATTGACCTTTGGCTGTGTGCCACGCTCTGTGGTAGGTGCTGCAGGGACCAAGCATAGGTAAGGGTTCTGTGTTTTTGGAGGACCGGTTTACATTCCTGATGTTCAACTCAAAAATCCCTAGTAGGGCATCTGGGAGAAGCTATTGCAAGGGCTTGGGGTTGCTTCTATGCTCTAGATATTGCCTGCAGATAAAATAAATCATTTCTCAGTTCATGTCTGTGTTGCAGTTATTACACGTGAGTACATGCTGCTGTGATAACAGATCACACATTTACAAACGAACTGACTTTTACTTTTTGTCATTATGTATTTTCTCTCCTCCTCGCCCAATCTTTTGTGTAAGTCTGTGACCTGTCTGAGGTTATAACATCATCCTGATGCTGGAAAAGGTTGGGCATTGGCCTAGATTTTTGCTGGGCTGGGTCAGGGCGATTGGCGGAGGGGGCACCTCTGTGGCTATAGCAGTGAAACCTGCTTACGGTGGATTTCTTGGCAGAGAAGGAACATAGAGACGTGCCGCCTCTGCTGAGTGTGGATGGTGGGGATGCATGCAGGTTTGGGGTTAGATGTGATTGTGCAGTTGGTCCTAGCCCTACTTGAGGGTAGCTGGTGGGCCTTCCCATCCTGCTTCTCTTAGGCCGGTCCATAGAGAAGCAAGCCCCCCGTCCCCTATCCAGCCTAACTCAGACAACTGCCCTGAATCCAAGAGATAATGCTCTGACCCTGGCCACATTTGCTCCTACAAGCTGTCCCCTTTCTGGGAGTTTCTCTTGCCATGTTTTTGGATCCTTGATGATTGTTTCAGAGCCTGAATGCATGAGTTCAAATTCCAGTCCCCTCCCATTGTAGCTGGATAGCTGTGGGCAAGTTATTTTACTTCTCTGTGTCTCTGTTTTCTCATCTGAAGGTCTATTAGCACCAACCTCACGGAACTGTTGTCAAGGTTAAACCTGGTAATACACACAAAGCTCTTAGAACAAAAATGGCTCTTAGAATCACGGCGAGGTGCTACAGCATGGAGGTTAGGTAACTGGGTTTGCAGCCAGGTGGCCTGGGTTTGAATCCTGATTGTTCTTTCCTAGCTGGGTGCTCTTGAACAAGTTTCTTAACCTCTCTGTGCTCCTCCTGCACAGCACAAGGAGAATAACAGTATTCATCATAGAGGATTATTGCAAAGAATTAATGAAAATGGTTAGAAAGGCCCCTGATGCATACTAAGTGCTATGCAAATACTGACATATTAATTTTGTTTTACAAATGAGGAAACAGAGAGGTTAAGAAACTTTCCTGAAGTCACACAGAAGTCACAAAGCTAATGAATGGTAGTGTTGAGACTGTGAGGAGGTTAGATCCCTGAATAAAAGGGGAGACATTTCCCCATTTCTCCAAAGTATTTTCCTTGCTCTGAGAGACAGAGGGGGTATTCTCAGGTTCACCTTAGCCTGTGCATGACCCTTTGCAAGTCAGCTGACAACAGCACCCTCATCCTGGTTCAGAAATAACCGCGTGGCATTGCTGTTGTTGCCGTTGTTTTGGTCTGATATGATTTGCTGATGCACACTGACAGTTACTCTGGGAGGTGATTCCACTGTCTCCCTGGCTCACTTGGGAGGGTTCTGGCTTTTTAGCTTTGCCTCAGGTCTGACCCACACAGGTACAACAGAGTGGGTACAACAGAACTCTTTTTGTATCATTATAATTGTCTGAATATCATTAACAGTTTTCCAAATTATTTGGTGTCATTCGCACTAGACAAACTGGATATTGGCCTTGGGTAGTTATTGCTTTTCAGAAGCCCCATCTGCCTCGTACCCAGAATGCACATGAAGATGGCATTCTCTTCATTCTCAGCAAACCACAATTCAAACACTACAGATGCTTAAAAATACTTTCTCTGCCCCCAAACATTCCCCAGTCTTGTCCTTATTTCCCAAACCCTAGGAACCCCTTTCATGTGTCTTACATTTCTTGCTATATATAGCCAATTGGCTTAAAAGTGCGTGTGTGTGTGTGCGTGCGTGTGTGTGTGTGTGTGTGTGTGTGTGTGTGTGTACTCTGAATGCTGGGGCAGTTTCCTTCCTTCCTAAAGGGAATACCAGCAAAGCTGCAAAACATCTCCATGGAAACCAACCTCTCAATCCATCAAGCTTCTGCAGCGTCTAATACATTATCTAAAAGGCGGGCAGGGACTAATGAGGCAACTTAATAGAACTCACAACATGACATTTTATAACACAATGCCCATTCCTAATCAGCTAGCGGCACCCGAATGATGAAGGAATCCCATGTTTTACCCGACTCAGGCTTTGACGGCCTGCAACTTTGGTGGATTTACCACATCCCCTCCTCCCATGTCACTAAATGTAGGTCTCTATAGTAACCTACGATGCAATTTAAAATGATAATTTCTCCATAACGATAAGACTCGTCTCCCCCAACCCAACTGCCTTTCAGGTTTCTTATGTTGTCATAATGCGTTTTATCTTGTTACAATGATACTTTTCGATTCACTGAGAAAACAGAAGTGACTTCAGGAGAAATATTCCTAATGTTTTTGGTTGATTTTTCACCTTTCCCTCATCCTCTTCTACCTTTTCTTTGTCAGAGGATGGATATTAAGGTTCTAAACAATATACATTCAACCTGTTTGCATTTCTGACAGGAAGCAAAACAGGTGTAGATCTTGCTGTAAGAGAAATAAGTGGTTGGATATTAGACTTCCAAGGTTTTTCAGGAAGTCAGAAATATTAACAGACAGGATAAAGCAGGTATGGGGTGAGCTAAAAAAATCAAGCCACAAGTATTTTCCACAGGTATATTACTTCACCCCTAGAACTCTTTTTGTATCATTATAATTGTCTGGATATCGTAATAGTTTTCCAAATTATTTGGTCTCATTCACACTAGACAAGCTGGATATTGGCCTTGGGTAGTTATTACTTTACTTTTTGTTTACAGTTTCTTCTGTTGTTCAGAATCCTTCTGGCAACAGATAGTGAATGATTCCAAATCTCTTTCAACTTGATGAACTGTTTTGCCTGAAATGCTCTGGGAAAAAAAAAAATGTAGGATCAGATCATGTGAGACAGAAATTGTGCTAAGTTGTTTGTCATTTTAGAATTGAGATCAGAGTGTCAGTGCCTGAAAAACTGAGGTCGTTCTGTTTGCCTCTTAGACTTTTTAACTCCTGGTATTTAAAAACCATCATAAATTATTAGTAGAATGATTATAGCAAGGGAATACAATTTGAGAATGCTTGGAGATTGAAATTCCATCTGACAAATCTGAAAGGACATTATGTATTTAAGGAAAAAAAAAACTTCCCAGAACCTTATATCCTCTTCAACAATGTACTACATGTCACTGCCCAGTCATGTGACAGGTACAGCTATAACCAGGCAGAAGTAACCTTTGTTTTTCAGATTATAGATTAGCCTCCTTCTTTACCTACATTGTTTTGTAAAATGTTGTAAATGACTGAAGGGTGCCAGGTAAGACCTCTTTGCTCTTACTGTTTATTTTCATTATAGATTAACTCCTCTCTTACTTCTGTCATGCAAAGACTTCATGGCTATCACATTGTCTAAGATGGAATGTTAAATACACTTTTTTTTTTTTGAGATGGAGTTTCACTCCTTGGAATGCAATGGCACAATTTTGGGTCATTGCAACCTCTGCCCCCTGTGTTCAAACTGATTCTCCTGCCTCAGCCTCCTGAGTAGATGGGATTACAGGCGCTCATCACCACACCTGGCTAATTTTTTTTGTATTTTTGGTAGAGTCGGGGTTTCACCATGTTGGTCAGGCTGGTCTCGAACTCCTGAGCTCAGGTGATCCACCCGCCTCAGCCTCCCAAAGTGCTGGGATTACAGATGTGAACCACTGTGCCTGGCCCACTCTTTTAAATTGGAAAGGAACTAAAAAGCTGTATGGAAAAGAAAACAAACTGCAACTAATTACACGGTTGTAACTCACAGAAAATGTAATCTGATTACATTTCTTTGTTTTCTTCCTATATAAGCAAGATCTTAACTTTTAACTTTGAAGCGCTGACCCATTTATGTGGAGTCTCTTTTCCGGATGGCTACTCCCAGCTTTTTGCTTGAATAAACTCTTTAAAACTGTATTCTGATTCTTTTTAATTGTTTCGGATTGATCTGTTGAAGTACATGTTCCTGCTCAAAGCTGGGTGTGCTGCAATTCAATTCTGACACTAACCACCTGGAGTTAGACTTCACAGATTAGGGACTCTGTCCTGGAAGCCACAGATTTACTATGGATTTGCTGTGTGTCTGCCATTTTGCACTGCATTTGGATGACACTGCTTCAGATGTCAGCAGCACATCGGGGATCCTAGGCTATCCTCACTTCTGACCTATGTTCTGATCAAACTTCCTGCTACGAATTCTGGGGTTCGTATGACCCATTCAGGTTCCATAATTTACTAGAATGACTAACAGAACTCAAGAAAGTGCCATGTCAATGTTATTAACCTTGTTCTTACTCCTCATCACTTTGGCAAACCCAAATATTCAGATAATTTGTTTCTTTTTGAAAGCTTATTATTATTTTATTTGCTTTTCTGAAGAGCTTAGGATATAAGAACTTAGGAGATACACTGACCAAAAACCATGAGGTATATGTTGGCAGCCCTTGAGGGATGTGCCTTGTTTTGACTAGTTGGATTTTCTTGTGAACAATGTCTTAAGTAGAAAATAACCCTCTGTGTTCAATATTATTTCTTGTTGAAAAACTTAAAAACGTTTTAGCTGGCTTTCCTGTCTTAAGAGAGTGTGACAGATACTAATCTTCTATTTAAAATGTTTCAGCTGGTTTTTCTATCTTAGGAGAGTGTGACAGATACTTATCTCCCATTAATGATGCTCATTCTTGCCATGTCTCCTCTTGCAAATATTATCACAACCACTGTTGCATGGTTTTGTGAAGGTGTGACTAAATTTGTTCTGACCCCAGTATAATAGCACATAATATGGAAAATAACTTTTTTATTTAGGTGAATTTCACATAACAAAAAATTGACAATTTTAACTTAAAGTAAACGTTACCTACATTGTTGCACAATGCTGTATAACCACTACCTCCATCTAGTTCCCATTTTCAACAACCCAAAAGGAAATCCTGTACTCACTTAGCAATTCTCTCCTTCAGAAGGCAATTTTTTTATTTCTTAATTTTTTAAAATTTAATTTTACATTCTAGGTTATCCATGAAGGACATGCAGGTTTGTTATATAGGTAAGCGTGTCATGGTGGTTTGCTGCACCTATCAACCCATCACCTAGGTATTAAGCCCCACATGCATTAGCTATTTATCCTGATGCTCTCCTTTCCCCTGCCCCCCCAACAGGCCCCAATGTGTGTTGTTTCCCTCCCTGTGTCCATGTGTTCCAGAAGGTAATTATTTTTAAATGAAATCTTTGTTATCAGTCGTCCACTTAACACCTACTTATGCCAACTGTGTTAGGGTACTTTATTTCTTTATCACTTTCTCATTTTTCCTAAATGTATTGTATATGGTTATAGGAAGACTTTAGTCTACTGGGTCTGGTTAATCAAATAGTAAATTCTACTCTATAAATAGAATCTATATCCTTTATTTTATCCAGAAAGAATGGCAGACACACAGCAAATCCTAGTAAATGCTGAATGACAGTTTTCCTGTAATGGTTTTGGATTAGAATTATATTGTCTAATGGTTGTATTATTTTAAAGATTTCTTTAGCAGGCATTAGTCATGACCAGCCAGAGACATGACTGCATATCTGAGTCAATGTGAAGATTCCACCAGAGGAGGATAATCAACACAGAGGAGCTGTCACACCTGTTTGTTAAAATAAGTATTTCTCACACTGCTTCAGGTGAGCCAGGTTGAACTGAACTGCAACCTGAAGCTACTATTCTCAGGTGAGCTAGCTTCCCAGAGTTGCTGTTTGGAGAGACAGATGTAATAACAATCTGGCTGCACGTGGAGGATGACAGGTCCCTTGTCATGCTAGGAGCTGGGGAGTGGCTTGCAGACACCATTTCACAATGAAGAGTGGGTCGTGGTTTGATAGGCACCTGTTGTCTATGGCCATACCACTCTGAACATGCCCAATCTCCTCTGATAGGCACCCATTCCTCGTGGATGGGGAAGGTGGGGGTGCTGCCAGGGCTGTGCCCAAGTGCCTGGTTCCATTTTTTCCCCCAACACCAGACAGCAGCCAATATCCCAGGACAGCTCTGGGGCTCCTACAAGCTGGGAGCTGTTCCTGAAAACCCACTCAGCTCTCTGCTCCTGAAGCCTCTGAATGGGTACGGGCTATTGTTTTATGCGGGAAATTATCTGTCAAAAGAAACGCCTTCTGTGTTCCTACTCAGCATTGAGAGGCATATTTTTGTTGAGAGGATGCTTTATATTGGGGTCTATGGCTTTGTTGGAGCCTGCTCACATAGACAAGTGAGTGGGAACTTCTCATAGACCTCTAATCTCTATGGATTCGATTTTGATTGTCTTTTGTGAGGATGTAAAACCCACTATTGGTCTCAGGTTCACTGAGGAAAAGAACCTATGGCTCTGTCAAGAAGCCATAGACTTAAATCACTTTTAATAAATATTTAGATTGGGTCTTATATGACAGCTCAGAATGTTTCAGTGGAATTGACACCAAAACGGGGGACTCGAGAGTGATGTCAGCAGGGGGTGGAATAAGACTTTTCAGTCCTCATTCCTTCATCGAAACATCACTTTGAACAACTTGTCATGCATGAAAATTCCTTCACAAGAGCTAAGGAAACCAGGCAAGAGACTATAGCACCAGGGGTTAGCACAGAAATAAGAAAGGACATGTTGAAGAGGGAGGGACAGATTCACATAACCTGTGTCACCCTCCCCTAAACCCGAGCAGCACAGCATGGAGAGAGATGGCAGGCAGGCCCCCAGCCCCAGTCTGCAGGCCAGCACCTGCCGAACCAGCCCCCACGGCCACCCCAACACCAGGCCAGAGCCCTCAGACTTAGGCTCTGGGCACACCTGAGGCTCCAGAAAAATGCTGCAATAAACATAGGATTTGGAAAAGAAGGAAATTCTGTCACTTGCAACAACATGGATGAACCTGGAGCACATTATGTGAAGTGAAATAAACCAGGTACAGAAGGACAAATACTGCATGATCTCACTTACATGTGGAATCTAAAGAGTCCAACCCATATGACATGGTTTGGCTTTGTGTCCCCACCCAAATCTCATCTCAAATTATAATCTCCATAATCCCCACATGTCAAGGGAGGGACCTGGTGGGAGGTGATTGGATCATGGAGGCTCCTTCCCCCATGCTGTTCTTCTGATAGTTAGTGAGTTATCATGAGATCTGATGGTTTTATAAGTGTTTGACATTTCCTCCTACACACTCTCACTCTTTCTCTCCTGCCGCCATGTGAAGAAGGTGCCTGGTTCCCCTTTCGCCATGATTGTAAGTTTCTTGGGGCCTCCCCAGCCATGTGGAACTGTGAGTCAATTAAACCTCTTTCCTTTATAAATTATCCAGTCTCAGGTAGTTCTTCATAGCAGTGTAAAAATGGACTAATACACCATAGAAGCAGAGAGTAGGTAGAATGGTGGTTCCCAGAGGCTAAGGGATGGGGAGATGTTGGTCAAAGAACACAAAGTTTCAGTCAGACAGCAGAAGTTCTGGATGCTTACCATACGGTATGGTGACTGTGGTTAATTATTATGCATTGTATACTTGAAATTGCTAGATCTTAAATATTATCACCACAAAAATGATGTTTGTGAGAGGGATATGCTAACTAGCTTGATTGAATCATTTCACAATGCGTACATATATTCAAATATCACATTGTAAATATATACAATTTTATTCATCCATGATATCTCCATGGAGGTGGGGGGAAAAAGAGACAAATGCATTTTTAAAAAGGGAAAGTTCTTGACACAAAAAATGCATATTTTTGTTCTGGTTAATGTAGAGAGTCAGCCTGTGTCAGGACAATTCAAAATTCAAATTTGAGAAATCACCAGAATTCCTATAGGCCAAGTCCTTTCTCTTAATGTCATATTTAACACCTTCATAATTTTTATGATATGACTGTTAGACAAACACAATTCTGAAGTAAAACTGTCATTCAGCAGTTTTACTTCAACCTCTCTCCTCGTGTTCAACTCCTGTCAGAAATGACCAAAAACTGGATGGCTTAAAACGATATAAATTTATTCTGTTCTGTAGATGAAAAGTCTGAACTCCAGGTGTAGGGGGTGGGGGGCAAGTTCTCTCCCAGGCATCTAGGGGAGTGATATGGTTTGGCTCTGTGTCCCCACTCCAATCTCATCTGGAATTGTAATCCCCACATGTGGAGGGAGGGACCTGGTGGGAGGTAATTTGATCATGGGGGCATTTTCCCCCAAGCTGTTCTTGTGATAGTGAGCTCTCATGAGATCTGATGGTTTTATAAGTGACGGGCTTTCCTGCGCACACTTTCTTTCCTGCCACCATGTAAGACGTGCTTGCTTCTCCTTTGCCTTCTGCCATAATTGTAAGTTTCCTGAGGGAGGTCGCCTAGCCATGCTTCCTGTTAAGCCTGTGAGTCAATTAAACCTCTTTTCTTTATAAATTACCCAGTTTCAGGTAGTATCTTTATAGCAGTGTGAGAACGGGGAGGATCCTTTCTAAGGATTCTCCCTAATACAGGGAGGGTCCTTTCTGGCTTCTTCCAGATCCTGGTGGCTGCTGACCGTCCTTGGCTTTCGTGGGTTTACTCCCCAGTTTTCAAGGCCGGCATCTGTAAGTCTCTGTTCTGTCTGCATGCCAACTCCTTCCCTGTGTGTGGTCAAATCTCTCTCTGCTTCCCTCTTACAAGGATACATGTGATTGCATTTAGGGTCCACCTGGATGATGTGGGGTATTCTCTCCAAGTCAAGATCCTTACTTCCATTTGCTGAGATTTTTGGCCATATAAAGTTTGGCCATTTAAAGGTTCCAGGAATTAGGATCTGGATCGTCGAGGCCAATTTTTAAATCTACTACAGTAGTTAAGCAGATTTCTATACCGTAGGACATTTTGAAACATTTATTACACTAAATATAATTCACTGAGAATCTCAAGAGGAGGGCTAAGAACTTCCTAAAATTGTTGAATCTTCAACACCCTTCTTCAAGCCTGCTTTAAAAAAATTTATCCTGAGGCTACCATGAGACTAAAGCCTCTAGGAGTACTTCAGAAAATGTTATCCTATGGATAACTGGGCAACATTTCATATATACAAACTCCTTGTCTAGCACTCAATACCTCACTCGATCCAACCCCATCTGTCATTCCTAGACTTTCTCTTACTATTTTCTTACTTAAAGTGTTCACCTTTAGTATGTTCTGATCACTGTTCTCCAAACACATACTGTGCTTTCCTGCCTCTATTTTTTCTCCTAAGTGAATGACCACTGTATTCGTCCGTTTCCACACTGCTAATAACAACATACCCAAGACTGGGTAATTTATATAGAAAAAGAGGTTTAATGGACTCACAGTTCCATGTGGCTGGGGAGGCCTCATAATCATGGCAGAAGGTGAGGGAAGAACAAAGGCGTGTCCTACATTGAGGCAGGGAGAATGAGAACCAAGCAAAAGGGGAAACCCTTGATAAAATCATCAGATCTTGTAAGACTTATTCACTACCACGAGCACAGTATGGGGCAAACTGCCCCCATGATTCAATTACCTCCCTCTGGGTCCCTCCCATGATGCGTGGGAATTTTGGGAGCTACAATTCAAGATGAGATTTGGGAGGGGACACAGCCAAGCCATATCAGCCACCTATCCCCTTCCCCACTGCACCCCTAACTTGCAGCACTGTGACCCCTTTCTCTCTTATTAAGTCTGGGCATTCTCCAAGGCCCAGCTTTCTCTAAGTCTTCCTTAATCCCCCAAGAAAGGATCTCCCCTTTTCTAAATTTTAGCTTTAGTGTTGAGGTACCCTGGGGTCAATAATAATCCAGTATAGAAATGTGCGAATAGTTACTTTTTTTGTTTTACAAGCACCTTCAAAGTCATCCCTTGATTGATTGTGTTGTCTTTGCAATATGGAAACTGGAGCTAAAACAGGAAGTTAAAATTACAGCATAATGTTGGGGTTCCTCCAGGAAGTGGGGCATTTCAGGTTGAACTTCATTTGATACCGTGTCTTAGTTTAAAAAAGTGAAAAAGTGGAGTCTGCAGGTGTGCCTCTCTCACTTGGAATCTCATCATCTATTTCCTTATGATAATTAAGTCTTGTTCAAAGTAGTGTTTAACTTTTTATGTCAGACTCACAGGTATGGCTCCTGTTTTGTAACTTACCTCTTCCCCCCTCCCTCATGGTACCTACTGATAAATACTTAGTGACTACTTGGTTATTTCCAATTTATTAAAAAAAAAAACAGATTTTTAAAAAGAGAATGCAAGGAAGAATCGTGTAAAATAATTCTGATGAATGCAACTCTCGATTTACTCAAAGAAAGATTTCTTTCTTCCTTGATGGCCTTAGAGTAACATTTCCAAATCTGACAAGAGAAAATAATGAGAAAACCTCCATGGGAGAGATTAGAGATGGGTCTGAAACCTTTCCTCTTATTAAAGCCAAGGAAACAGGGTGGGGAACACACACAAGCAGAGAGTAGCCTGGATTTCTTTCTTAAATCCAGACTCGTTTTGTCCTTTTCACGTCTTACTGAGAGTGTTCTTGTTAAGAATGCGTGGTGGAAGAAGGGACCGCAAAGGCTTGTCCCTGGGATGTGGGGACTCAGCGACTCTCAGGAGAAAATAATTTTGGGAAGGAGATTATTGAAGAGTCAGGGCACAGTGGCCTCTGGGTTTAATTGGACACTTCTGAGTATGAGAGCTATAACCTGAATTAAATAAATCTCCACTAAGAAAAATATCCCTAGCAACTAAGCAGGGAATGATATTTGGTTTGGGTTTGACTTCAGGAAATCAAAAGTGTGCTTTATCTCCCTGAATTCTGTGAGCTGGACTGTGTGAGTCCAGGAAGCAATCACCCTCTATATCCCCATCTGTCCAAGGGGAGTGTGTGGTACCAGGAGGGAAGCACTTGCATATTTGGCAGGAAAGATCACTAGTATTTAGCAATGAAACCCACAGGTATACTCTGGCAACAATGAGATTTCAGGTGTAAGGTGCAGTGTTACTTGTCAGAATAAACGTACTGCAGGTAACAAACACCACATATCCAAATCCCGTAAGTAGTAGAAATCGATCAACAAGAATTTTTTAGTACCTAATGGAAATTTATAAAATCATAGAGTGACATCATAACCCTTGGGTTTTTTTTTTAACCTCGAGTCTTTAAAAGGGTTGAATACAGTACAAGGTGATAAAACTCAACAATATGAATATTATTATAATGGGCTTGAGTTGAGAATAGTAAGTAAAACAAGGTATGGAAGATAATGATACTTTGTCATTTTCACCTTTGTTTGAGTGCCTGATATGGGACAGTTGCTATGTTACATGTTTTATATGCATTATATATTAGTTTTCAATATATGAATATATTATCTCTCTCTCAGCTTTCAGTGTATCTGTTAGTTTATATACACAGGGAACATAATCAAATGCAGTTATACATATTTATATATGTATAAATATACATATTAGCACACATGTGCACATACCCATTAGCTTTGTGTATATTATGAAACCCAGGTGGGGAGCTGGTATGATCAGTGGCAGAAACTCGGACCAGAGGGGTTAAGTGAGTTGCCTGTAGCCTCACAGCTAGGAGGTGGCTGGGCCACAGTTAGATCAGCTCTGTCTGTCTCTTAAGGCCACACTGACGTGCCTCACCTGATAAGCACTACACCCTCTGTGGACGGCAGGGATGTTGTGCTAATTGTGGAGAAGCCTTTATGAATGCAATTCTGGGCTGCAGAGAAATTCTGAGTCAATATTTAAACATGTAGATATCCCCAACCCCCAACACCTTTGAGCCTGAAATGTCATATCTTGTGATAAAGGTGACATGGAATCAGGAAAGCACACCGGGGTGTAGGTGGTGATGTTTTTACTGCTGAACATCCCGGACGCCTTGACTTTTTCCTCTCTGGGAAGCCATCGAGGAGGTGGCTTTCTCCCACTGGTGCCATCCACCTTCATCTGAGTTTAATTCCCCGCAGCACTGGAAGCCAGGGTGCTTCCCCGGCCTGCTTCCCTTCCCCAGCTGAATTCAGGGAGCCTGTGGGCTGTCCCAGCTCACACACCTGTCACCAGGGAGAAGGCAGGCCTGGGAGCTGGGGGGTGATGGATTCTTGATGAAAAGTCCCTGAAGAGATCAGTTTCCTTTCGGTGACAAAGTAACATGAGGCAAAGCGGGCTGCATGAGGTGAAAAGCAAATTCCTCCAAGCAGGTGTTTGCATCAGTCCCGGTCCGGGAGAGGCCCATGGCTCTGCGTGGCAGGCTGTCCTCCCCACCCTCGTAGCTGCGCTCTGCGGAGTTTCAGCCTTTAAAATTCAGTGTTCTGCTGCTCCCTCTGACCATCTGCTCACTCAATTTCCAGAGCTGAGGCTGAGGCTCAGCGCTTCCTAAACATGCTGCCTTCTCCCAGCTGTGGACTGTCCACGCTTCCCTGATGAGTTAGCCATCTACTCTGTACCCTCCAGGCTGTCTACCCTGCACCCTCCAGCTTTTCTCTTGGCCACACATCTGGGCATCTCTTCCAAATGGCCATTTGTTTGCAGGTCCCATTTGTTTGCATGGCCATTTGTTTGCTCTCTGAGGGTGCAGGGAAAGGCTGGCACCCCAAAATCCAGCCATGCAGCCTAACCCAGGGCCTGTGCCATCCTGGGGGAGACTTCCTCTCCTATTGCCCTCTGCCTTGCCTGGGTAGAACCTGCTGTTACCAGAGGTTGATGGGAGGATGAGCAGAAGTGGGAGTGGCGGGAGGTGGGGGATGGAGCCTGAACCAGGGGTGGAGGTGGTGGGAGGGAGGAGCGGGCTCTTGGAGCCAGGTGGCAGATTGTGGGAGGAGGGCGGGAGGGACAGTGAGACACAGTGAGATGGGGTGGCAGTTGGTGGGAGGCGGGGAAGGCGAGCGGAGGAAGTGTGAGGCAAGAGAGTTTAAAAATGTGTTTATTTACTTTTCTACTTTGGGCTGGAGCAAAGGCAAGTGGGGGTAGGTGCCTTTCATGTTCCCTCTGGGAGCTGGGGGCCTCCAGCTTTGGAGAGGTGCTTCTGCACTTGGGTTTGGTTGGGGCTCCTGGATGTCACCTGGGCACCCCACTGGCTTGGAAGGGGCTGGGAACACATCCTGCTGCTGGGTGTGTGGGGGCCAGGGGGCAGTGATGGAGACAGAGGCAGAGGTGTGTGGAGCTTGTGGCCCCAGTGATGATGGTGGCCGCCTGGCTCAGGCCTCTGTGTCTGAGTTGCCAAGCTGGGCTGGTAATGCAGTGACTCATGTTGTGAACAGCTGCTTTGCCCATGATTACTTTCTGTAAGAGGAGTGGCAAATGAGGAAGGCCAAAGTCCCTGTGAACCCATGCGAGAGAGGAAGACACTGGAGTGAAATGCTCCATGGAGGCTTTGCCCACGCAGGGGTGCCCCCGAGATGGGGGCAAATGGAACCAAGTGAAAAGGTCCATAGCTGCCCCAGAGCCGGGCTTTCCATTACCAATAACTTGGAAAGGCAAAATGAGTGAGAAAAATTATTATTGAGGAAGTCATCGGGCAGGCCCTAAAACCTGCTGTTGTGGAAAGAATGACACTCTCGTTCCATGTTCTGGGAGAAAATGGCCAGCTCTGCTCAGAATCAGGGTCCCCGCCTCCTCCACCTGCCCACTTTCCTGCTCTCCTGTGTCTGTCAGTCCCCAAGGCAGTGGTATTTCCAACTCCCCGACAACACCATCACGATGGAAAAATCAGTGCATCTTTCTGAGCCTCAATCAGATCATCAATTAAATACAGATTCTTATGTCTGAATTGTCTCCACAGTCAGGTGGCTGACCAGACAGACTCTCCTGGTGGCTTCCTGGAGTGGTTCAGGTTGATCATCCCAGTGTTAGGCAAGTGGAAGGTGGGAGGCCGTAGCCTGGAGACCACAGGCCTAGGGAGGGTCTGAGACTGACTAGCAAATCCTGCCATTACTGCAGAAGAATAAATGCCTGGGTCTGTTTGGCCTTCCTCTTCCTTCCTGGTTTCATCTACAGCATTGATTTTCAACTACTCCCCTGGGGGTGACTTTGCTCCCCCAGGGAAAATTTAGACATGTCTGAAGTCACCTTGTTGTCATACCTAGAGGGAGGGTGCTACTGGCTTCCGGTGGGTTGAGGTCAAGTTGATCATCCTACAATTCACATCAAGAATTACACAGCTGACAAATCTCACTGGTGGCCACGCTGAGAAAGCCCAGTTCATTCCTTCCCAGTGCCAGAGAGAAGGTGTGGGCATCAGAGAGGTGAGTTTCTTACCAACCAAGTAAGGGACATTCATCAGAAGGTGAGGGGCAACGTGATCTCCAAGACAGCAGAAAGAAAGGAGATGAATTTTTAGGTAACAGTTTTAGCCCCATTTCCATTTGCACAAAGACCAGTAATAACT
Source organism: Homo sapiens (assembly GCF_000001405.40). Lineage (NCBI taxonomy): Eukaryota > Metazoa > Chordata > Mammalia > Primates > Hominidae > Homo > Homo sapiens. Next base: position 37,830,795 of record NC_000021.9, read on the forward strand.
TACAGGAATGTCACGCGTGATGGTTCTAAAATTTTGCTGTTTTGCAAACCCCTGCATGTTTGTACCAGTTAAATGCTTTAAGCCACATGCTCATTCTGGATATGGCAAGGGAGGGAATTGCATTCTTATTTGGAAATGGCCGTTAGGGGGAAGATCCTGGGCAGTGAGTGCAGGAGGCAGCAAATAAAAACTACAGGATCAAGAAAGTCCCACCCTGAGGGACATGGGAGGGAGAAGAAGGGAGAGCAGGCAAGGCGGGAAGCCCCCCTTGCATGGAGACATGGCTCAGGCCTTCTAGTCCATTTCAGCCCTGTCAGCCTCAGAGGTAGGTAGGATCTCTGATTCCAACTGAACATGCCTGTAATCTCAACCAGGAAGCAATTATCCTTGAGTTTAAAAGATATTTTCCAGTAAGGACAAACGTATCTCACAGTGAAAAAATACCAGCTTTTCAGAGGAGCACAGACAGGGAAGAGCCTACTAGCTTGCTTTTGCTTTCAATCAAAGGCTGCTTTTCTGCCTAATGGTGGGACTGAAATGATACATTGTACAGGGACTGCACTAATGTGATGAAGAAGCATAAACGAAGTTTCTGCTGCTGCTCCCAGCCAGCCCTTCTTAGTATCCACTGAGTGCCTCACTCCCCTGGTCCTGCAGGTAACCCAGCAATGAATAACAAAAGAGAGGCTGAATCCCTCAGTTACAAGTTGAGATGACAGGAGGCAATTTGGCAAGCATGAGCAGACAGGGGTGGTGAAGGAAAGCTCTTGGAGCCATAGGAGAGCATGAAAACCCGCCTCTAGGTTGGCCTTCAGGACCTGTTCCCAGAAGTACATGGCAGAAGCTCTTGGTAAGGGAATGACTGCTTCTGTTAGTACCTGTGCTGGCAACTCAAAACCTGCACCTGCCTCCAGTCCTGTAGCTCACCTAGCTCAGCTCACCCTGCAGGAGGGGCACACGGTCCTGGGGCAAAGGAGGCAGGGGAATGCGCAAGGAGGGGAAGTGGAGAATTGTCAGAAGGCGGTCTTGCGGGGAGAGACTGGGCAGCCTTAGTGATACCTGCCCACTATGGAAGAGGAAGGCAAATGAGAAGGGAGGTTTTGGAGAGAAGAAAGGCAGTAGAGGGAAGTAAGTACCATTCTGCAGGGACAGTAGAAGGCACACTGATGGACAGCTGAGGGGGATGGAGTCCCTGTGGGACTTTAAGAAGACCCCAAACCTCCTTTATAAAGGAAGTATGCCTCTGGTAGGGACATAGCAATGTTTTCCTGGGTGGTTGTCACTGCAGAGCTCATTAGACAATAATCAGAAATAAAACATCACAGCCATGTCTTAAAATATGTAATGGCAGGAACTGAGTTGTCAAGAGTAATGAGTTTAAGTCAAGTTACTTTTGAGATGATGCTATAACTACCTGTGTGAGTGTGAACCTGAGATAAGGATCTTAGTATTTAAAGTGCCTAAATTTCATTGGTAGGGAGAAAGTGCATTTTAAAAAGCACCATCTAGTGGGCCTGGAGTAGCTTTTGTCCCGGGGGATAAAGGGTCATTTAGCACCTTAAAGACCATATACGATGAACAGCTCTGCCCCGCGTGAGGTGACACAACGTCTTCCTCGGCCCTTAACTCCCAGCCCAGCTACAGGATCTACAGAAATCTACAGGATTCTCCCATTGTCAGGAACCCTGGGACCTCCGGATGAATGGGCTCCCATCTAGAATTCTGACACCTGCTTTCCTGGCTCTTTGTCTTGGTTGCTGGGACCCAGGCTTTGTCTTTGTAGGCAGGTGGTTCTGGAGGCATGGGGCAGTCATCTGCTCTCTGACGGTCAACTCAGGTTTTCCCCGTGCCCATCCTGGTCTGTCTGTCCTCAGGTCCCTGCCTCACCCTTAACCTGCTCAGCTCTGTATCTGGTGGGGGGCGGGGAAGCTCTGTCAGCTGACATCCAGATAGGCTTAGCCAGTGGGGGCTCCACTGGGAGCCTGGAGGTCGGTGGGAAGAGAGAACAAAGGTATTTCTCTCCCTCTTCTTGGCCTATAGAGGCGTCTCTGGCAGTGACCATACCTCCTGCATGGCTCAAGCTTTCATCAGACAGGTAGGCTGTCGTTCCAATTCTGTCGCCCCTTTCCATCCCTATGACCTAGAGGTAGTGGTGGTCCCCAGCCATTGCTGAGAGTAGATTATCTCCCTGTCCCCCAGTCTGGCTTCTCGGCATTTCTTTTCTTTTCTTTTTTTTTGAGATGGAGTTTCACTCTTGTTGCCCAGGCTGGAGTGCAATGGCGCAATCTTGGCTAACTGCAACCTCCACCTCCCGGGTTCAAGCAGTTCTCCTGCCTCAGCCTCCAGAATAGCTGGGATTACAGGCATGTGCCAACATGCCCAGCTAATTTTTGTATTTTTAGTGGAGACGGGGTTTCACCATGTTGGCCAGGCTGGTCTCGAACTCCTGACCTCAGGTGACCCACCCACCTCAGCCTCCCAAAGTGCTGGGATTACAGGCATGAGCCACTGCACCCGGCTGACTTCTCGGAATTTCTAGCATGCAGTTCAGCCCCTCTGTCTTCTGGTGACCATACATCCTCCTTCCAAACACAGAGTGGAATTGTGCCCCCTTCATCTTGGAAGTTAGGCGAGGTTATTGACTTGCTTTGGCTAATGCAATCAGAGCAGAAGTGACATGTGTCATGTGTCACTTCTGGATGGAATTTTAAGATGCAGTGTCAATATACCATGTGCTCTTCCCCACCATGGCCATGGATGTGAAAACGCAGGTGGAGATGCAGCCTCCGAGACTGTGGGGGTCCCAGGGTGACCCTAACATGTCCAGTTCATGGCTGACCAGTGTGGACAAGTGGCATAAAGGAGAAATAAACGTGTGTGCATATGCATGTACATTCAGCCACAGAGATGTTTTTGTTATTGCAACATAACTTAGCCTCATGCCACTGATATACACACACCTGCCCTATTTGTATCCTAGAGAGTAGGGAGTTCTTTCCCAAAAGGCACACTGACTGTGGACCAAAAATAACTCCAAACAACTGAAGCCTGTGCCTAACAATGGAAAACCCTAAACTCAATATATTTGCATTTGAACCAATTGTAACAGCTTATCAAATGACTCCTTCTACCACCTGCATTTCTAGCCCTGGGGTGTCTCGAAAGCTTCGCCAAGCCTCTCTCCTAAGCTCAAAGTCCTTTCTTGTCCTCCACTACATCCCACTGGTCACCACCTCTTAAATTCATTTCAGATCCACTCTTGTCTAGGTCCCCAGAGCCTCTCAGCTCATGTGGTGTGCCAGCTCCTGGATTCTTTCATCCGTGTATGCCCAACCTGCAATCCACGCCATGATGCCTCAGTGGATTCCTTCTAAAATGCTGATCTTCTTTGAAACCTTCAGCACTGCCCCATTACCCACAGGAAAAATTCAAGCCACATACAGGCCCTTTTATAATCTGACCTCTCCTATCTGCCCAGTCATCTGCTATCAATGCTTTGCTCTTCCGCCACCTCTGTCTTCCTGCATGACGTTCTAGCACTTACAGTCCCATTGGCTGCCTGGTGGAACCCTGATCATCCTTTGGGTGCCTTTTTGATGCAGGAGCACACTGGGGTCTGTAAAAGGAAAGCCTCGTGGCCTGCACCTGCAAGCTACAGCGACTTACAGGATGCTTCTGCAAGAACGCATGCCACATGTCATAGCTGTTACTCTCTTGCCTCCTTTGCCCCCAAATGTTGCGCCTGGTGCAGGCAGGAACCCCATCTTTTTGTCTTTCTGTGCCTTAACACAATGCCAGAGCTATAATAACCACCCCATAAAAAAGGGAATAAATGATTAAAAACCACTCTGCTTTAATTGAGCTAATTTAATGTGTGGTGATTGTAATTGGTTCTCTGTCTTCATTTCATCTGACACAACAGCATTTCAAATCTGTACTAAATTTGAGCTGTTTCTTTAGTCATAGGAGGAATTCCCTCTATATCAAAGCAGACAGCCAAGACCTCTGAACCCCTCACAGAGCAGGTCCTTGACTCTTTGCAGAAAAAGAAACCATAGTCTTTTTGCCTGTTTCTGGCTGGATGAAGATTCAGCCCCTGGAGCTACTCAGAATAAAGCTGCTGCTCTGTTATTTATTTGGAAATGATGAGTACCTCTTCTCTGCTCCATGTGGATGTGTTATGGTGGTGATTTCAAGGTGGACCATGCCCAAAGGGATGGCTGGGGTAGAATGGCTCATGACAACAACCCCTAGGGACGCTCTGGCTGCCAAGGAAAAGTGGGGAGTGGGCATGCCTGAGAGAGACTGGCAGGATAGAGACAGAAAGCAAGAGGAAGCCAACTCCTTCTGCCAAGATGCAGAGACAGCCACAGGTAGCTCAGGCGGCCCCCACTTACTGATGCAGTAATGCATGGCAGACACACAACTGATGCAGAGAAGGGGACAGAAGTGTGATTTCAGCTTGCCAGCAGAACCCTGAGGTTGGAGGTGGGGGGTCCTAGGGAAGGGATCCTGCAGCCAGGAGAAGACATCAGGGCCAAGTCCACTGCCTGTTCAACTCTTGCAACTCCAACACCATGCACAAGACCAGATATCTGATTACAATTTAAATATCAATGAAACCATGTGGCAAGACTTCCTGCGCTGTATTTGATGCATTCCCAGGACCTCCAAGGTTGGAGGGCAGTGATGTGTCAGCAGACAATGACCATGAAGAAAATTACCTTTGGAAATTTATGTAAGAACAGCCTGCAAAGTATTCCATGCAGACCATGATTCAGAGCTTTCGGGCTATTTGCCTGCCTCTGGACATCTCCAATTTGTCATCATCTGAGAGGCCAGGACAGAGTCTACTAGGCTGTGTCACCTCTGATGATGGCACGGTTTGGGTCACTGCATGCCTGTCTTTAGACAATATTGGGAGCCTCCACTAGAATCAGGCTTTCAGTTTCATTTCAGTCAGTGGGTGTAGTGGTAAAGTGCTGGTTACCAGCGAGCAAGCTGAGAGTCACCCTAACCCTAACCCTAACCCTAACCCTAACCCTCCAGTGTGGGCTTTCTGGTTGCCTCATTTGGAATGGGCTTCTGGTAGTCTAAGTATGAAAATATCCACTGTGAAGATGCAAATAGAGATTAACATTTCAAAGGGTAGTGTTAAAAAATTGGCAGCCCACTTTTTGATGCGATCTATCCATCTGACAAAGGGCTAATATCCAGAATCTACAAATAACTTAAACAAAATTTACACGAAAAAAACAAACAACCCCATCAAAAAGTGGGTGAAGGATATGAACAGGCACTTGTCAAAAGAAGACATTTATGCAGCCAACAAACATATGAAAAAATGCTCATCATCACTGGTCATTAGAGAAATGCAAATCAAAACCACAATGAGATACCATCTCAAGCCAGTTAGAATGGTGATCATTAAAAAGTCAGGAAACAACAGATGCTAGAGAGGATGTGGAGAAGTAGGAACATTTTACACTGTTGGTGGGAGTGTAAATTAGTTCAGCCATAGTGGAATACAGTGTGGCGATTCCTCAAGGATCTAGAACCAGAAATACCATTTGACCCAGCAATCCCATTACTGGGTATATACCCAAAGGATTATAAATCATTCTACTATAAAGCCACATGCACACACGTGTTTATTGTGGCACTGTTCACAATAGCAAAGACTTGGAACCAACCCAAATGCCCATCAATGATAGACTGGATAAAGAAAATGTGGCACATATACACCATGGAATACCATGCAGCCATAAAAAAGGATGAGTTCACGTCCTTTGCAGGGACATGGATGAAGCTGGAAACTATCATTCTCAGCAAACTAACACGAGAACGGGAAACCAAACACTGCATGTTCTCACTCATAGGTGGAAGTTGAACAATGAGAACACATGGGCACAGGGAGGGGAACATAACATACCAGGGCCTGTCAGGGGTTGGGGGGCCAGAGGAGGGATAACATTAGGAGAAATACCTAATGTAGATGATGGGTTGATGGGTGCAGCAAACCACCATGGCATGTGTATACCTCTGTAACAAATCTGCCCGTTCTGCACATGTATCCCAGAACTTAAAGTATTATATATAAAAAAAGATTTAAAAAAATTGGCAGCCTTTGGAAGGTTGAAAGTTCACAGGCTGTGAACTGCCACACTTAGTTTGCTAATTTTTAGACCCCATGGACCCTCTCTTTGTTAAATCTCTCCCTACCTCCTCTCCCTCTTTGCCTACCTGTCTTGTCTTTGCTCCTTGTAATTCTGTCTCGGTCCTCCTCAATACCCCCTTCTCTTGGGCTTTCATCATATACCGTACATATATTTTCTCTATGCTTTGTGCGTGTTTTTGTTGTTTCTCTATCTCTTCTTCCACATCTACTTTTCTTCCCTTCTCCATTTTTTTTCTTATCCTTATCATGCCCGTCCTCGTTTCAATAATGTGACGTAAAATATTTTAAAGTATTTTTAATGTATTAAAGTTGCTGTAATTTTTTTCACAGCAAAGTCGTCAGAAAAATAAAGGTGGTTTTATTCAAACATTTAAAATTTGCTAATGTTAATCAAACATTTAAAATCTATCTCTTGCTTGCCCTTAAAAAAATGATCGAAGTTGACTTTTTGGAGGTGGTTGATGAATGGCACGTAGCGGAAAGAAATGCACCTCTTCCCTGCTCTAGAAGAAGACATTCCTTTCCCATTATGGTATTTGCTTAGCCATTGATGTGGCTAGCCATTTGCTAGCATGTGGACACCTAGGGTGATGGGAGAAGAATCTCTATCCAGTTCTAGTTAAACATAGAGATGTTCTAGTAACCAGATGGTTTTTGCTTGGCAGTTTAACAAGCAAAGTGTTTATTGGCTTTGGAAACCCATTCATAGCATTGTGTTTTGGGTATTCATGGTTCTGTCTGTTTTTTTTTTTTTCTTCCAGAGTGTGGCCATGGTTTATGTTCCCATCAATTTTATTGTGTGGTAATTATATGTTAATTCTTTGCTCAGCCTACTGATAGAATATCCTTACCTAATTATGTATTTCATTGTAGATTTCTATGTAAAATAAGTGTGTGGTATATTTAATTAGTCATGAGTTTAATTTAAATGAAATGTTTGGTATGTTGACCACATGATTAGCATTTTGTAGCATCTATAGAAGTTGCCTCACATCTTATATATTTTATAATTTGCTGTATCTTTGTAAGGACCAATAAACTCGGACATTGGGTACGACTCTAAGGTCTGTTCTCAACTTTTAAATTTCCTTATGCATTGAGAAACATTTATGCAATCTTTTTCATAATGACAGAGCACATTAGAAGAATGGGTGCACCCAGTCATTGACCCAAGGATTCGGAATTCAACTTTGATAGAATTCTCTTATGACAGTTGATTCACAGACCAAAATCATTAGAGATATTGTTCAGCCAAACCTGAAACCTAAAACCAATAAATCGATAGTCAGGTGAAGAGCTCTTATTTAAATGTATCTGGAAACCAATATAGATGGAAAAATAAAAATAGCTTTATCAGAAATATTAATCAGTACGGTACCCTTCCAATTCAGTCAGGTGAGTTAAAAATAATATTCACTGAACCAGAGTATCCATTTCCAACAGAAGGAAGCCTTGGGAAAACTGTTAGCATCATAACTTATGTGCAACACCATCTGATGTAATTCACCCAGACACCTGAGACTCCATTCATGGACAATGATGCTTAGGTTCTAAGCCACTGATCCTCCTGTCATTTAGAGAACGTGGCGAATTTGGACTTAAAGATTAGAAAGAAATCTGCTCATGTGCTGTGGATTGTGAATTAGTTGATAAGGCCCACGGATCCACTGCATATTTGGACAATACAGGCTGGTCCATTTTGTGATGGCACTGGCCACATTCTTTCATTCCAGGTCTGAGAAGAGCACATTTCATCACTTTAGGATGCTTTCACTTACAGAGAACCAGTGATATGATTTGGCTCTGTGTCCCCATGCAAATCTCATATTGAATTGTAACCCCCAATGTTGGAGGTGGGGCCTGGTGAGAGATGATTTGATCACGGGGGCGGATTTCCCCTTCAGTGCTGCTCTAGTGATACTGAGTAAGTGCTCGAGAGATCCAGTTGTTTAAAAGTGTATGGAACCCCCTCCCCCTACTTCCTCCTGTTCTGGCCATGTGACATGCCTGCTCCTTTTTTGCCCTTCACCATGATTGTAAGTTTCCTGGGGCCTCCCCAGAAGCTGATTAGATGCCAGCACCATGCTTCCTGTACAGCCTGTGGAACTGTGGAGCTAATGAAACCTCTTTTCTTTATCAATTACCCAGTCTCGGGTAATTCTTTATAGCAGTGCAAGAATGGACTAATACAACCAGTTTGGGGTTTTTCAAACCAAGTTGTAAATTCTTTTAACATTTTCAGTTTGCAAGACTACAGGTGGAAAAAAAGGACGGAGCAGAGAGCAGGGCAGGAGATGATACAGAAATAAGAGCAGGGGAGAGGGGTGTCAGTGCTGAAGGGATTTTTTTCTTTACCCAGTCCTTTCATCACAGTGAAATTAGCATGTGTTCAAGACTTATGTAAAATTACACAGAGGTTTGGGGTCAGGAATGAAAGGAAATCAATGTAAATAACTTTTTAACGTTATATTTTCTTGGTATGGGTGGATATTTTGGAATAAAGATTCACTTACCATGCTACAGAGGAAGACCTGTATTTAATAGTCTCATGATTAGAGGAGGAGGAAGGTGCACAGTTAAATGTGGGCAACATTAATGGTTAATTTTTGCAGGCCAAATTTAATAAGGTGTTCATGGAGAAGTGTTCGTAAGCCTCCATTGTAACTTTCCATATGAAATCTATCATCAGGAGAAATTTCCATTTTTCAAAGGAAAAAAATATGCCTTGTATTTCATATTCATATGGTCTTTAATAATTAGATTTCATCATAGAAAACTGCATTTCTCATTTGAAGAAGGCTTTATTCTAATAAATTCCACTTTCCTTTTTTATTTTTATCTTTTATTTTGAGACCAGGTCTTGCTCTGCTGCCCAGACTAGAGTACACTTGGCTCACTTCAACCTCCACCTCCCAGGTTCAAGTGATTCTCCTGCCTCAGCTTCCGAATAGCCATAATAGGGATTGCAGGCATGCACCACCATGCTCAGCTTATTTTTGCATTTTTAGTAGAGACAGGGTTTCACCATATTAGCCAAGCCGATCTTGAACTCCTGACCTCAAGTGATCTGCCCGCCTCAGCCTCCCAAAGTGCTGGGATTACAGGCATGAGCCACTGTGCCCAGCCCCCTTTCCTCTTAAAAATGCTTTGTGTATCCTGTTTATTTAGCTTAAGAGCACTATAACGCTATGTTCAAAACCTAAATCATTACAAGCTATTTATACTGCAAGCACTCCATTTTTTAATAGTTCTGTCTGAAATTTCTGAACGACACCTGAAAGGTTTAACAATGATTTACCATTCTTTCCTCTCTTTAGATCATCCAGCCCGTGGAATAGATGCCCAGAAAAAACTTCAGCTGACTTTGACTAAACCTCCTAAAAGTCAGGTTGAAATTATTGTGAGTCCCAATCCCCAATGCAGTGTTACAAACAAAATCTATTTTTATTCTTCAGCTCCATACTGTGGGTAACAGCTTCAGCAAAGAATTTGACCTCAAGCAAGATGAACTCCAAATAACGCATAAAGTAACATCAACATGATGCAGTGTGTGTGAAACAGATCTCGGTCCCGTAAGAGCAAAAGAGAAGGACAAATCAGATCATCACACGGGATGTCTTTTTTGTGCGATTTTGCATTTTCCCATTCAAAACAAAAAATAAATAATAAATTTGAAGCTACTCACTCATGGATTCTGTCAGCTTGGCCATTGTTGCAGTTTCTTCTTTGTGCTTTTCCTGGAGGTGAGAAGAAAAGACAATTATCTGTAAAACATGTCTTAGATATGAATTGATCTAATTGCCATTTACAGCTATATCTCTCTTCCTTCTTTTTCCTAGGTCAGAATTTGGTTTCCAATAATTAAATGAATAAAAAACCCACATGACAGTTATATTATCAGTCAGTCACTGAAAAGAGATTTTTAGGGCATTAAAAAGCTTCCCATTGCTCTTGGAAATGAGCATCTGTCACACTGATCTTGGATATATATAATTGGTGACGCACGACCAGTTTTCAAAACCTCTTTGACACTGGATTTTTGACATCCATATGCCAATTTTTTTTTCCTCTCTGTTTCCCCCCATTGAAGCTTTCTTGGTATTTTTGGAGTTGATATTTTTGTAGTCATTTGGTTTCCTCTTTCCAAAAAACTAAATAGATTTTATACATATTTCTTTGTCTTAGTTTTTTGGGTTCCTGGAGCCTTTAAAAAGTCATAGGTTTTGATGGGTTTATAACCTTATCTACTTTGGGCTAAAAACATTTTGTTTTAACCGAGATATAGGTTATAACCCACTGAGTTTGAAAGCCAGAATAATACATACAGAAATTGAATCTGTCCTAATTAAAAAATGACTTTGGAGCTATTAAGAATACTGGTCATCTCTACTGAAAAGTTCTCTTTAACTTTTCCACAGTTCTTTGGGTTTAATTTCTTTGTGTTCCTAACATATGTAGTAACTGCAACATTGCCCACTATTATTATACTTTTTTTGTAGCCTTGTTTTTCTGTGAAACTAAAATATGTTCATTATTTAAAAACTTCAGAAAAAACCTGAAAATTATAAATCTAATGTCACCCCCAGAGGAAATCATGGTTACATTTTGGTGACTGCTTTCTAGGCCTATTTCTTTACCTGTGCATATTTACAGATATGGGAATATGATCCTATCTTCATAGAGATAAATATGTCATATACACATTTTGTGTTGAAGCAACTTTTTCACTTAACATCATATCATGTATCTTTCTATGCCAATAAAGGTAGAATATGTCATCATTTTTTAATGACTGCATAGTATTCATCATGGATTATATCATCATTTCCTTTACCAGATCCCATTTAATTTACTTAGAATTTTTTACTACTTCATAAAACACTGGGATGAGCATCTTGGAACTTATATGGTTGTGCACTTGTCCTGTGCAAGTTATTTTCTGAGGATAAATCCTAAGGTGAGGTATGGCTTGGTCAAAAAGTCTAAATACTAAAAATTCTGACATATAGTGCTCAATTGTCCCCCACAAAGGTTGTACCTGACAGTGTATAAAAGTGTTCAGTTCCTTACATTCTTGCCAGCTTGCCAGTGGCACTAGCACTTTTGACTCCTAACCTTTGCTAAATCAACAGGCAGACAACATTATCTTGTTATTTTACACTGTTGTCTTTCTCTGACCTTTTGTTTACGGACAACTGTAGTGTTCTTTCCCATGTCATCGTTATGAAGTTTACTCATGGTTTCACATTGTTGTGTTCCAGCCCCTCTGCCATCGACATTTTCGTGCTTGGAAGCCCAGGGTGGTATTTGCTTTTCCCCACGGCCCTGGTACAATGCTGAGTACAGTCTAGCAGTTTGGCTAACACTTGAAATGATGTCATGGCTTGGGTGTTGTAGTAAGGATAGAAAGATCATTATTCATCCTCCTTATGACACTGTTCTCAAACTGGAAGGGTATGCTTTGATTGAATGGCAACAAACAACTTCGCACATGGCAAGTATTCTTGATTTCCACAGCCCTGTATTCATGACAACGAAATCAGCACGCTGCCTCTTACTTAAACTAATAATTGCCCTTGAGAACAGAAGGAGCTAAGGAGCTGTAATCTACCAACCTGCTTGCTGTGGAATTTCACCCGTGATATTTAGCCTACCACTTGGGTTATGTCAACATGCAGAGAAACAGCATGGCGTGGGCCAGTAGAGAGGCTAAGTGTCACGTCACAGAGCTGAATAAGACAGGCAGAGAGGAGCCTCTTACCACAATGCCGGTTCATGTGAGTGTGCACAGCGGCTGCTCAACAGCTGACCCCAGCGGGTTGTGACAATTCAGGCCTAAAAGCTGTTCCATGGCAGGGACTCAGTGAAGTTGGTCCCAGAGCTTGTTCTGTCTCTGCGTGTCCTGTCAGTGACTCTCAGCTTCCCCTCATAGCCCAGCTCTGCTGTGTCAGTCCGTCTAGCTGTACTAGCTCTCCTTGTGTCCTGGTCTGTGACTTGACTTCCCCATTTTCTGGGTCTGTGCTCCATCAGGCCTCACTCTGGATCACAGACCTCTTCAGCTTGACCCTCCTCTGATGGCATCAGCAGTGAGAACCCCCCAACGCCAAACCATAGGCGTCCAGATTCCAGGCATTACATTTCTAACAAGCCCTGTTTAGTGTGTCTGTTTTCTTGAGTGTGTGTGTCACCACTTTATCTCTTGTGACCTAAGGACCCTGCCACATTCTGGACCCCATTCTTGCTGGTGGGTGGTCCTTGCAGCTATTTTTGTTCAGATGTGCTGGATATCTTAGTCCTAGAGATGTCAAATACTGCCTGGACCAGCAATTTCCTCTTCCCTGTAGTTAAATGGAATCCTCTGACATTAAGTGGGGAGAGGCTCCTAAAATCCTAAATATAGCTCTCCCAGACTGACTCATCTATATCATAACTTATGGTGGAAATCATGACATATGTTTTGGTGTAAGTGGTTTAGTTATTCTATTGGATGTCTCTAAACTCCTTATGTCCTTCCCTCATTATCAGAAAGTTGATGTTTGCAGTTACACGACATGTATATCCAATAAAGCATTTACATTTCATTCTTGGTCCCAAGCAAATTCTCCTTATTTTAAAGCCAAGAGTTTCCTTCACAGCAAATTTCCTGGTTGTTGGATTTACATTACTGGGAAGAGCTTTAGAATTACAGCATATTAAAATTGGAAGTGATTCTTTCAGAGATTGTCAAGTCCAATGCCATAGTGATGCAGTTGATGAAACTGAAGCCCAGGGAAGAGTGTGATGTGCCAGGAAAGGATTTAGAGGGAGCTGATCTCTTTCCCTTATCCACAACCTCTGCTCTCCCAGAAATCTTAAGGCCCATCAAACCTAAGCCCATTTAGCCAAGATCCCTTATACAGCAGTCCCAGTGCAGTGTTGAAGTTTCCTAGATTTGCCATTTCTATGTTCTTTCTTCGAGTATTCTCATTCACAACAATGTCCCTAATTTCCATGAATGGCTGGCAATGCCCAGATTTGCATATCCTGCCTGACCTCTCCATGGAACCCCTGCTGTCCACCTCTTCTTCCTTCCTCACCCCCTGATATTTTGCATTTTTTTTTTTTTGAGATGGAGTCTTGCTCTGTTGCCAGGCTGGAGTACAGTGGCATGATCTCCGCTCACTACAACCTCCGCCTCCCGGGTTCAAGCAATTTTCCTGCCTTAGCCTCCCAAGCAGCTGGGATTACAGGTGCACACCAAAACGCCCAGCTAATTTTTGTGTTTTTTAGTAGAGATGGGGTTTCACCACGTTGGCCAGGCTGGTCTTGATCTGTTGACCTCGTGATCCGCCCACCTTATCCTCCCAAAATGCTGGGATTACAGGCTGAGCCACCGTGCCCGGCCTACTTTGCATATTTTAAAGTTGGTCTTCCCTCGCTGCACTCTACTTAGGAGACTATTAACATTGCCTCCACCTGCTTGGAGCCTCAGCTACAACCCTGAAGGTTTATCATGAAATAGCTCTGGGGGATCTATCTAAAACCTGACATGGCCTCTCCCTGCTTGAAATCCATCAGTTCTTTAGCAAGTGAGAATGCAGTCCTTGCTTTGAGCCAGGGCCCCTGGACCGATGGTTCTTTCTTCTCCACTCATACCTTAGGTCCAGCTCCCTGCAATCCGTGACCATTTTCTACCTCCTTGCCTTGGCAAGCACTATTCCCTCTGCCTAGACACTCCAAGTTCCACTTCATTCTTGTCCTCTCCAAATTCATCCCTAAAAACTCTGCTGGGCACCAACCAGTCTCTGCTGGCTCCCCTGCTCTTTCTGACCATTTTCCTGAGTTTTATCTTTAGGTTTGTTTGTGCACAAATGCATCCATGTGTCACACTGTATAATTTGTTATGGCATTGAGGGACTCTGGAAGCTCTGGAAAATTCCAAAGCCCCATCTCAATAGCCTCATCTGGAGGTCATGGCTGGGAGGTAGTGTGTGGTAGACCAGAAGCCCTGACCACTAAACCTCCCTAGGAACCTGGACAAGTCATTTTACTTTTGGAGCTACTGTTTCCTGGTGTGCTCATTTCAGAAGTGGTCCGCTGCTTGCTGTTTTCTGCCCCGTCCCCCATCCCTTACTCCCGCGGAAGTCAGCAACATGAAGAGGATACCTGAACATGCTTTGATAGACTGTGATTATTGGTGGTATTTTAAGGTGAAAAAGACAGATATATTTGTTTCATGAACTTGTGTTAAAAATGTCTTTCCCTGGGGGAGCCAAGGGTTTTTATATCAGAGGTAATCATCTCATGTTCTTTTAAAATGAAAAGAAAATCAGAAAAGCAGGAATCATACTTGTTGGGAGAAAAGAACTTACTTTGGCCTGAAAATTTTTTGTTCTTGCTTATTGTGTCTATCCCACTTGGATGTTCGTAGAGAGAGTGGCGGGGAGAGAGAGAAAGAGAGCACATGTATAAGAGTTTGGAAGCCTGGGTCTAGAAAGGTTTTTGTCATGGTTTTACCACTTCTTATTCACTCATTAACTAATCTTGGAAGCTCTAATTTTCTCATCTGTGAAGTGGGGATAGGTGGAATTTGCACTGCCTGATTCACAGGACTGTTTGAGGAACAAATGAGACAATGTATATAAATACAGTCAAGTGTAATGTCCATGTGTGGGTTTGTAATCATTATTCCGTTTGGCTACTGTGTGGGGACCCAGAGTTAGAACCTGTTCTTGCTATTTGAGGACAAATATTGACCTCTAGCATTTGTGCCAAAAATAACAAAGCAAATTTCCCTGAAATTAGCCAGACCCATGGCTGCCAGCCCCTCAGGGAACTACTCGTCAACAGCTGGTGACTATGCAACCCACACCTGTATTTCCACACCCCTGCTCCAGAATATAAGGTCTGCAGAACCTAGGCACACTGCTTGGAAGAGCTATGCTATTTTGCTCTAGGAGGCACTCCACTTAAAGTCGTATTGTTGTACATTTAATAAAAGGCATTCATAGACACATCAAACGTTTGGGGTAATCATGATGATATATTTGAGTAAAACATGTTCACAGATGCTGAAAAAAAAACAACGTTAAGTGTCTTGTTTAAATCATAAACTCCTCGGGTAGAGCATTGACTTTCAGGGGCAATGGGCATTTAATTTTCTGTCTGAACTTTATTCCCTCTTCCACACCTGGGGAAGTAAATAAAGGCTCAGCAACTTGCTTGTGGGGGTGTGTGTGTAATTTATACTCCCACATCTGTTTCAGCTAAAGAGAGTATGGCTTTCTACTGAGTCCATGCCAGCTACATACTTCTCTTTGAGTGTCTAAAATGACAGAGGTGTTTTTAATGAGGGCAATTATAACAGTCTGACTTTAGCTCAGAGCTAAGGCTGAGACACTCTGTGTGTGTGTGTGTGTGTGTGTGTGTGTGTGTGTGTGTGTGTGTGTGTGTGAGGGAGAGAGGAGGATGGGGAAGAGGAGATTGATTCATGAATGCAGAGTATCTAGAAAGGGTAGAAAGGGTTTTTTTCTGCTGCATGGGGCTCCCTCAGACAGAGGACAGGAGCTGGCAGAACCCAGTGAGGTCTGCATTTTCGGTGGTGCTGCCTTGCTTTCTGCTACCCAGAAGTAGGCTTTTAAGGATGAGGGGGAAACTCATCATGGTTGATATATTTCAAACCGGTTATATTTGCATCTCAGATATTTTTATCTCTCTAAAATGTGTGCTTGTATTCATCAGAAAACTGTGATTTTTTTCCCAAAATACAACCATTTAAAGAAACATTTATGCAAAGTAGGAAACGATAAAGCCATTTTATGAACTTAGTATCCTCAACAGGGCCTCACCTCTGGTTAAACCAGGAGCCCTCAAATCTCCCGCCCTGTTCTTCAGGTTCTCAACAAATGCACCAGCCCTGGCCCCTCCTCACCTTCCCCCCTCCTCTTCCCTGACACGGTGCCATGGCAGGTCACCTGAGGACTGATTTAAATGGAAAATGCCACATCCTCAGATAGCCAAGCAAGTGAGTGTTCTCTTAGTACAGCATCATTTATGTTGCCTTGAGTTGCTGCCGAAAAATATAGGCCACAGCATTTAAGAATCACTAATTAGTTTTTTGCCTAATGAAAAACAAATGGAAATGAGTAGTCGGTATGCAAGTATGGTTTGGGGCAATATAAATATAAAATACATAAAAATATAATATGAAAATATATAAAAATAGTAACTCCTAATGTTTACTTCACATTTATTATAGCCTGTCACTGCATTAGTACATTAGACTATCTCCTTAATTCTCACAAGGACCCTGTGAAATGGTACTGTCTTCTCTACTTTGAGGATGGGGAAACTGAGGCACAGAGAGGTTCAGCAGATCATGCCAGATCACACGGCTGGTGAGGAGTAGAGTTGAGCATGAAACCCAACAAGTCTTCTTTCTGCACCTGCACTCTCTCAGCCACGGTGCCACCTGCAACCCTAGGAACTGGTGAGAAGTCCTAGAAATGAAGGCCGTTCATGCTGAAGGCAGCAGTGAGAATCCAGGTCTAAGATCCTTCTTCAATCATCCGATGCTGAAAATTTATTGATGTGCACAAGATGGACACTGGATAGAAGAGGACATCCAGGTAAAGCCAGCTTTACACCTGCCTTCAGAGAGCTTCCAGTTTGGTCCAGAAGGCAAGATGTGTAGAGAAATAGCTGCAATATGTGGTATCAAGGGTAAAACACCAGAAGGGTTCTACAGGACATCGATAGAAAGAGGAACAGAGGGAGCAAAGAGAAAGGGAGAGACAGAGAGAGAGAGGGAGAGAGAGAGGAGAGAAGGGAGGGGGAGAAGGAGGGGGAGAAACAGAATAGAGACAGAGAATGAGACTGGAGAAAATGTAGTTCTAACTCACAGAACCAGGGTGTGCCTCACGGAGGAAGCAGCTTCAAGGTGTGAAGGAGGGGAAGAAGAGTGATGGGAGAGGGGAGGGCAAGGAAGAATACTCCAGATGGAGAAATGGCATGAGGAAAGGTGGGGAAGCTTGGTGCGTGAGGAGCAGCAGGTCACAGGGGGACCAAGGCTTGGTGTGAGAAGAAGAGCAGGAGGCTGGCATGGACAATGAGGACATAAGCCCTGGAGGTCCCTGGAGGCCAGACAGCTGCTCAGGAGGGAGGCCAGGGCTGGAGTTGTGGCAAACCAGTGGGAGGAGGAAGGTGCCTGTGTGAAGACCGTGGCAACCCACGCTGGTGAGCCAAGGAAGATGGTGGGAGATGTGGAGGCAAAACCCAATGAGTGTGCTCTCCTGTGAGCCCGGGGACTAGCAGATTTGAAGAGTAAAGAACTTGCCTATCAGGATGGGGTACCATTTTTTTAGAGTAAAGTTAGTTTTCACCACTGATATACTCAGTTAAAGTTTCTAAAATAATCTGAAATTTTCACAATTTGGGGTAAAAACATCTGTGGGGTGTGCTCGAAGGAGGTGACATTTTTGCTAGGCAGGCCATGTAGGATGCTTTAGGTGAGAAAGCCCTCTTTGCAATAAGGCTCAGAGCCTTAGCCTCACCAGATAGCCTTTCTAAGGTCCCTATGTACAGGTCACCCTGACTGGTTCCTTATGCTGCCACCATTGTGGTCTTGTTGACCAGACCAGGGAGGGTCCTAATACACTGAGTTATGAGGATATCTCACAAAGATAAATCAGATTCAAAGTTAAGTTTGTACTAACATTGCCTCAATTCCTTTGGGCTTCAGCGTGAGTTCGTAGATGGCAGGAGAGTATTTGGAGCATTGCTCTGGGTACTTTCTTGAAAGCATGTTGAGCACGTGACCTTCTAAGAGTGATGGGTAGCAGAGATAAGAGTAAGAAAACAGTTGGACCACATGGCTGCCAGAGTTTCTCCAAACCCAGCTGTGTGTGTGTCCTCCCTGGCTTGAAATACTGTGGGACAAGCTCTTGACTTTCAGCGTCAATATCCAGACAATGTTTCACGAATTTCCCCAGGGGAGTTGGTTTCTTGGAATATTGGTGAGTGACTCATTTCTCCTTTCCTAGAGCTCCTGGAAATATTGTAAAATATAGGACAAGCATTATCACCACAGACCTATCAGGAAATTTTCTTTAAAGAAAATACTATGCGAGACTGCAGGGAGGCACTGAGGATGTCCAGGTAACTGGAGCATACAGAGCCCATGCCCGTGGTGGACAAGCATCTGCAGTCTTTTCCCTGTCAGGTACCTCTGCTTCCAAGATGCACCTATTCTAGGTTTGGTCCCTAGCTTCCCAGGACTCAACCACAGTGCTGAATCTTGGAAACAGGCAGGAATTTCCTGTTGGTCTCATGACTCTCAATCTATGGCCTCTTTTGTGGTTCAGCGTCTCTCTGGGGGCTCTTATACCAGGGTGATCTTCCAGACATCCTAAGCCTTGCGGTGGCCAATGCCTCTCCCACCTGGCTTCATCCAACCCACAGGCATTGCCAAACCATCTCTATTTCCAAGAGGAAAGGGAACAGATGCCATATTAGTTCCTTTCTTTCCCCTTTACTTTTCCAGGTTGCCCACAATCCAAGTTCTAAGCAAACTGAGTCTTCCAACATCCACTCTGCACTCCCAGCTCCCCGCATTCCATGGCTTGCCTGGACCCTTCCCTTCCAGCCATGGTCTCCACCTACCTCTCCAGGCCCATTGCTCATCACTTCTACACTATGCTCCTGCCCGACAAGCCCCTTTGGTCTCTGAACACATTGCATTGCTTCATCCCTCAATTCAGGTTTCACTTCCGTTTGACATTCTCCCTGGCTAACCCATTCTGAGTGCCCATCCCCTCTGCACCTTAGCAACTGTACATACTGTGGATGTAGGACTTGTCATTCTTGGAGCCATGACTTACAAAGTAACAGAGCAAGTCAGAGGAAATAGTCTTGACAACTCCAGGAGCAACTGAAACACTATAAAGGATGAATTCCTCTGTTTCCAAAAAGGGTAAAACGAAATACCAAATCACAACCAAAGAATGCATAGAATGAATGGAATGTCCCTGAACAGCTGTGAGTTTCCTGACATGAGATGCTGACCAGTCATTTGTTCAGAATTTTCCAGAAGAATTTCTGCCCCAGAAAGTAGTGCAATACAATGACCTGTAAGAGCTCTTCTAAAATGGTTTCAGGGATGTAGTGATAGTTCCAGGGAAAGAAATCCCTGATTCCTTTTGTTTTTCTTTGTATGACGTTCTTTCTTTTATTTGATCAGAGGTAGGTTGCGGGGTGCCAGGGGTCAGGTGGGACTGATGATAGGGGCAGGATGGCAGGCCCCAAGGTAAGGCTGGTTAGTTACTCTGACATATAAGGGATACTTAGAACAGGGGTCCCCAAACCCCAGGCCGTGGACCAATACTGGTCCGCGGCCTGTTAGGGACTGGGCCACACAGCATGAGGTGAGCAGTAGGTGAGCATTTCCACCTGAGCTGCACCTCCTGTCAGATCAGCAGTGACATTAGATTCTCACAGGAGTGCGAACCCTATTTGAACTGCCCATGTGAGGGATCTAGGTGGTGCACGCCTCATGAGAATCTATTGCCTGATGATGTGAGGTGGAACAGTTTCACTCTGAAACCATCCCCACCCCCTCCTCCTGCCCCTGGTCCGTGGAAAAATTGTCTTCCATGAAACTGGTCCCTCATGCCAAAAAGGTTGGAGGCTGCTGATTTAGAAAATAATCACCCGGCCCAGCAGCTTGACCCTGTTTTAAGGAGTCACTCAAGCCCAGTGGTGAGTTTGGTATGGTCACTAGAATGGCTTACGTTTGTCTAATGATGCAATGTTGTATTACGGAGCCCCATGCAAAGGTGCTGTGGGGGACTCTGGTTACCATGGTGCTCAATTCTCTCCTGCCTTTTAACTTATGCCTATAACTTCAATTTAGAGGAATGAATCCTAGGGAAGCTTAGGGTTATGCATGCTGCTGTGGGACTATTTGTCATGCTTCACCTTGAGAACTGGCTGGGTTGCAGTGAAGAGTAATTGATTGATTGATTCATTCATTCATTCATGGCTCAGCCTGTGTGCATCTGTGAAAACACACAGCCTTTGGGAGGGCCGTGATCAAGTTTTGTGACAGGAGATTTAAGCCTAAACTGCCTAATACTGTATAACCCATGTGGAGCCCCTTAATCAGACAGGGAACCCAGTGGGGCATGATAACAGCTCCTTCCCAAGCCAGGCCACTCTGGTCACTATCAGTATCCAGGGAAGTGGTGTGGTTGCCTGTTCTCAAAACAGGATACTATCCCTGCTGAACTCTGCCACAGCATTGTCAATAGGACAGCAGAGAGTCCCAGTTATTGGAATAACCCCTGGAAGCCAGCTTGTTCCCTACGCATGCAAAAAAGTGTAGGGTGCAGAAAGATGTGCTTCTTCAATCTCTCATCTGTGTCAATAGTTATAAAAGAAACTAAGTCAGGGGAATATTTTTAAAATGTTCCTTTGAGAAATTCAATTTTATAACCAAATGTGACATTTACTGGGGCTGGAGACTGAGGAAAATTTACAGATGGAAACTGTATTATTTTCTTGTGCTTCTTGTCGTGTGTTTTCAGCTTGAACTTCTGTTTGGATAGAGGAGGGAAGGGACAGAAGGTGACCCCTTTGTTAGGTATCTAATAATTGATTCTCAGCAACAGAGATCTCTGAGAAGGAAAATGAGGAACACCGTCCTAATCTCTGTTGTTCTTTTATCTCTTCTTTTTTTTTCTCTATTTACAGTTAATTTCTTCATTTCAGCTTTGGCAAAGATGATGCAGATTGATTTTTTTTTTCCTATTCCTCTCACTAAGCACAACAAAAAAATCCTGGACAATATATATGACAAACTTAAGTTGACTCTGAAAGGTGAATAGAGGAAGCCATACCAGCTAGGGACCTTGATATCTGAGGAATAACATGGGAGTGAGCTCTCTGAGTTCTTTTTTTTTTTTTCTATATTGTTTATCCCTGACTGGATACTGGAGATGTTAGCAAATTGGAAATGTCAATAGATGCAGACAAAAATGCCCCAAGCTTGAATTCTTTAGCCAAAGACCTAGGAGAGAGGTAGTCTAAGAAGACAGAAAACCTTTGAACAATAACCTCTGTAGCCAAACATTATAGAAAAAACAGCAATTCCACCTGGAAAGCAAAGGCTGGGTGGGGAGCTTTGGCTCCCACTCTTATCAGGTGTAATGCTGCACCCAAACCTGTTGTCAGGATGGTGTCAGGGAAGACAGAGTGGAGATTCTGAATTTTCCTTCTTGCTAAAGGACAGTGAGACTCCCTGGAGACCATATGGGGAGCCTGGTCCTCCACACGGTTCTGGTAATAATGAGGTATGTCTCCCCAGAGCCACAGGGGAGGTATTAGAGGAGGGCCAGTATAGAGTCAGGATATTCACTGCCATCCAGCTGTAACAAGGTCACTCTTGCAAAGTGTTGGTGGAGACCACCACGTGAGAAGTAGTAATGAGGTGCCCCCTCCTATCCCAGCCAGGATGGTGTTGCTGGAGACCCAGTAGGGATCCTGAGCCTTCATTACCATCCAGCAGTAAAAAGGATGACACCTTACTAGTGAGCAATGAGGTGGTTCCCTCCTTAACTCACCAGAGTGATGTCAGAGGAGTCCTGCTATAATACAAGATTTCAATAAGATCCAGAATCTTATAGTAACACCAAAAATGCTTAGGTTTCAGTAAAAAATTACCTGTCATACCAACAGAAAGAGCTAAAACTGAATGACTAAAGACAAATATCAACACTGATATGACCCAGATTTTATAATTATATAAGGAACCTAATGCAGCCTGAAACAAATGAAGAAAAGTGCTAACAAACAAATAGTAAGCCTCAGCAAAAAATCAGCACTTATGGAGAAGAACTGGAAAAAAATTCAGAACTAAAAATTTTAATAACTGAAATAAAAAACTCAATCGATGGGCTGAACAGCAGGGTGGGTAAGACAGAGCAAAGAAACAGTGAACTTGTTGATAGAACAATAGAAATTATATAATCTGGACACTAGAGAGAAAATAGACTTAAAAAAATGAACAGAGCCTTGGGAACATGTGGGGTTGTAACAAAAGATCAAACATTTATGACACAGAATATCAGGAGGAGAAGAAAAAGAAGATGAGGCTGAAGAAAGTATTCAAGGGAATAATGGCTGCAATTTTTTCAAATTAAAAAAAAAAAAAAACAACTACAGATCCAAGGAGCCAAATGAAACCCATGCAAGAAAAACCCAAGGTAATTCACTCAGAGACACATGATAAACTTCTGAAAACTAAAGAAAAAGAAAAAAATCATGAAAGCAGCCAGGGAGAAGTAGTGCATTATCAATAGGGAAAGGTAATTCAAGTGACAGAGGTTTTCTACTTAGAAACTGTGGAGGTCAGAACAAAATAGCATAACATTTTTCAACCACTGGGAAAAAAAACATTTTCAGCTCAGAATTTTATAGCAGCAAAAATGTCTTTCATGAATTAAATGAAAATCAAGGCACTCAGGCATTTTCAGATGAAAGAAAACAAAGAGAATTTGTCACCAGCAGACCTACCCTGAAAGAAAGGAAGTTCTCTCAACAAAAAGGAAATAATAAAAGAAGCAATCTTGACACATCTTAGAGGTAGAAAGAACATGGAAAGAGAAAATATATAGGCAAACACAGTAGACTTTTCTTGAGTTTTCTAAATTATGCTTGATGGCTGAAGCACACATTATAGCATGGTCTACTGTGATTCTTAATATATGTAGAGGAAATATTTAAGACAACTATATTTTAAATAGGGGAAGGGAAACGAATGTAAAGGGAGCTAAGATTTCTATGTTTCCCTTGAATTGGTCAATATTAACAGCAGTAGTTAAGAGATACATATATATATGTATATATATATATATAAATTACATTGTGTATATATACATAAACACAGAATGTAATTCCTAGAACAGCCACTGAAAAAGCTAAACAAAGAGATATATTCAAAAACACTATAGATAAATCAAAGTTGAATTTTAGAAAATGTTGAAATAACCCACAGAATTTCAGAAAAAAACCCCAGAGAATCACAAAACAAAAAACAAATAGAAAACAAAAAATTAAATGGCCAACCTAAGCCTTAACATGCTAATAATTATATTAAACATAAATGGTCCAAATACACCAATTAAAAAACAGAGATTAGCAGAGTGTATAAAAAGCAACTCCAACTACATATCATTAAAAAAAACTCACTTCAAATATAATGGTATGGGTAGATTGAAAGTAAAAAGATGGAAAAAGATGTACCACACAAGCATTAATTTAAAAAAAGTATGGCAATATTATTACACAAAGTAGACTGCAGAGCAAAGAAAATATGAGAGATGGAGAGAAAAATTACATAATAATAAAGATTAAATAATGGAGAATATTACGTTAAGTGAAGTAAGCCAGGCGCAGAAAGAAAAATATATGTCCTCACTCATACTTGAGAGCTAAAAAATTGATCTAATGGAGTAATGAGTAGAACGGTAACCAGAAGCCTGGAAGGATCAGGAGGCAGATGAGCAAAGGTTGGTTAGTGTATACAAAAATACATTTAGATAGAAAGAATAAGCTCCATTGTTTGATAGCACAGTAGAATGACTATAGTTAATGATGCTGTGTTGTATATTTCAAAATAGCTAGAAGAAAACTTGAAATGTTCCCAACACAAATGAATAATATATGTTTGAGGTGATGGATATCCCAAATACCCTGACTTGATCATTCCACATTGTATGTATCTATCAAAATATCACATGAGATATTCATAAATATGAACAACCATTAAGTACCAATACAATAAAGGTTTAATCAACCAAGAATACATAGCAATCCTAAATGTGTATGCAACAAACAACAGAGGTGCAAAATATGTGGAGCAAAAACTGATAGAACTGAAAGGGGAAATAAATCCACGAATATAGTTGAAGATGCCAACACCCTTCTCTTAACAATTGTTAGGACAACTACAGAGAAAATCGGTAAGGATACAGAGAAAATCAACATCATCAACCAACAGGATCAAATCAATGTTTATAGAATTTGCCACACAACAACAGCAGAATACACGTTCTTTCCAAATGCCCACAGCATATATACCAAGACAGACCTCAACAAAAGAATTGAAATCATACCGAGTATGCTCTCTGATCACAATGGAATCGAACTTTTAAAAAATAAAATTTTTTTGGTTTCTTTTCTTCTTTTTCTCTTTTTTACTTGTGCCACCCCCATGTTTGCTTCCTACCAGTCTAGCATGTCATTATTCTGAATGCTGCAGTGAGGTTGCAGTTCTTCAGAAGTTTTTGGAGTACGATGTGGTTTTCATGGCTCAGAGTTTTAAAGAAAAGGGAGGAATGGACTCTCCATTCTCTTTAGCTTCTTTATTGGAACACTCTCTCTGATCTTGGAGAATTAGCATAACCCTCACATCGCTCTATTGTGACTGTTCTTGGAACCTTTCTATAGAATACTAGAGGAAAGAGGAAGATAGTTAGATTCTGAGTCTGTGTCATGGAAGATGGATTTGCATCTTTTGTGCAGTTTAAACAGTTTTGTGACAAAAAGAATTAAGCAGAGCAGAAAAAATAGCTTTCCTTATGAAATCAAAAATCCAACAGTAAACTTCCAATTCAGAAGGCAGAAGTCAAGAATGACTGCATCTGCTGGGGGCCCCTCTCTCCCCCGGGGACCAGTCATTGCAGAATCATGTCCTTTGTTTATATCATCCTTTTAGCACTGCCGAGCCAAGAAACTCAGTTCTGCTCAACCGTGATGAATATTTTTCCAAAACCACATATTCACAATCATGAGATTCTCATTGACAATTCTGTGGTTCCTAATTTTTTAAAATATCTATCTGTGAGGAAGAAAAAATGACTCTCTCCACTTTTAGCTATAAGGTGGGCTATTGGCCAAGCACGGCCAGGGGCCTCTGTCCCTGACAGGCAGCAGCTGTTCAGCCTCCCTGTCCCAGAGCACAGCAGAAGGCAGGGGAGAGGGGGTGGAAGCAGGATTCAGGGCGCTCAAGGCAAGAATTCTTTCCCAAGGCTTTATCCTCCCTGGGACTGGGTGCTAGGGCAGATGGTGCTTGCATTTTCCATCACTCAGAAAGCCATGGCCAGAGACAGGAGGGTGGGGAAGGGGAGGGAAGAGGTCCAAACATCATTTCCGGAAGCTCTTCAGATTCCCTGCATTTTAAAATCTCGTAATTCTTCTCTCTGAATACCACAGAGCCAATGCCATACAATGTTGTGGCATTTGCTGGGCCACATTCCCTAGTGAGATGGGAGAAGAATTACTGTGCCTAAGGCAGCAACCAGCTTAAACATTTTCATTTCCTTCTTAGCTCTTCCACCAGGAAATCCTGCTATCATCTTCCTTGTCCTCTCCCTACTCCTTGCTGTTCATTTCTCAACTCTGTGATTTTGTGCTTCCGGCCTTAGTCAGAGCCAGCCTCTCTGTTCCTGGTTCTCTATGAGAAGGTGCCTAGGTTCCTGCCTTGATGAGCAAGTCAAGACTGTGGACTAGGTGAACTTCAAGTCAGTGTGGAAAATGCCCTTGCTCTCAGGAGATATACACTCAAATACTTAGGGCAACATATCCTGATGACTATAACTCTTAAATGGAGAGAGAGAGAGAGAGAACACAAATAAAGGAGGCAAATGTGACAAATGTTTACAAACGGGGGGATCCAGGTAATGGGTATATCATGTGTATTATATTATTCTTGTGGCTTTTCTACAGATTTTCCATTTTTCAAAATTAAAAAAAGATAAAAAATCAGTATGGTGAGTGTAAACTGCTTCCCCTAAGCCCCAGGTCAGAACAATGGCCTCTGACCTGGGGAAGTTGTATGGTTTGGGTATTGACCTGGCTGGATGTACCAGTTACTTGGTTTCATTCCAGTGTGTGATGCTCTTGCATGGTTCACCAGGCCATGCTCTGGTAGGAGTATCGAATGGTATCCCTAATATTTTAAATGCATTGCTTGTGGCTCTTCTGAGCCTTGAGGTGCCGATACTCCAATGAAGACCCACTGAATCAAAATCTCTGCGGATAAAAGTAAATAATATGCATTTCTTTAAACCATTCCTATGGATAGATCTAATTTTAAGATGGTAAGACAGAGACTTTTGTCTCCTTTGGAAAACAGTAAAGATACCAAGAAACTGAAGGAAATCTTCACTTTTGATGCAACTATGAAATGCCTACAACCTCAGAACATGTATGTAGAGGGAGGGCTATTGTTACATGCAGCAGAAATTGGGCCAGGATAAAGGTGGTGAGTGAGAAACGATGCCTAGCCCCAGAAATCTATGGCAGAGCTGGCTGCCCACAGCCTTCTTCATCCTGGGGGCATAGTCAAAGCATTACCAATGTTTAGAGCAACAAGATGAAGATGTGGTACTGGCTATGAGAGCCTTCCTGGACAGTGTGTGATACCACAAAGGGACTGGAGGAAGCAGAGAGACAGAAGAAAATGCTCAGATCTGCCATTTTGCAAAGGGAATCTTTTTGTGTGGCTGAGTGGAAAAGAAACTGTGGACAGTGAGCAGCTCTGTGGCTGCCAACCTTTGTTAGCTGTGTGATGTAAGGACTAAACCTCTGACAAAGCCCGGAATTAGACAGAACTTTACTCTAGCCCAAGAGACTTCTTGCTCTGTGCTATGCTTCCTGGGCCCTTCTCAACACTTCCTTTCACAAATTACTGACCCAGAAAGAAATCCCCTGTTTCATGAGGAGCCAGCAGTGGATCTATCCAAAATATTACAGGAAAAAAAAGACAAGCTGGAAGCTGAACAATGACCTAGAAAAGTAAGGTGACTAGTAAATGGTAAAGCAAATATAGAAATAGTACAGTGAATATAGTAAGTGAATATTGAAATAGAGGCCATATTTATTTAGAAAAAAGAGAAAGACACTGATGAAAATATAATCAAGGACACAGAGTGTAATTTGAGAAGATAGAGCAAAATAAAAAGAAAATAAATATCAAACTGAAAATGACAGACATGGAAGACAGAAAAAGATGATTCAACATATATAGAGTTTGTATCCTAGGAGAAGAAAACAGAATTAGCAGAAAAATATTTAGATACATCATTAAGAAAATTCAGATTGGCCAGGTACGGTGGCTCACGCCTGTAATCTCAGCACTTTGGGAGGCCGAAGAGGGTGGATCATGAAGTCAGGAGATCGAGACCATCCTGGATAACACGGTGAAACCCCATCTCTACTAAAAATACAAAAAAAATTAGCCAGGCGTAGTGGCGGGCGCCTGTAGTCCCAGCTACTCGGGAGGCTGAGGCAGGAGAATGGCGTGAACCCGGGAGGCGGAGCTTGCAGTGAGCCGAGATCTGGCCACTGCACTCCAGCCTGGGCGACAGAGCAAGACTCCGTCTCAAAAAAAAAAAAAAAAAAAAAAAAAGAAAGTTCAGATTAAGCTCAATTCTTAATATTGATAGAGCATGCTAGGTCCTGGAGGGGAAAAGGGGATTCATGGGCACTGATATATATCCTAATATAGTTACTGCACTTCAGAGAAAAAAGAAATAATTTTACAGGCATCAAAGCATAAAGGGCACATAGAAAAGGGGAAAAACAGACTATCTTTAGCCTTCTCTCTAGAAACATTCAACAAGACAATGGGATAAGATCTAAAGTCTTTGGGAAAATAAAGTGAGATACTACAGTTTTATACTCAGCCACACTGGTGTTCAAGCAAAGAAATGCCTGAGAGATATCTTAAAGATGCAAGCACTCAGGAATGAAATTCTCCATGGGTTTTTTTTGAAGATATCATAAAGGG
The DNA here is from genome assembly GCF_000001405.40 of Homo sapiens. Classification (NCBI taxonomy): domain Eukaryota; kingdom Metazoa; phylum Chordata; class Mammalia; order Primates; family Hominidae; genus Homo; species Homo sapiens. The sequence continues at coordinate 37,858,799 of NC_000021.9, forward strand.
AGCTATAGAAATATAACTTAAGGGAATAAAGGTCAGCACTAGATGAACTAGGAATAACAGCGTAACCAATTAAAACCAGGCAGGGAAGGTGAAGGAGGAAAGAAACTACATGAAAATAGAAAATCAAAGAATCTCAATTTAAACATACTTTATGGTAGGGAGACAAAAGTTTCTGTCTAAAGAACAAAGATGTAAGTACAGTATATATTATAGAAGAACAAAATGAAACTCTCATTCTACCGAATTTACAAAATTGCAAATTGCAACAAAGCAAAGCAAACAAAGAACACAAAATAAAATATGATAAAGAACAATAAACATATTTTTAAGATCTAGAGGCTTCATGGAAAACAACTTCAATAAATAAAAGACCAAAATATAGCAATAGGTAATTACTATGGAAAAATTCCCAAGATACATTGTTAAGTAAAAAAGCTATTTATAAAAGAGAATATATGGTAGTGTTCCACTTATGTTTAAGAAAGCATACATATATATTTTTTAAAATTTTATAAGATGTATAACTAAGGACACAAAAGCACACATATGTGTGAGCATATGAATAGGATATCTCTGGAAGGATACACAAGAAACTCATAACAGTGGTTGTCTCTGGGATAGGAAACTGAACTGGAGTCTAGGAAGGGTTTTTCATTGTCCACAATTTTAACTATGGGCTTATATTACTTTATATATATATATATATATATATATATATATATATATATATATAAAATACTTAAAAAGCTCTACAGATGATTCTAGCCAGCACTGGGTGTTGAGCAGCCCCAGTTTTTCATTCCAGGGCTTCTGACAAGCTAATGGTAGTTGTACTGTATCTCAGTGGTAGGGATAAAGTGATGATTGCTATCTCTGTTTCATGTGGGTTTTGGCAGACCAGCAAAGAATTTCATTGATTTACTTGTGTCTGAAATTTCTTGATTTCAGAAGAAGGTTACAGTCAACTAAAAAAACATAAAAATAAAAACAAAAGCCCAATTATGAAGTTATAAAGTACTGGGGCTTTGGGTCTTCTAAGCTACCACTGATACTTTTGTCTTCATGCTAGAATGCCTGCATTTCAACTCCTCTGAATTAATAGAATGGCTTCTTAGCGTATCTCCTGGATTCTGACCTCTTTGCCTTTCAGTTCTCCCTCTTTCCCACCTTTACCCTGCTGGTCCCTTGCATCATGACTCCTTGTGGGCACTCCACAAGACACCCCGTGCCCTGGATGCCCAGAGTAACATGGCCCCAAGACACATGCTGCAGGTGGACAGGTCACCCGGTGCAATGGCTATTTCCATCTTTGCTCCTGTTCTTCCCCAGGCAGGAGTAATCCCAAACCCACCTGCTGCTCGGTCCTACACTGATTCCTTTTTCTCCTGAATCCTATTTTACACCCAGGTAATAGCTCATAATTTAGCCCTTAATTGTTCTCCAATTACCTTATCGGTGATAATTTTTCTCCAACTTGAGTTTGAGCTCCTTCATGGGAAAGACCATGGGGCTCTGTGTTCTAAGCCGATCCCACATCTTATGGCCTCCCACCATCCTCACAGCTACTAGCTTAGCTCAGGCCACCCTCCTTTCTCGCCTGGTCTACGCCAGGCAGGTCTCCCTGCTTTTCCTCTTGGGCCTCCTGTGGTCTGTTCCCTATATGGCAGCCAGAGCCATCACTGGCTTCGAAGTAGAAATAAGCTGACTTATTTCCCTGGCTTAAAACCCTTTCCAGCACACTTGTGATAAGATCTAAGCTTCAGGTGGCATGGAGTTCCTGCAGGATCTGTCCCTAGGCTCCCTCCACCCTCATTTCCCAGCCTTCTCCCCATCACTCACACTGCAGTCTTTGACTTTCTTGCCCAGTCCTTCCCCGGGGCCATTGTACTTGCCAGAAAAGCTCTCCCACTACCCCCCTGGAGTGGCTCTCTATGTCATATCATCCAGGTCATGGTTACAATGTCACCTCTTCCAAGGCCTTCCCTGACACCATATCTAGCATAGTTCCCATCTTCACTCCCTCATCACTTCCCAATGTTTTCCCTGCTTAATTTATTGTAGCTTTCGTCTTCATTGTGTATGTGGGTAGACAGTATAATCTGGGGTTAGACTCTCAGAGTTTAAATCTCAGCTCCACTACTTGAGCTGCATGACATTGGGAAAGTCCTTAACCTCCTTGTGCCTCATTTTCCTCATCTGTACAATAGGGATAATGTTATACATAGTTTATGAAACTACAGTGAGAATAAAAGGAGAGATTAATGATATGAAAACCACTTAGAAGGCTGACAGGCAGGAGGTGAGGACTACATCAATCTTTGTTTCTTTATTTACTCATTATTGCCCGACTCCCTACCCTAGACTGTCAACTCTGGTGTATTAGTCAACTCAGCCTACTGTAACAAAGTACCACAAACTGGAGGGCTTAAACAACAGGCATTTATTTTCTCAAAGTTCTGGAGGCTGGAAGTCCAAGACCAAGGTTTCAGTGGGGCTGGTTCCTTGGAGGCCTCTGTCCTTGGCTTGGGGATGGCGTCTTCTCCCTGTGTCCTTATAGGGTTGTCCCTCTGTGTGTGCCTGTGTCCTCATCTTCTCTTCTTATAAGACCACCAGTCAGCTTGGATTAAAGCCCACCCTAGTGACCTCATTTTACCTCTATCACTTCTTTAAAGGCTCTATCTCCAAATACAGTCCCATTCTGAGGTACTGGGGGTTAGGACTTCAACATACAAATTTTGAGGGCATGCAATTTAGCCCCTAACATCTGGAGAAGTAGGGTTGCGACATGGTTAGCCCTGTATCTCAGCAGGCAGACATGCATTTTTCAGCACACTTCAGTGTCTCAGTAATGACCCCTTGGAAGCCTGAGAGCATTTCCCACAGAGCTGGTCCCTCTGCCCCACAGCCATAAAACATGGAGTGACTACTGGGTGCCAAGCTGAGAAGGTACTTGAGGAATGTCCTTGAGAAGCACCAAACTGGGGAACACTCCGGGCCTTGGATTGTGTTCACTAAAATTTAAATGACTCCTTCATAGCCCAGTGGCAAGTAGGGGACCATCAGCCTCACTGAGGTGTTGATGCTGGGCCCCTGGGCAAGCTGGTGACTGGAAAGGAGAGGAGGGTGTGGGTACCCTGAGCTTCCAGTAGTGGGGCTGTAGGTCAGCACTCAGTCAAGTGGGTGGCTCAAGCCCCGCTGCAGAACACACCTCCACTCTAATCAAACAAGCCCATGTCTATCTCGTTCCTTGGCCTGCTCCTCAAGCCCCAAGTAAGGCTTAGAAGACAGCCCTTCTTGGAACCAGTTTCCAATCTTACATAAGGTGTCAGAATCGCCAGTGGTTGGAATTCTTCCATGAGAGCTGTGGAAAAGGGCTGTATTTTGCTTACAATCAGGTGAACCTCACTCTATACAACAGTTGAATCCCCCAAACATTGTGTGTGAATTTTAAGTCCAAGTCTACCTTAAATAGGCAGGGCTGGAGGGGGTCACTATTTATAGTAAATATCCAATGTGCTTTTTTTGGCAAGCAGAGAAGTCTTCTATTTTAACTTTTCTGTTTTGTAAATGTCACCTTTATACACACAGGCATGCATGCATGTATACACATTGTGGCATTCAAGTCTGTGAGGACCAAGTATCTAGCTGTGCTTTAATTCTAAAAGGCGAAGGCTTTGTTAAGTAGCTCAAACTGCAGGGGAAATTATGATCTGAGTTCAAGCTAATATATCACGAAAAAGCCTAGACACAGCATCTGTCAACTTGGGTGATCTTGCTTCTATCTGGGCAGCCACCTGGTAAATTTGTATTTTGCAACAGCAGCTGCAGAGACTGTGTTTACCCTGTGTAGATAGTCAGAGAAATATGAAGAAACTGGGGGTTCTTCCTCTTCTATTTGTGCTAGCGGTAGGCTGACTTAGTTGAACACATTCTGGCAGTTTTGTAAAAGAGTACAATGCCTTAGAATTTTGAGCTGCTAAGTCGGTCCCCTCAACAGCCAGGGGAGAGACAGGGCAGACATCTTGACTGATGTGTGACATCATTTGTTGCCAGGAGGAAAAAGCAGGACTGGCTCCAAGATGAAGCAGTCAGACCTACAGGAGAGTAGCCACAGCTACTGGTTTTCAAAAGGTAGGACAGAGACTCTTAAAAAGGCTAGGAAGATTCGGACAAGGTGAATGGAGAGAGCCAACAGCAGAGCCGTGCTCATGAAGAGCATAGACAATCATGGAGAGCATAGACACTCGACATTCACAGCAGAGAATTACTGGTGAAGATCAATGTAGTAAAACTGAGGAAAGAGGAAAAACATGTTTTATAGTCTTTTCTTTAACATTTTGCTTATTTTGTGTTATTTGATTCATTAATATTTTAGGCACAGTAATTCCTGATTTATTAGTATGTCTGCTTAAATGAGTAAAACATGGAGTAATAAAATTTTAGGTTCTTAGTTTTTGAAATTCAGAGATTGTTACGCCTGACTACTTACTGTGCCTCCACAGTAACCAACACAGTAGCCCCAATGGCTGGAAGCGAATTTGACTCTTTGCCCATATGCTATACCCTCAGCTTCTTAATATTGATGGGTATCGCACAGGTACCAACTTTGATTTATTGCAAATCTGATTTAGAGTGGGTACAGAGAGACTTGAAAGGGCTGTGTCCATTTATGACTGAATTTTTGAGAGTTTATTCTTCAGGAAGTACCTCTGGTGCCAGACATTTATATTTTTAACGATTTGGATGTATTTTGCTTTATGCACAGGGTGTGGTTGATATCTACAATCGTTTTTGTGCATCAGGAAATAAGGTTATTAAAATATTATTAAAATAGGTTTCCACAGGCACTTTGCTACATGTGACAAAATGCATAATTAGCTGGAATTAAGAGCTAATAGGTTTATAACATCAACGCCCCACTTCTAAAATAATATTTAGCTGCTACTTATGTGCACTGCTGTAACTCTTGTAAGAAAAAAAATGCTCCATGGCTCCTAAAAGTCTTATTGGCTTACATTGTCTCTTTAAGCAATTTTAAAATATAAAGGTTTTTTTTTTTTTGTTTTTTTTTTTTTTTGGTGAAGAGAGAGAAGGTGAGCTTCTGCTATATTGGCAGTTTGGAGGTTGAGTTTAAACTGCTTGAAATGATGGGACCTCAGGAAAGACCATATGAAAATATCAGCTTTTCAGGCCAATGAGTCATCCGGCATCACAAGCCGGGTTGTGGGGCTTGAGGCCGGTTTCAGTCTACGTCATCCAACAGCTGACGCTTGACAGAGACACAGGAAAGGAATATGCAATTCTCCAATTCTCTATTTTTTTTTTTTGTTTTAGGTAGATTCTCACCCTGTCACCCAGTCTAGAGTGCAATGGTGTGATCTTGGCTGACTGCAATCTCTGCCTCCTACATTCAAGTGATCCTCCCACCTCAGCCTCCCAAGTAGCTGGGACAACAAGTGTGCACCACCATGCCTGGTTAATTTTTGTATTTTTAGGAGAGAGGAGGTTTCACGTGTTGGCCAGGGTGGTCTTGAATTCCTGACCTCAGGTGAGCCACCTGCCTCAGCCTCCCAAAGAGCTAGGATTACAGGTGTGAGCCACCATGGCCGGCCAGGAATATCCAGTTCTTTAATAGTGTTTCTTTTTTAAAACATTGGCATTCAGATTAAATATCTGTATGCCATTGTTTAATACACCGCAAAAACAAGTCAGGTGAGAGATGAAACCTAGAGAGAACTAGACAACAAGTTACCCAGACTTGTAAGCTCTGTGCATGATTAGGTAGCTTCAAATACAAAGCTTTGAAGATGTGCAGGGGTTTCAGAGGTGGAGGGACTCAGGCCCTTCTGGTAGGGCCACGTGTTTGCATTGTCTTATTGGACTGTTACAGGAGCTGTCTCTTCAAAGGCACTTGCTCCTAGCAAACTTATGCCTTTCCAAAGTCTCCTCTAAAAATGAGTAGAGGACACTTTGTTTTACTTTTACTGAAGTGAAAACACCAAGGCATGCTTTAGGGGTCTCTAGCACTTCTGTGGGTACATCAGTCCCCATTCTCCCCATCTGTCTCTCTCTCTTTTTTTTTTTTTTTTTGAGACTGGGTCTTGTTGTATTGCCCAGGCTGGTCTTGAAATTTGGGGCTCAAGTGATCCTCTTGCCTTGGACTCCCAAAGTGCTGGGATTACAGGCATGAGTCACTGTGCCTGGCCCAGAAAAAGATGTTCTCTATGCCCATGAGGCTTCAAGAGAAGCTGGTTTCCTTATCTTCACTATTTAGAGCTAGATCCCAAGTACCTCCAGGATTGAGCCCTAATCCTGACCCCAAACATAATTTGTGTACAGAAACTCCGTGTAGGAGTGTTAGAAAAGCTGGAGGCCCTATTGATAGGTGATTCAGATATGCTGGGAATAATGTAAAGTGTGTGTCTGGTGGAAAGAGCTGTATTTTTAACGTGATGCTGAAATCACCAAGAAATACTCTACTTCACTTGATACGAAAAACAGAAGTTACCATTATACAGAAAAAAAGTGGAGGAGGCCTTATGCAAATATTTTCAGATAACCGTATATACTGTTTTTTTGCCAGTCGTGTCCCATCATGTCCACCCCCAGTTCTCAGCTGTCTGCATGGGCAGGAGAGGAAAGGAAAGACACTGGCTGGAGGGGGAGGCAGGGGCCTGACTCTTCTGAGCTTGAACTGTCTCATTCTGTACAATACGGATCCAGCTCCTCTTTGAGAAGCCAGTGGTAGAACAAGCAATTTTTTGAGCTCCTTATAGCTTATCTAATTAATCATTTTATGAATGGAGGAGCCAGCTTAGAAAGAACTTGTCCATGTCATACCCCTGTTAAGGGCTGAGGCACTACGTGCTCTTGCTGATGCTTTCATAAATGATAACTCAGGCACTTTCCCACTGTCTGGTTTTTATGGGGTGGTTTATAATTTGGTGACTGGGGACTTCAACACCCCACTCTCAGTCTTGGACAGATCATCTAGATAGAAGATCAACAAAGAAGTGTTGGATTTAAACTGCACTCAAGACCAAATGGTCCTAACAGACATTTACAGAACATCTCACTCAACCGTTGCAGAACACACATTTATGTGCTCATCAGCACATGAAACTCTCAGCAGTGTAGATCGTGTGTTAGACCACAAACCAAATTTCAACAAATTAAAAAAAATCATATCAGGAAACTTCTTAGACTACTAACTTAGGTGTTGCTGTGAAGATATTTTGTGGATGTGATCATAATTGGTTGACTTTAAATTAAGGGGAGGTTATCGCAGATAATCTGAGTGGGCCTGACTCAATTAGGCAAAGTTCTTTAAACGCTGGCTTGAAGCTTCCCTGAGAAAAGAAGACATTCTGTCTGTGGATGGTGGATTCAGTTCCTGCCTGAGAGCTCCTGCCTGCTGTTCTTGGTGGCCTGCCCTTCAGGCTTTAAGACTTGCTTAGTCAGCCCTCACAATTACATAACACAATGTCTTGTAATAAGCCTCTTACTGTATATCACTTCCTCATTCTGCTTCTCTATTGAACCCTGACTGGTATACCAGGAGAGACATCACAATTAACAAGTGGATCTGATGAGTTGGGAGAATACCTTTGGGTTTCTATAGATGGATGGAAGGAGGAAATTGGTCCTTGGGTGGGCACAGGCTGCTGGTTCTTCACTGAACCAGGAGCCCGACCTTTCACATACTTTTGTGCAGCTTTTGCTAAAGGAACAGACCTGGCCGGAGCTGGACAGTGAGGCCAGGGTTGCATTCAAATGGAATGACCAGCTGGACATTGGTCCCTGCCTACTGGCAACTGGGGAGAATGAGCAAGAAAAGTGTGGGATCAGAAACTAAGTACAGAGAATGTCAAAAGGGTCCATTGGCAATTCCCACGAAACAGCACTTCAGCCAGATTCACCTGCCACCAGGCCATGGTCAAGAGGACCATGTCTCTTGAGATCTGGGGGCCACAGGATGAACTAGAGATGGCCAACGGCTGTTGGAAAGAGAAAGGAGGATGGGAATGATGAATAAGCAATGAAGATTACTGGATGTCTTCAATACAAAACTACGCATTACTTAGAACATATCCTTCTAGGTTTTCTGATTCTAGCTATTCATTGCCATTCAGCTATTTTTACAATCTCTAAATTGTAGAGAACTGATGGCAGTGCAGTTATAATTGGCAACGCAAACATGATTATTGTGTATAGACTGGCAAATAAATTCTGTTAGGTGGATGCTCAAATAATATCCCTTCTCATAGAAAAAGCCATCTTGACATTCCTTAACTCCATAGAAATGTGCCATTCTTTGACTTCTTCTTTGAATCTTTTGTAACATTTATATGATTTCCTTATTAATTAATAAGTGTAATAAAATATTTTCCATATGTTAGTTTTATATTTGCCTGAGAGTCATGATTTTACGCTATTTAAAAATCATCCTTTAATAACACCTGAGGTGTCTAGGGTACTACAGGGAGCAACATCAGAGGCAGCATCGCACTCAGAGTCAGGGACAAAAATCTGTCCAGTGAGGAGAGCTGAGGGGTCACTGGCCCCCAGAAAGCCCCATGCAGCCAAGCTTGCAGCAGGGACAATATGAATGAAAGCAAACTGTTTTATTTTTATTTTTAAAAGTTAGGGCAAAATACAGATCCTTTATCTTGCCTTTTGAGAGTAATATCAAGAGATGCTTTTATAGTTTTTTGAAGAAGAGTGAAATCCATCTCTGCCTCATCTTTATATAAACATTTGTTTACGTATTTGTACTTTATATCCTACCTGCTTCCAAAAACAACAATTGAAATGGGCCAAACGGTAATAAAAGCGACAATAATAGATTGTGTAGCAGACCAGACCTTACCTTGCAAAGAGTGATGTCAGCTGTAGAACCACACAGCAGATGGTGAAAAACCATATGATAAAAATAACAGAAGGTTACACGGTAAATATATTACCACAACAATCAGGCAGCGAAGAGACTGGTGAACAGAGAGGGAAAAGCCAGGGGGCAGAAGGATCATCCAAGGTCATGATCTCTGAGATATTAATGGTACCTTGCACTTTGGGTTTATATGTCAACAGTCTCTGAAGAGCCAGGTGTGGTTGCACTTTCATTAGGACTTGGCCTTTATATAGCAGGTAGCTGGGGACAGAAAGGTCCAGGGCTGGGCAGCAGAAATCGCTAGTTCTTGTGTGGATGGAAACACTGGTGCAGGAATGGGGACCATCTTTTCCCTAAGACCTCACAGCCAGCTGGGAGAATGAAGTTGAAGGCCAGCTCTCTGGCTGCTCCGGGCATCCTATGTATCTGGCCATGTTGCCTCCAGCACTATGGGGACAGTGGGGATGGCTATGTCAGGGGTCTCAGAGCACTTTGCAAACAATGCAATAAATACGGTGGAGGGTAGCACATTCTCCTATTAATATACATGACTACAGCTAGCGAGATCATTACTGCAAAGTTTAGGGCAAGTTGTATGAGATCTGCGATTACAGAGATTTGTACTGTCTGGAATATAATTTTTAAAAATTCTCCAGAAAGCCTTTTTAAGGAAAATATCACAGAATTAAACTGAATGTGTGTGTATCCTATAAAACATGGTGTGCCTTCAACAAGTAAATTATACATCTTATCAAGAGAAGCATTTGGAAAACTAAGATAAAATGTGAATTCTCTTACCATCTAGAGGCTGCTATTCAGAGAAGGATGCAGATTAAAGCTGAGTTCCAGACAAGGGAGGAGAAACATCTCTCTGGGATTTGTGGGAAAAATATAAATCGAACTTGAAAGGTCCCGAGGAAGTAGCGGTCCATGCATGTTTACACAAAGGGAAGATGTGTTAGTCGGAAAATCAGAGGACTAACCTCAGAACCCTGGAAATGTACCAGTTAGGGGACAATCCCTGTGTAAATTCTCACAGCTCAAGACCTGTGCAATATTCTAAGCAGAATTACAAAGGGCTCTCACAACGGGCAGGCAGGGCTGGGGTTGGGTGGAGAGGGGAGGACAGAGGCGCTGGCAATCATCAAACAAAATGAAAATGTTCTTCAGAATCCACAGTACACAAGATTCTTGGAAGCTATTTATGTGGATGACAGTTTTACAACATGGCTCTCAAGCTGTGTGTTTGGTGTTTCACTCACAGTTTAGAAGAGGGAAAAACGCAGTAGAGAATGGTGATGGAGCACCCATTGCCTGTTGGGCAAGAAATTCACAGTGGCCCTGGGATAGAGAGCCAGGCTTTGTGGATCCCTGAGCTGTGCTCTAGGCAGTGAATTCTTTAGGGATGATCGAAGCAGGCTGTGAGTGGATCGCCTGGGTGGCTTGGAGTCAATCATGAATCACACACTCTGGGGACATGGAGGGATAGAAGCCATGCCCATCATGAGGCACCTTTGATTGACAAGGGGCTGCTCTCCCATTTCCATGGCCTCCACGGCCGAGCCCTCATATGAGTGACCCCTCTTCTAACCTTAATACACTACTGGCTAACAGTTATTGAGCACCTACTGTATGCCAAGCATTCCTTTCTGGGTAATAATTCATAGAAATAATCCAAGAGGTGTTTTTACAGATCTGAGTGGAGAAACTCATCAGGTAAGTTAGTTAGTTTGTGTTTTAAATGTACAACCATTTTCCTAAGTTGTCAGTTCCAATAATTCTTGGATCTGGTTAAGCTGGATCCTGATAGGAACATTTGCCTCGGGCTTTTACATGTTTGTGTAATTTGGGTTTAGCTCACCTGCTCATTTCAAACCCTGTCAGGAGCTGGAACAATTTCTACCTGCGATGTAGGTGGCTGATGACATGGACTGATTTGAAGGAAGTAGACAGGTTCTAGCTAACCCTGAGTAGCCTCCCTCACCCTTCAAGCTACATGGTGTCTTTATCCTTGAATGATTTAATTCCACTTTGTCATTCACACATCTGAATTAGGTAGCAAAATCCTATTTAGGCTCCTTTAAGAGGCCAGCCTGGAAAACCTACTCATCCCCTACCACTGGCCTATTGGTTGACCAGATGGCAGTGGTCCCTTTAGCAGATGCTAAGTAGTGAAGTCTGGGCTTTAGGACTTGGCAGCTAAAAGGAAAGACTGAGTGGCTTCCAAGGGTAGACCCAAGGGGTGGGGTGCTATAGATAGTAGGAAGTGAAAAGCAAAGGGCCAGCTCAGGCAGAGGGTAGGCCAAGACAAGGCATTTGCTGCAGAGAATGGCACAGGTCCCTGGGAGGATGAAGGGAAGGAGAAAGGAGAACACACTTCTCTGAGTGGGCATCTTGCATAGAAACATATTTCCTGGAAGAGGGAGACAGGAGCTGTAGCCAGATGATACATTTTCCCTTTTCTGATGCTCATGTATGTTGCAATGACCAGGAAGGCATGCAATCCATGGAGGATTTCCCACCCACCCCCGCCCCCACCCCCCGGCCCCAGCCACCTGGCCTGCTGAAAACAGATAGGCACATGGCATTGTATCTCTGGTGAGATAAATTAAAGATCTGAAAGCAATATGCCATCAATAGCCAGCATTAAACAGAGATCGCAGGAGTGGAACAGACCTTTTAAGCATCTGTTTTCTTTGAAGCTCAGTATTTCTCTCTTTGGCACAGGCCCAGCTACCTAACTGGCAAAGACCCAAACCCATCCCAGAATTGCCTCTTGGGATCCAAAATAGCCAGTCCATCAGGATGGAACATTCTCTCTCTGCCTTGCTTTCAGCACTGTTAGAATAATTCTGAGATATTTCAGACAGTACATTAAAAATACTTAGAACAATTCAAAATTTTGTTTTTTTTGGTTTCCAAAAGCAGCTCTTAGGAAGGCATTTAAAACCAACTGTAAATCATTTGAAAGTAAATTTGTACACAGTACAATGTATGCCCAAATGGTCTGGTTCCTTTATTATCAGACATTTATATTTGATGATGTCTATAAATTTTTGAGTGACTTTTCAAGGGGGTCATCTTGCTAACATCAAAGGGTGATCTGATGATGCCATCGTCCATCATGGCTCATTCTCTTCCTACAGCTTCTGCACCCGGTGGGTTCTGCTTTTGAACTGTAGCTTGGCCTGACTACTCATGTGAGCCTTGTGGTGTGATCTGGGAAATTCTTTGTGCATCTTACAGACTCAAACACCAATCCCAAGTCTTGGAAGATGCACCATTATCTCTATCTACCCAGATTTTTTTTGGCCACAATCATGCATTTTCTTACTTTCCTGATTCTTCTCTCCCATTCATTACCTTTTTTTTTCCTATTTTCATTCCCTCCTCTTGATGTTGAGGGCTCCACTGACTGCCATTGACACAAGAGCTTAGTATGGATGGAGGGGACAGTTTCAAGTGGATGAGAACTATCATGGCAAATGACAGGATAGTTGGATTGGGCACACCTTGCATCCTGTACCGTGGGGGGAGCCATGGCCATGAAGATAGCTTGCATGACATCATAGCCATGATAGTCATTGAACATGTGTTGTGTCCACTCCTCTGATCCTGGTGTTCTGCTCTGCCTTGCACCGTAATCACAGACGAATGCCAGAGCTCAAACCAAAACCTGGACTTCGTGTTCCAGGTGGGTGGGAATTGAAGCAAGAAATGCAAGGCTGATATAGACCCTGTACACCTCCCACCCACGTATCTGGCAGAATGTTCAGGTGAAGGGCTAGAAGAGGGCCCGATGAGGGCAGAGGCCAGCTCTACCCTTGACAGGAGGACAGAAATCTGGGCACAACCACACCCTGGGCTCTGAGACTTTTTCCTGAATAACAGTAAGATTTGTACTCTGGGGTATTCTTCCTACATGACTCATGGCTCTCTCTTCAAATCTGGAAGAAGTTGCCTGAAGAACAGTGTGCTCTTGCAGACAGATGAGTAAACCGGCAGACAGATGGGTGGACTTCTAGATAAACAGTGATGGAGAGAGGTGAGGCTGCAGCATGCAATGTGCCCAGAGTCACAGAAGTTTGGTATTGTGGTTTATTTCCCATTCACAAAGTATAACCACCTGTTTTTTCTTCTATTTTTTAACGAAAAGCTTTTTAAAAACCTGTTAAGAAACAAAATGATTCTTGGACATTAGGCAGCTGTTAAAATGTTTTGATGGGTTTAGAATAAATAACTCAGAAACATATGGATTTGATTTTTCATAAGTTAAATGTGTGTATTTTCAAATGAGAAGCAAATTTCCCAGGAAAATACAGTTCAGTTTTTTTTTGACGGGGATTGTGGGAGAAGGTTGGTTATTAAACAAACAAATGTAAGCACACAAATCAAAGTGAAGAGGTATGGGGCACGGATGTCCTAAGAGCTACTCTGGTCCATCAACACAGGGCAAGGCAGAAAAACAAGGCTGTCCTCAGGGAGCTTACCTGGTTAATTCATTAACTAACGTGTGAAATGACATCTGAAGGAGTCATCAAGAATGAGTATATCTATCAGGATGGAGTAGCACACCCCAGACCTAGAAGTCTAATCAAGGCTGCCTGATGTTCAAGAAGCCATAACTAATAACATGCCTAGAAATAATATGTGGGCAAACCTAAGCAAATCAGTTGCCTGGAGTCTGGATCTTACAAAGTCAAAGGGCAAGGCTTCCTCTGTGTCACCGGCATTAGTTAGGGAATGGGGCACCTTGGCCACCAACAGGAAGTTTTCAGTGCACCCAGGAGGTGCAGCCTACAGGAGGAATAGGTGACTGATGATCATGGCTTAATAACACTCATTTGCTTCACCTAACTGCACTCCCAAGGCTCTTTGCCCAACCTTCTGATCATAACTTTGCTCCCTCAATCAATTTTTCTCCCAATAGTGATGTTTCCTAAGTTGGCTTTGTGGTTTATGTATCAGTCTTCTGTGAGTTTAGTTCATGTGAATCTGCGCCTCCAAGATCAATACTCTCTATAGGCCTGATATGGTTTGACTGTGTCCCCACCCGAATCTCATCTTGAATTGTAATCCCCATAATCCTCACATGTCATGGGAGGGAACTGGTCGGAGGTAATTGAACCATGGGGTCAGTTTCCCCCATGCTGTTCTCATGATAGTGTGTTCTTATGAGATCTGCTGGTTTTATGAGCATCTGACATTTCCCCTGCTGTCACTCATTCTCTCTCTTGCCGAACTGTGAAGAGGTGCCTTCCACCATGATTGTAAGTTTCCTGAGGCCTCCCCAGCCATGTGGAACTGTCAGTCAATTATACCTCATTCCTTTATAAATTACCCAGTCTCAGGTATTTCTTCATAGCAACGTTGAGAACAGACTAATAATGTCAAGGCCCTTGACAAAGCCTAGCTGTTTCTCCTGCTGGGCTGAAGGTGAGACTCTGGAACACAGTGACGACTAATCATTACTTGCCAGGCTCACCCAGCACAACATCACCATCCCAGCCATGCATGCGCTGCAGTCGTTTCTTATTAATATCATAACACTGAGACTGCCGACGATGGCTGTCATTGATTCCAGCTTACCACATGCCAAGCACGTTACGCGAATCCTTGCAGTAAATCCTCACAGTGACTCTATGGGCAGATACCATTATTGGTGTTAGTTTACAGAGGAGAAAACTGAGACTAAACCAGGTGAATAACTTTTCCAAAGATCTCATCACTGGTGGCCAATGGGGATAACTGGATTGAGGCCAGGCAGACTAGTGCAGTCAGTGTACCTAACCGTCCATTGACCTGATCTCTTAAACCAGCTCTCTAAACACACCAACCACAACTAGCTGAGCATTGCTAGCAGTGTGCATACTCGTCTAGGCTTGGTGTCTTTTCATTGACCCTAATCTATAAGTGTTTCTGCACTGAAAAGCCTTTTTTAGAACCCACTATGTAGGACTAGAAATAGAAATATGAGCAAATTATTGACTTTCTCACTCTCCCTGTTCTCTCTTCTTAAACCTCCAGCATCTTCTCCCCATCCTCACTCTTAGCTGAAGACACAGCTTCCACCTTCACCAAGAAATCTGTCACCATTACAAGGGAACATCCACAAACTACCAGATCACATCTATCCACGCTTCCACTTGTACCTTTTATCCCTCCCTTTTGCCCTCTACTGGACAGCATTGCTCAGCATTTACCTCATTCCTCAGCATTTTTCCAGTCCTTCCCATCAGCTGTTACCACTCCACCCTGCAAAGAAAACTGCGTCTTATCTCCACTCCCTCTTCAACTTCTATCTCCATTTCTCTGCTCACTTTCACAGCAGAACTCCTTAGAAAACTCGGCCATACTTGCTTTTCCCATTTCCTCTGCCTCCATCTCTCTTAAACTCATCCTAATCAGGGGTTCACCCTCTCCCTTCCCTGCTCCCTGGAAGCTGCTCCTGTCTGGGCCCGCAGTAGCACCCAGCCCAATGGATGTCATCACTGGGGGAGGAGGCCTGTCTTGCTGGCCCATCAGCCGCAGGCCACACCTGATCATCCCTCCCCCTTGAAACGTCACTTTCACTTGGTCTCTCACCAACTCCTCTTTTCTTTTTCCTTTTCTTTGCTGGTTTCTCACTATTTGGGATGCCCCAGGGCTCACTAGGACATGTTCTCTTCTCTATCCTCATTCTCATTTTCAATACCCAGTGGCCAGATTTATTATCTCCAGCCCTTGAACTCCAGACTCATATAACAGACTGACAGCTTGACTTCTCCATTTGGATGTCTAATAAATATCTCAAAATTCACCTGACCAAAACTGAACTTTGATACTAGTCTGGATTTAATGTCATTTAATTTATCCCAAATTATAAGTATTTATGCATTCAAAAGTCTTTCTGATGAACCCACTCTGTAGGGTCTAAGGATAGAAAGATGAACAAATTATTCACTGTCCCACTCAGCCACACCCACGCCTACACTCAGCTGTCCTCAGGGCTCTCTGATGAACACTGGGAGGAATGATGGGAGGGTGACAATGCCTTCTTCCATTTGCTCAGGCCTCAACCTTAGAGTCACTATGTCTGTCCCTTTTCTGTGACAGTTCACATTCGATCTCTTAGAAAGCCCTTTAAACACATTCACAATCCAAGCACGGCTCCACCTCCACCACTGCCACCCTCCTGACCCAAGCCACCATCTCTGCAATGACCTGACTGGCCTCTCTGTGTCCACTGCTGTGCCCTGCAAAACTATTCTCAGCACAGCAAGCCACGGTAGTCCTTTCAAAACATAAGTCAGATTCTGGCAGTTCTGCTCCAAACCTCTTTCTCTCAACAAAGCCAGAGTCACTCTATGCCCAGCAGTCTGTTTCCGACGATTGGCGAGGTCCTGAGAGCAGGGCTGTCTCATGGGGACACATGCTCCTCCCCTGCCCTCAGCCATAAGTGATTCTAGAAATGAATGTGCAAGGCTGGTGGAGCTCTCTCTGGAACACAGTTATCCCCTTCCAGAGTGAATTATAATTCTCCCCAACAAACAGGCATTATTTTTGTAAAATAAAAAAATCTTATTTTAAAAAAGAATTGAAAAGCAGAAGCCTTCCAGGACTTGAACCACAGTTGGCCTATTCCCTCTCTCCCCAGCACAGTGCTTAGCGGGGAGCCTCCACCTTTCCTATGAATTCAAAATGCCAAGCTCGCCCATCCTGCTTCCTCCTCCCCCTTCTTCCCAGTGCTTTTTGACCCCAAGCCAACCTGGAGAGCCAGAGGTGGGGACAGAGTGAGCAGCCAGGGCGCTAATCTTCCTGGGGGCCAGGTCACAGGAGGCTCCTGGCTTCTACCCTAGGGTTCCTCGGGGTTTAATTGCTGGTGGTTTTATGCTTCTGAAGCTGCTGCAGGATGTGCAGCTGCAAACAGCTTACTGTTTCGATTTTCCCTTATTGCTGGCCTCACACTTCAATACTTATGTGAAACTTAAAAGTAATTTTCTCTTTGAACCAGGCTCAGAAGGTAGAAGGAAAACCATGGCCTTTTCCACAGCAGCCATCTCAGGGTCAGTGACTATCAGTGCCCACAAACCCGGCCTCCAGAAAATGGAACTCTTGTGCTAGTCTGCAGGTGTTTCCATACAAGGAACACCTCCGGTGGGCCTCTCAGCCCCTCATTTATTCTTTTAGTACTAAATAATTCAGGGCTCTAACAGCGTTGGAGGGTGGCTTATAAAGTTGAAAAGTAATTTGTAAAGATCTGCAAGTTTTGACTCTGTGTTGAGCTTTGAAATAATGAAGAATCAATGGGGACCATCGATAGTATTAGCCAACATTTAATGGGCTCAGAACCAGCTATATAATTTGTGGGGCCTAGTGTAAAACAAAAATGCAGGGCCCTTTGTGCAAAAATTGTTACAAATTTCAAGACAATGATGGCAGAGCATTAAATCAAGCATGGGGCCTTCTGAGCATGGGGTCCTGTGCAACTGCCTTGGTGGCAGGCCTGTGTCTGGGCACAGGCTGTGCCAGGCTCTAAGGTACACACTGGACCGGGCCGTCTCATTTCACACTCACCAGACACTTTGGGACAGACACCCATAATATTCCCATTTTACAGATGAGCTAACTGACGGTTTCAGGGGTTAAGTAACTTGCCAAAAGTCACCCAATTAACAAAAAAGAGAGCCAGGATTCAAATCCAGGTAGTCTGATCCCTAGAGAAGCCGTCCTCAAAGAGTTATATTTTTAATATTTTTACTATCCATGCTTTCCTATTACAAATAACATTCATTTTTGCATCATCATAGTCATTACTTATCCCAGGACATTTGAAAAAATAAGAAAAAGCCTAAAGAAGACAATTAAAATCACCCAAAATAATGATATCAGTGCATATATGTTCTGTCCTTTTTTCAAAGTATATTTTATATACAAAACAAATTTATGTTATATATGTATATATGAAATATATATATAAATTAAACACCTCATTTACAGCATTGCATGTCTTTAGGTTGAGAGTTGAACAAACAGGCTCACTATGAAACATACGTGGGTGGATCCATGTAGACAGGCTGGAAAACCCAGCAACAATTGGACAAGTTGGCCAAGTCCAAGTTCAGAGGGGCTGTGGGGATAATGTAATACATGAAATCACATACTTTGAAGTAGAAGCAACATTAAACCTGAGGCAAGACCTGAGGCAAGCTTGCTTCAACCACCCAAAAAATCATGGACTGCCAGTGCTCAAAGAGTGAAGAGTCCCCTGTAAATATCTGTAGCTTCACTATTTAGTTTTTCTTGTGGGGTCCAAGTCAGAATAAACTTAACATTTTTATTACTATGAGTCATGTTCCAAAGTGCCCTGCCCTTGAGTTGATGTCGAATGGTTTTACAAGTTTTTTGTACCTGGATGTCATTGAAACACTATTTGCATGTGCTATAGTGAACCCAGAATGGTGGGATTAAGTTAAAAAAGGCAAACCCACCAACGCCTAATTGGGGAAATAGCAAACTCTGATTTAATCACAGTGATAAAATAAAAATCCACCCTCTCACCTTTTCTCCCCAGGTCTCTCCTGATAACTCTGAAAGTCTAAAACAGCAGTACCATTCTTCCCTGCCAAAGGTATTATCTGCAGTTTCTACCATGAAATACACAGGTCAACAGTTGGTAGGAAAACTGACCGCATGAGAACATTCCTGCAGTTTTTATCTAATGATGTTGAAACAGCTCTCTGCAGGATGTGCAGAGGGAAAGAATCACTGATCTGTGAGATGCTTCTTCCCTCAAACAGAAAAACTTGAGTGTCAAGTATAAAATCCAGATGAACAAGTTGCTTTCCAAATAAAAGGAAAAGAGCTGGAATATTCTGTTAATGCATCAAACCTAATGTGGAGTAAATGACATTAAATCTTGGCTAGGCTAACAGGCCACCGAGATTTAGACCTGCAGGCTAAGTTGGCTCTTCCTTATGGAAGGCAGAACAGAAATACTGCTGCTCAACGTGTATTTCCCCACCTACAGTCGGATCGGCCACAGGTGGCCTTTGAGGACACTTGTCCCTCTCACTTCTTCCTCTCCAGAGGCTGATTTCCTGGGACTGTGGATTTGAACACTCCATTGTTTTAGTTGGAACTTAATAGAATACCAGGTTTCAGAACAAAAGTGGGTGTATATTGTCTGTCTCTTTTTCTGGCGCATGCCGGAAGTTCATACACTTAATTTATTTGACATTTTGCAAGATAAAGCACAAGTTGGAGAAGAGAAAATTCAAGAGAAAGAAAAGGCATCATAAGACTTTTCTTAAAGAAAGTGTATGTCAAAGAAATGACTTAATTCTGAGAGTACACTCCATAGGAATGGATGACTAAATGGTTTCATTTAGAGACAGCTCTTTTTGTGAGTTTCTGTCCTCTATCAATCTGCACGGTGGAAACAATAAGCACTGAGCTTTGAACAACCAAGGTTTGAGGGAGAAAACACAGTAAAATGCTAGTTTCAAAATAAGTAATCTTCAAGCATAATTGAATTATTCCTGAGCATGGAGTTGTAATGTCATATCCCATTGTGACTACTGCTGCATTTGTGGGATTTTTTTTTTTTAAAGAATTACCTTCTTTAGAGAGGAACAGAGATAATAAGTATTTTTTATCAATATCCTCATATTCAACCTCTTTCCCTAAACTGTGAATTGAAATTCTAAGCAAATAGCTTTGCAGAATTGCAATGATTTGCTTAGCAGTGTTCTGAGTTAGGCAAGTAGTGAAACCAGCTCAGCACAGCAACTGCTTTCTAGGCATCCCTGTGGTGGGCCAGCCTGCCCTTCCAGCAGGCTTGCAGGTCTACCAGCCTCCTGTTACCAAGTCCAGCCCAGCCCTATGGCAAGAAACCAGGACTGGCATGAAAGATGGAAGAGCTTAGCATGAGGCCTTACCAGCACCAGAAAGTAGGAAACTTGTGTGCTCCAAGCATGCGCTTCTTTTTGCCCGGTTGAAATTTGATCAAGGTACCAAATGTGTCTAACATACTATGTCTACCACTGAATCACAAAGGGAAAAATACAGGTGGGGCTGGGTGGGGAAAGAGGGTCCGGGAGGGAAAGGTAGAGCGGTATGTGGGAGGGGGACAGGGGCATGTGACGACCAGCACTCACCCCCACTGGAAGGCTGTCTGCCTTGTCACATGCTTGCTGTGAAAATGGCGATCCCGTGTGATGTTCCTGATAGACCAACACCACAGAGTTTCACAATTATTTGTGCGTATGCCTGAATCCAGTACTAGACTGTGACCTTCTTGAGGGCAGGGACCGTGTATTGATCATCATTCACGCCTGCATATGGCTCTTCAGGGAGGTTTGTAAAGGAGATGATTGAGAAAGACCATAGGAATCTATCCTCAACAGCAAGTCAATGCAACAGACGGTGATCTTGCTATGATCTGGCTAGGTGCCAAGTACAGTAGTGAGCTGAGTACTGAGTAATGGGAGTGGTCATGCATGAGACATATTCCCTTCCCCCAAATTGCTCAGTGTCTAGATAGGGCCATGGCAGGTTTATGACTAACTCCATAGAGAATTTGTACAGGTCAGGATGTTAGCTGAAATTGACTCTGAGGACAGGGAAAGGTGGTGTGAAATGCCTCCAGAACAAAGGTGGGTTGCATTTACTGGACCCCCTGCAGCACGTATGCTCCCACTGGATTCCTAGTGATGCTCCAGCACTAAACTTGTGATTATGAGGCTTCTCTGCACTGGAAAAAGGCAGCTCAGTGGGCAGAGTGGTAAGGGGGTTGGCTATGACCTATACTGGCTACTCCCAGCTCCATCCCTGCGTGAGTGATATCCAGGACTACACTAAGTTCACTGTGCCTCAGTTCATCCGAGATCATGTCCAGGTACAGAGGAAGGCCTATTTGCCCAAAATAACATTGCTCTCTTCCCCGGCTGAAGACTGGGTCCTGTTTGTTTCTAGGGTTACAGACAAAGTAAAATTATGGAACTTGCCAGGTATCAGGAAAAACTCAATGTCTGCCTTGAAATGAAGTGTGTGTGTGTGTGTGTGTGTGTGTGTGTGTGTGTGTGTGTGACAGAGAGAGAGAGAGACAGAGAGAGAGACATGCATGTCGGATTGGGAGGAGAGATGGTTCCAGGTTGGATAAAAATATTTTCCAAAAAGAATCTTGGATTTGAAGGTGGCCTGTTATTTTCTATAGGGTCCAAAACGGAAGTAAAAAAACCCTTTGACTCACCTATAGGTTTTTATAGAAATTTACACCTAATTTCTTATTTCAAATGGATGAAATGTTGGCTGGGCATGGTGGCTCACACTGTAATCCCAGCACTTTGGGAAGCTGAGGCAGGTGGATCATTTGAGGTCAGGAAGTCGAGACCAGCCTGGCCAACATGGTGAAACCCGGCTCTAAAAATACAAAAAAAAAAAAATTAGCCGAGTATGATTGATAATTACAGGTGGCAGGCACCTATAATCCCAGTTACTCGGGAGACTGAGGCAGGAGAATTGCTTGAACCCAGGAGGGAGAGGTTGCAGTGATCCGAGATTGCACCTGGGTGACACAGCAAGACTCCGTCTCAAAAAAGAACAAAATGTGCATTGTCCAGGAAAAAAGGAGTCACAACAGCTTTTGTCAAGCACATTGTACACCACCTCTCACCTCTGCAGAGAAACATTGGAATTTAGTCCTGGTTTGGGGGAAACTCAGACTCTCGCATCTACAAAGGGCATGGGCCATGCCAGGGCTATGGGCCAAACTCACTATCTTCTTCCCACTCAAGTGAAGGAGGGAAGTGGGGAATGCTCCTCTGTAAGATCCCCAAACAAAGAAGTCCTGATTGATAAAACGGCAGGGATGGGAGCCTCAGAAAATGGGATTCCCAAGAGTGAGGGAGGAAGAAGGAAGTGCACAGTCAAGCAAGGGTTAATCAGACGGCTTTGCATTTTCTGTTATTGCATTTTCTGTTACCGCCCTTCAAAGGTTAATAGATGGGCCATAACAAAGGACTTCCTCAGGAATACATTTAGGAAATTTTGGGATCAACAAAGTAAGTGTTTTTATCCAGGGCTTTCCAGGCGTGAAGCATATTTCCCAAGCTGGCTTGACATCAGAGTCTTTTTAGTGGAAGACCTATTGACAACTCACGAATCTCATCCTCCAAGGAAAACAGATGAGAACCCTGCTCTAGGTTGTCAGAAGGCAAACTTCAAAAGAATTCAGAGAACATGTGGATAAGAGCCCATGGATAGAGATGGCTCAGGAGGGATGGGAGGATCTGAAAATTAAAATCTGACAAGAAAAGCTCAAAGGGCACAGAAGAGGCAGAAGGGCAAGGCAACTCAAGTCAAGACTGCCCATGACAACTTGAGCTGATGCAGACGTGGAGAGTCTGGAGGCAGGCAGGCAACCTTCCCTCTGTGCTTTTTTTTCAGGGGTTCACTAAATATTTATTGAGCCTATTTTCTGTATCAGGGGCTGAGCCTAGCACAAGCTGGGATGCACCCAAAGGAAGGCAGTCAGGAGTGGAAAGCTCCGGGATTCTGATGTGGAGAAAGTTGTAGAAAGTAAATATATTTAGTCTGTGTCTTAGTCATCTCGGGCTACCATAACAAAATACAATTGACTGGATGGTTGAAACAACAGACATTTATTTCTCACAGCTCTGGAGGCTGGGAACTCTAAGATGAACTGTTGGCAGGGGTCAGTTCCTGGTAAGGGCTCCTTTCCTAGCCTATAGATGGGCAGACCTCTTGCTATATCTTCACTTGGCCTTTCCTCTCTGCATGGAGAGAGAGAGAGAGAGAGAGAGAAAGTGCTCTTCCTCTGCTTCTTTTGTTGTTGTTGTTATTGTTGTTTTGAGACAGCATCTTGCTCATGCTGGAGTTCAGTGGCACGATCACAGCTCACTATAATCTCCAACTCCTGGGCACAAGGGAGCCTCCCATGTTGACCTTCCAAAGTGCCGGGATTACAAGTATGAGTCTCCACCTCTTCTTCCTCGTCTTCTAAGACCACCTATCCTATTGCCCTCATGATGGGCCCCACCTTCATTACCTTATCTAATCCTAAATACCTCCCAAAGTTCTCATCTCCAAATGCCACCACGCTGGGGGTTAGGGCTTCATCATATAAACCTTGTGGGGACATGAACATTCAGTCTACAGCAGTCTGTAGACAAAAGGACAGCTGGGTCCTGACAGTTGCCTTCAGGTGGACAGTAAATAGGGCAGTGCTAAGACCAACAGGAGGAAATTTGTGACCAGAGACTTGGGGGTCTCACAGCTAAAGCTGCTTAAACATTATAGGGCTTCTGTGTTAGGTAGCAAGTGCCCTGTCTTTGGAAGCATCCAAGCAGGGGCTGGCAGTTTTCACCTTAAGGTTGTTACAAGTGGGATTCCTATGGAGGTGAGAATTCAGTTAGAAGCTCCCAGACCCTCCACTTCTACAGTTTTATGTGGGTTCACTCCATAAGCATTTTCTTCCTTTTTAATTCTCTACTGTGTGCCCAGGATGGTTTTTCTGTCCTGTTTCCAAAGCAGTGTGAGCAGGAGGGGGTTGTAGCCTTGGGTTGACAGATGAGCGTGCTGGGTATACAATCAATATGTGTGCTCAGAATCCACACAACAGGCTTGGGTTTCTTGGTAACAGAAGTGCTGGGGAGATGGGGCTGCTCTATTAAAGTTTAGTTTCATAAACCTTATCCACAGAGGGCGATGAAAACTACAGCACATGGGCAGGTGGCATCAGGAAACCACTGCATGACTGGGCATGGATTTATTGCACTCTTCAATGCTCCTTTATGTGCCACTTACACGCAGCAAATACCAGCCCTTCGCCCCCAGCCTTTCCTCTTGCAGGGTCACCCATTAATGGAAGAAGGCAGACAGGTATAACTATGTTTCTTCACTTTGGCCAAATTCCTCATGGTTTATAGAAAACAGCAAGAGGTAAGGCTTGTGAGAATGGACAAGCTCCAACTGTGGTGGGAGGCAGGCAGGGACACAGCAGGCCAGTCACCACGGGCACTTTTAGTGCATTTGCCATGCCCAGCATCCTATTGCTACTAAATCGACTTAAGCTCGACAAAAATAAAAACAGTCTCTGCCTTACAGGCACTTTAGAGTTTGCAAACTGCCTTCATGCATGGAATGTTTCATAGGACACAAAGAAAAGGCAGCAATATTATTCCATAGTCATAGGGCTTGTGTGTGCGTGAGTGTGTTGTGTGCAAACAAGTGGGCATGCACATTTGTGTGTGTGTGTGCACTCATGAGTGATAGTGCATGTGTGTGGATGCATGTGTGTATGCTCATGTGCCTGTGTGTTTGTATGCATATGTGGGTCTGTATGTGCATGTGTATTCACGCGCTTTTACGCCGGTGCAGGCCTTCACTCTAGATAGTAGAAATAAGAGACCTGAAGTCTAGCTCCCAGCTCTGTCTCCAAGTAGTTGGGTAACCTGGGAGTTGCTTCACCTCCTTATGCCTTTGGCAGTTTTTGCTGAAAATGTAGGCTTGCCCCAGAATCTAGGAGTTGATAAACTCTTTTCTAGAAAGGGCCAGCTATTAAGTATTTTACTCTTTGCAAGTCCCATGTAGTCTCTGTAATAGTTTTATTTTCTCCCCAACCTTTTAAAAATGTAAAAGCCATTCTTAGCTCAAGCCTTACAAAAACAAGTGGTCTTGTGGCCCTGGAATAGAGCCTGCAGACCCCTACAGATTACCCCTTTTAGCCCCAGCAGGATTGAGCCCCTGCCTAAATGAATGAGTTGTCACTAGCATGCATGCTTCATGTTACTGGGGAGCTTGTCATCTGATGGTCTTGCTTGACCAAGCACCTAGTGCCAGGTGGGACATGGCTGTGTTTCCAGGTGCCAGGCGGCGGGCACCGTCTTGGCTTCTCTGCCTGGGGGAAGGCTTATGTAAATGCATTTGAAGTTTCCCTGCTCCCAAAGTCCCGGGCTTCAGAACCAGACAGGCACGGGTCTGAATCCTCATTCTGTCACTTTCTGATTGTTTAGTGCTTGGAAAGTCATGTCACTACTCTGGAACTTGGACAACTGTGTTCAAAATTGTTCAGATTCCTTTCAGATTTGAAATTGTCAGATTGACTCTTAGTGATGCTTGACAGTTAAGCATTTTGAATCCCTTGGTAGGTATAAACCTTTAATGTTTGCAGGGGCTAAGAAATAAGTGAGCCCCTGTTGGCTTTCCAGGTTGGTGACCCCAGAGGACTGGTGTTCAAGGAAGCTGCCTGTTTGCCAGAAGCTGAGCTGCAATCCACAGAGGCATGAATGCTCGTCCACTCACCTGTTCTTCATCATGGGATGCATCTGTGGTAAGTCTATGTGTCTCCTGAAAAGTGTTCCAGAAGGTTGGCATCTGTTTAAAAAGTCTAAAGCAATGAAGTCACCTTACTACTTTGCTCGTGTAGAAATCTTTCTACTCGGGGAACTGCATGTCAGGATTCTTGATTCTCTAGTATGTCTGGGCCTATAAGCCAGGTGTGTCGTCAGGGCTCTATGGATGCATTTCCGCACCTCACATCCATCTCACTTAAGAATGCATCAAGTAGCGCAGCAATGGCAGTGCCTTCTGCAGCTTAGAGGGAGGCACAGGTGTTCACCTTGTTCCTCTCAAGTTCATGGTCATGCTTGCTGGGCTGGCGGGCTACCACGACTGAGACCCTCGTCTCCCTCACTCCTCCTTTCCAGCTTCTCTCTGCATCTCAGCTTCCTGCCTCCTTTCTGTTTCCATCACAGCCTTCCAGGGAGCATCATCTCTCTGCCCGCATCTGTAGTCTTTTAAAAACTGCTACTCCATTGTCTACCCTGTTGCTGGGTTAACCTTCCCCAGAAGCCACATTGCCTTCTGCTACCCCAAGTTACCATTTACTCAGAAAACTTTCAGGCCTGCCCAAAGCCCCAAAGTAAAAGTCAAATTTCACAAAAACTCAGAGTTCCATAGTCTATCTGCCCCCAACCTACCCTTCTATCTTTATCTCAGAATATCTTTATAAGTAGAGTCACCTGGCTCTCATCCCCAGGGACCTAGGACCACTGGGTCAGGAAGAGGGGCAGACACTGGGCTGAGAGCTGTGGCCTGCAGGAACCCACTGCTTAAACCAAGCTAGGCTACTTATGGGTCCTAAATAATGTGCGTCTCACTTCTACAGTCAGAATAAAATAATGGAGGGCATTAATTATAAATGACTACCTGCCCTCCTGCTTCTCAACCTTCTGCTGCAGTTTTCTGCCTCCTTTGCCTTCAATGCTGGTCTAGAGCTTCTTGTTCTCAGAGAAATCTTCTTCCTTTTATCTCAGCACTTATGGCTGTTATTTCTCTGCCATGCTTTCTGAGCACTGTAGATGGTTCCCTGTGTTGGGATCCATCTGTCTAGCCAGTCCTATCTCATTCTGTCCATCCTATCCCTGGATTGACTGCACCCTGAGTGCTTGGTGAAGAAACAGGTTAGAATTAATTCTGAACTGAAAATCATTTCCTAGGAAAGGCCACTTCATCACATAGCAGGGCTCATGGGGTCCTCTTGGGGGAGGTACAGTGGTGGGGAGCAGAGGAAAGGGTCTGACACAGCCACCTTTGTCAGTATTGCCCCAAAGCCTGGAAGACATGGACACAGGTGCTTGTGTCTTATGGTAGGCAGAATTCAAAGGTGGCCCCCAAGATCCTTGCTGCTTGGGGGACACACACCTGCTCCCAATTATCCAATCAAATGCTAAACAGAGACTTCTGAGAAGAAGAGATACAATTAAGATTCCCAATGAATTGACTTTAAGAGAGGGAGATGATCCTGTGGGGGCAGACCTGAGCACTTCAAAGTGACCCCATTCTTCCTTGCAAGAGAGATTTGAAACATGAGAGGGATTCAAAGCATGCAAGCCCACATGGAGGGGACACGTGGTGAGGCACTGAGACAGCAGTCCCAGGAGGGGAGCACAGTCTCCACCTGACAGCCACAAGAATGGGAATCTCAGTCCTGCAGCCTCAAGGAATTGAATTCTGCCAACAGCCACGTGAGTTTGCAAGAGGACCCAGGAATGAATGCAGCCCTGCTAACACCTTGATTTCAGCCTTGGGCAAAGCCCAGCCAAGCCTGCACTTCTGACATCTGGAAGCTGTGAGATGATCAATGGATGGTACTGCAAGATGCTAAGTTTGCAGTCACTTGTTATGCAGCAGTAGATGACTACTGCATGCCTTCTGCCCTCCAAACTTGCCTTTCTCGAGGTTATTTTCCTTTATAATTTATTAACACATGGCATCACCAGGCTCATGAATTGCACCAAGGAGTCCTGGGAAGGCTGTTATCTCTTGGTGGATAAAATGACACGATTTGCTTATTACGGATCCAACAGACATTCTCCCAGAGCAGAGTGGGCTGGAAAGAATGAGGATCCTCCACTTCTCAAGACTCTTTTTGCTACCTGCTGCCAAAATTCCTAGCCTGTTAACCACAGCTCTCCAAAAAATTGGGGGTAGGGGAAAGCTTATATTTTTTAAAAACCCAACTCTTGATCTTTTGTTATCAGAGCTCCAAGTTAACCTAACTCTGCACCAGAGGCCTGGGTCATGTTTAATGCTGGACTAGAGTATGCAGCTGCTCACTCTTACTGAGACACCCTTGGTTTCTCAGTGTTGCCTGGTGACAGCCAGACACCTGGGCACCACCTGCAGGTCCTTGCTGCCATGGACCAGTAGCTTTTCCCCGAAAGTAAGAAAACAGAGTTAATAATTTGGGTTTGGGGATGGATCATCCTGGGTCTTTCCAAGCTCCTTAAAGAATCTCATGTAATTAGAGCTAACCTGTCCCAATTTCAAATCAAAAGGTAACATGATTAATATACTCTAAAAATAGAGGTAGCTAAAGGCACTTTTAATAAGGCATCACGCATATAGGCTACTTTTAAGTATAACCTACGATTAAGTCTCTGGATTTGCCCGCTGAAGGAAGCTGAAATTGAGAACCCCTCTTAACAGACGAAGAGCTGCCTGCTGCCTCTCCATTTTCACTTTGCAACTCTTCAGCCTCCTTCAAAGCCTAGCTGTCACTCTGGCTTCAGAGCCATTTCTAGAACCTCTGGCTTCCACTTTTTGAGGGCTGGAATCGTGACTTTCAGGTATCTTTTCCCCAGCCCCTAGCAGTTTGCTGACACACAGAAAGCCCTCAGGGAATGTTGATTTAATTAGTTAAAATTCAACTATTTCCCCCACCACCTGATCCAACCTTGTTTTTTTTTTTTTTTTTCTTTTCTAAATTTCACTCATCCTCTGTTCCGGCTGACAGACAGTAGTGTGGGCCATCCACCCCCACTCCCAGGAAGAAAGCCCTTCCTTCCCTCTCCTACCCTCACCACTGCCTGAAGGCTTCTGAGCCTGCTTGGGAAGCTCAGCTATGGTCTCCTGGTGACCAAGGAGTTTCCTGCATCCTGTTATCCCCTGCTGAGAACTTTGGTCAAGTCACCCTTGTGTGGGAGGCTCCCAAAGTGAAATAACTCTTAGACCAACCTTGTAAAGAACCACGGTAGGGCTGCTCTGTTTTATAGCCATACCTTACCCCAGAGTTAGCACAGGGTCCTGTATTGACTAACCCTCCCCCAGCCCCATCCTCATGCCTGGTTATGAATCCCAGGTTGGCTTCCTGCAAAACCAAGCCCCTTCCAAGTCGGGTTATAGTTTTCAGTGGTTGCTATCATGCATCCACTCCTCAAATCTTTTTTAAGTGCCCCTTATAGGCCAGTTACTGTTCCAGGTACTGAAACTCAGCAGTGAATAAGACAAAGTCCTTGCCTTCATGGAGCTTGCATTTTGGTGGGAGATAAAAGCCAGAAATAACAGCTGTGTATTCTAGCTGTAACCTAAATCTCAGGAAATGTTACGTGCTGTAAATTCAAGATGTGTAAGAAGATAATGAGTGATGTGTGGTGGTGATTTTAGGGTGGTCTGGGATCCCCTCTCTGATGAGATGACCTTCAAGAAGAAACAGGATGGATGTGAAGGGGCAAATTTTACAAAGTTCTGGGGAAAAAGGTGATCTGGAGAGGGATCTGTAAGTGCAAAGATCCTGAGGTTAGAACAAACTTGACTTCCAGCCCTTCACCATGAAAAATGCCTCAATGATTGAATATAGCTTCTCTTTTTCCTATCCTGCAGAATGTGGAAGGAAAGTCACGGGAGCTGGGTCAAGGCAAAGGAAGACAAGATCAGAGGAAGCCTTCACCTGCTTGTTGGGCAGGTGGCCTCTGAAGCTGTGTGGGCCTGAGGCAGTCAGCCAGGCTGGCCAGACCAAGGCTTGTTGCTGCCATAGCTGGAGCTGTGTAGGGAAGGTGGGATGAGATGCCATGGGACTCCTGGTCACTCTGAGACAGGCTGTTCCCAATTGTCTCCATGACAGGCCCATGAAAACCAAGGCTGGCTATTCTGGACTTAGTGGGGTTGATGGGGATTGCAGGTGGTGTGTGTAACACAGGCAGCCTCACTACATGGTGCGTGTGATTTTGGGGTGCTGGTAACCCTTTCTGATTCCCCTCAGACACTTTCCTCTCTCTCTTCTTCTACTGCTCCCACATCATTCTCAGTAATTCCCTTTTCCCCTTCAGCCTCTCCATCATTCAAACCACAGGCTGAAGCTAATTGGCCCAGGAACAAAAAGAACACTACAAGAACAGATAGCAACATTCTTAGCTTTGACACCCCAGATAGTCTTGGAAGTCTGGGTTTTGGAATACAAGGGCCAGATGGATTTTTTTTAAGTTCTCCAAAGGTTGACTTTGGAACCAGGCACTAGACCTTGGAAAACTTAGAGCATAAAGATTTGGAAAGAAGATATGATGTTGTAACAGCAGTTTTCTCAACAAATAGAAGATAAGAATCCTACCATGGGGATGGGAGGAAGGTGGATAAAATTTGGCAAGGAGAGAAGGATGTATGGGGCCCATGCCCAGCCATCTCCGTGAAGTTGGAGACCTGGTGGGGCAGGAGATACGAGCCCATGGGTGAGTTTGGGGATCACAACGCAGAAGAGATCTGCACCTCATTTGTTCATACGTGGCCCAGAGAGCTCGTAAACCAGTTAGTGAGCCCCACTCCTAGTACTGAAAGTTGGAGTGACAGGTGGGGTGTGCACCAGCAGAGGTGTGTGGTTTGGACAAGCAGCCAGGCCATGCTGCGGCCTAAGCAGCAGACAGAGCCGGGAGACTGAGGTCATCAAGGTATAACCTGAGGCCATCAAGTTACACCTCAGTGGAGTTCACAGAAGTTGAGACCTCAGGCCAGAAGCCTGCTTCCTCTCTCCACCTGACACCATAAGGCTATGTCAGCCTTCCCCAAACCCACTTGCTGTCTGCAAGAAGGAAGGTAGGAGATGCTGAGGGTGGGGCATCCTGAAACCTTGACCTGTGTGGGTGGTGGCTTCAAAATCAGATGTGAACCACACGTGACTGAGGGAACCTTAAACTGGCAAGTTGTTCTGCTACTCCCTAGATATGGGGGCTTGTGAGCTAAGTGGAGTTCAGGTCTAAAGAAACGAGGTTCTACCTCTGGATGTTTTGAGGTTTGTGTTTGTGAGATTCCTATCTGCAATCCCTCACAAATTGTCTCAACAGGCAGAAGAGCCTATCATTTTATGATAAGAAACGAGCCTCAATGTTTGACAAGCAAGGAGCCCTCCAGAATCCCCATGCTGCATTCCTTGGTGCAGGCTTTAATAGGAGGAGGTGACGGCAGAAGAACAGGGTAAGAGGGGAGGGCTGGGCTGGGGAAAGGGGTGGGTGTGGTTCACCATTTTGCCCAGGGCCGGCTGACCCTGAGAAGAAGGTTTTGGGTGGTGTTCCTAGAGGGCTGCCATGACAAAGTACTACAACCTGGGTGGCTTTAACAACAAACATTCATTCTTTCAGTTCTGGAGGCCAGAAGCCCCAAATCAAGGTGTCTGCAGGGCCACACTCCCTCTGAAGGCTCCAGGGAAGAATCCACTCCATGCCTTTGTCTGAGCTTCTCACTGGCCAGCAACCCTTGGCATTCCTTGATGTGTCTACAGACCCATCACTCCAATCTCTGCCACCATCTTCACATGGTCTTCCTCTCTCATGGCCATCCCATTGTCTCCTCTTTTAAGCACACCAGTCATACTGGATTAACATTCACCCTAATGACCTCATCTTAACTTGGTTACATCTGCACAAACCCTATTTCCAGGTAAAGCCACATGCATAGGTACCAGGCATTAGGCCTTGAGTATGTCTTTTTGAGGGACACAATTCAACTCAGTGAGCTAGCCTGCACAAATTCATTTTTTTTCTTCCTATTTCTGGATGCTGGGTTTAGATAAATCAGCCTGAAAAATTTATATACTTCCATATTAGTCTTCTCATACTGCTAATAAAGACATACCCGAAACTGGGTAATTTATAAAGGAAAGAGCTTTAATTGACTCACAGTTCAGCATGGCTGAGGAGGCCTCAGAAAACTTACAATTATAGCAGAAGAGGAAGCAAGCACATCCTTCTTCACACGGCAACAGGAGGGAGAAGTGCCAAGCAAAGGGGGAAAAGCCCCTTATAAAACCATCAGATCTCATGAGAACTCCCTCACTATCATGAGAATAGCATGATGGTAACTGCCCCCATGATTCAATTACTTCCCACCAGGTCCCTCCCATGACTAGTGGGGATTACGGGGACTACAATTCGAGGTGAGATTTGGGTGGGAACACAGCCAAATCACATCAACTTCTCAAAAGAGTTTTACAGTCAATTCACATTTCTAAGTAAAAGAGCTTAAGACCTATTTTAACCTACGACATAAAAGACTTCTGCTTTCGTGGCCTCCTGTTGCCCTGGAAGACACTCCTGCAAGAAGGCTGACCTGCCTTCAGCTGCATGTCTGTACAGCAAACCCACTCAAGGTTTGACACAAACCTTCTATGTGTGAAACACATGCTGAGATTTCTGATTTCTGAGAGTTGAAAAGAACCATGCAATTGTAAATCATGTACAAAGGAATAAAACATGGCGGCTCTGTGTGTCAAAAGGTTTTCCCCTGCAAGTCCCACAGACATGGGGAGTGCATCACATCGGTACAATTCAGGAGAACACTGCCTCTGACTCTGCCCGCCTCCCCCGCATCCAAGCAAGCAGCCAACAAACAAAACAAGCCCCAGTGAAGCTGTAGCCTACTGTGGGTTTCCAAAAACCTTTACAGAATCGAATCTGGCAAGATGGCACATGGGGGCAACCTTAATAAAAATCTTTCCTGTAAAATATTGCGCATTGAAAGTCAGGTTATAAATTCTGGAAATTTCTCCCTAAAGTTAAACACAAGGGATCCTGAGGGTTTACTCTGATCTCCTGAATCTAACTGTACGATGCTCACCTACCTATCTCAGAAAGGTGAGTGACAGAAGGACTGGGAAGCAGGGAAGGCATAGGGGACGGGCTTTCCTCCTTGCTTTCATAGGATACTTTCACAGGTGGGCCTCTCAGCTGTGTGCTGGATGGATGAAAGGTGAGCAGGTTTTGCAAAGGCAGGTTAGGGGAACCACACACAGACACACACAGGCAAAGACACACACACAGAGACAGGTACAGACACACATAAACATGCACACATAGACACAGAGACAGATACGAACACAGACACGCATAGACAAACACACAGGCACACATGCACGGACACAGGCATGTACACTCTGCACTGTACACGATGTCATTTTAGGTGTAGTGAGAATAATTTTATATAGAGATCAAAATTTTGCCTCATATCTATGAATGGTTCCGACTAGCTAGAAAACCATGGATGATTAAGCACTGCTTAGAAATGTGTCCCTAAAATCTACAAAGTTAAAAAAATCCCTTAATATGTATTTTAATTTGTGTAACAGGGGATTTATGAATTGAGTACTTGTAGGCTGTTTGGGTGAGAACATTTCCAGGCTTTCTTAGACCCAGCTGAACCTAGGGGGCCCAGGTTGCAAGTGTTTGAACTACCAGATACCAAGCCCTCTCAGTGACCCCCTCATATATAAATTTTAAAGGCTTGAATATCCAAGTGCCAAAGTCGATCATTTGAGATAAGGGCCTCAGCTCTGCATTTCACTCTTTCTTCTTGCAGCTGCTGTTCCTGTTGGAGGTAGCAAGGACATTGGTGCTGATGCTGGCGGCAGTTGTGGTGGTGCTGGGCTGGGTGTGGGTTGATGGTCTCAAGTGTGGGATGGGGAAGGGGTGTGGGATGGTGGGGGTGGAGACACGCATCACATGACTCTCAGATGATTCTTGGCAATAAGAAGACAAAGATTTTCATGTTGGGAGCTTAAACACTGAAGAATTTGCAGGTATCTTTTTAAAGCATTCTTGTGATTCTTCTTTAAATCAATGGTTCTCAACCCTGGCTGCCTGCTACAACCATGTGGGAGCTTTTGAAACATACCAGTGCAGAGACTGTTCCCCATTGTAATTCTGATTTAATCAGTCTAGGGTTTTAGAGTGAGGAGCTCTTCAGGAGATGCAAATGTGCAGACAGGGCGTTGAATCATTTCAGGTCAAATGGGGCATCCCAATACAGCAGTAAGAGTGAGAGGGAGCCCTGGGCACAGCCATTTCTTCTGCAGGAACAGCACTGATGTGGTCCTGGCTGATCGTAAAGTCACCTACCTCAGTTTTTAATAGTTATTACAAAATATTTCAAGCATTCAGGAAATTATATGGAATTTCTATGCTCTGACCTCCAGGTTTAATGACTGTTAGTATCTGGCTATATTTCTTGTTTATTAGTTTAGAAAATACAGCTGTAAAAAAATCTGGTGGCTCTGACTGGGTTGGGAAATTTGGGATACCTTTGGGCAAAATGTATTGAGAAGACAGGCTGCTCACTTAGGTCCCTGCTGGGTCATTTGCACTTTAGTATAAGTGAGGCAACAGGGTGAAGGCAATGGTAGAGACTTAAGGTTGGGCAAAGATGGGGAGGCAAGTTGGGAAAAGGGGTGCAGAATGGGCATAGGGCTTAGGATGTCTATGGCAACCCCAGGTTGTCCACTGTTGACCCTGGCAATGAGGTAAAATCTTTTCACTGAGGAGTTTTTAAGAAGAAATCACTATACAGGAGAGTGAGAAGTCCCAGTTTTAGCATTCTTTGTCCCCATATGGCTTCTTTCATAGTTTTTTTTTTTTTTTTGAGATGGAGTCTTGCTCTGTCACCCAGGCTGGAATGCAGTGGTGTGATCTCGGCTCAGTGCAAGCTCCACCTCCCGGGTTCACACTGTTCTCCTGCCTCAGCCTCCCGAGTAGCTGGGACTACAGGCGCCCGCCACCCAGGCCAGCTAATTTTTTTTGTATTTTTAGTAGAGACGGGGTTTCACCATGTTAGCCAGGATGGTCTCGATCTCCTAACCTTGTGATCCGCCTGCCTTGGCCTCCCAAAGTGCTGGGATTACAGCCTTGAGCCACCGCACCCGGCCGGTTTCTTTCATAGTCTTATGTTACATTCCTGGGTACCCTTTTGAATGTTCCCCTATTTTTTTCTTTTTTTGGAGATGGAGTCTCACGCCATCTCCCAGGCTGGAGTACAGTGGTGTGATCGCGGATCACTGCAATCTCTGCCACCTGTGTCCAAGCAATTCTCCTGCCTCAGCCTCCCAAGTAGCTGGGATTACAGGCACCTGCCACCGTGCCCAGCTAATTTTTGTATTTTTAGTACAGATGGGGTTTCACTATCTTGGCCAGGCTGGTCTTGAACTCCTGACCTTGTGATCCACCTGCCTTGGCCTCCCAAAGTGCTGGGATTACAGGTGTGAGCCACCGTGCCCAGCCTGTTCCCCCTATTTTCTAGGGAAATGTTGACTTCTTTGGTCCATACCTTCTTGCAACAGCACTCGGCTCCAGCACTGTGTGTATAAATGGCAGCCTGTGCCCTCTCTCACCTACGGCTGGAGAAGCCTTTTTTTTTTTTTTTCCTCTGCCTTTCCTTATTTGGAGTTGATGCTTTTTGACATTTCTGTCCAACAAATACTACCTTGGGTTCTGGATTATATTCTACGGAAGCAGCTGACATTTCTTTGATCCTTCCATTTGAAAATATTTATTTTAAAAAGATTGAGAAAGGTAGAATTGACTTCTAAAATACTTCAATAAATAACCACTTTCAAGTTGCCATGATTCACTTTGGCAGAGAGATGCTATAGACAGATAACCCAGAGCAATGTCAAAAATAGACACAAACGAACCCTGCTCAATTCTGGCCTCTTCCTTTCTCTTTCTTTTCACTGATTCTATTCAACATCCTGCCTTCTGCAATCTTAACATGATCTGTTAAATTATGGTATAATCAAAACCCTGTCACCCTCCATCACTTATAACTTCAGGAAGCCTTATAATTCTTGCTTAACCATTCAACAAAACAAACATATCAGGGGATGGTCTAGCAAGCTTAGTTCTAGAAGCTTATTTATCCTTCTTTGATATCTGTCTAAACTCATACAAAGGAACACAAGTCACTTAGCAGATATGTGGAAGTTAGGTACAGCCTTGCAACATCACAATCACCAGGGAGCTTGCTGGAAAATGCAGAATCCCAGGCCCCACCCCCGATCTACTGAACCAGGATCTGCATTTTAACAAGAGCCCCAGATAACTGCTGTGCACATTGAGGTTTGAGAAACACTAACTTACAGCATAAAAATCAACACTTGGCTGGGTGTGGTGGCTCACGCCTGTAATCCCAGCACTTTGGGAGGCCGAGGCAGGTGAATCACAAGGTGAGGAGTTCAAGACCAGCCTGGCCAAGATAGTGAAACCCTGTCTCTACTAAAAATACAAAAAAATTAGCTGGGTATGGTGGTGGGTGCCTGTAATCCCAGCTACTTGGGAGGCTGAGGCAGAGAACTGCTTGAACCCGGGAGGCGGAGGTTGCAATGAGCTGAGTTCGTGCCACTGCACTCCAGCCTGGGCGACAGTGAGATTCCATCTCAAAAAAAAGAAAAAAAAAATCAACATTGTACCACTCAGCTCCCTCATGCAGCATTAACTTACCTGCCTAGAAAATGTGGCTTTACTACTTTTGACGCTGCTTTTAGGTCCCCTCTAGGTGAGGCAGTTTTAGGGAAAAAAAGCACCAATGATACAAGCATTTTCTTCAAATTTCTTTTGTTAATGTGAGAGTGATAATTACAGTCTCACCAGTTTTTTTTTAAAGAATCTAGAGATGTCCACTTTATTTTAAAATTATGTTCACAGTGTCATATTTTCTATTTTCCTCTTCTTCAGAGATGGGATCTTGCTATGTTGCCCAGATTGGTCTCAAACTCCTAGGTTCAAATGATCCTCTGGCTTCAGCCTCCTGAGTAGCTGACATTACAGATGCAAGTCATTGTGCCCAGCTCCATATTTTCCATTTTCTAACTAAAATGACATATGCTAAGCAGGGGAGAGAAATACACAGAACTTCCAAGCTATAGCAGTTCAGCTTCTTTCTAAAACCCAAATAATAGCCCTGGGATTTAGAGATGAGCAGGAGAAGGGCTTTTCTTAAGGATTCAGGAGGCAACACGGCTTTGTCCTTAAAGACCTTAATGATCATGCCTTATCTTGCCAACTTTAGCTGCCTAGAAATGTGAAGGGCTTAGAAACAGCCAGGGCTGAGTGGGGTGCAGCTAGCTTCAATATGACCCCATTAGTAGCACCTTTGGAGGTGTCTGCTCCTAGTGGGAGAAGTATGACCAGACTTTTGAATAGAACCAGCTTTGTTTCTGGCTGAAGATGACATCCTTGCTTTAGTAAATCCTCCTCTCCATGATCCAACATTTCTCTCCTTGACCCATCCCCATTTCTAGCTACCTTCACTGACCCCATAGAGGTCATTCTTTGGAAGCACCTGAAATAAAAGATGCACAGCCCTTTCCTCCTCTGTCCCTCCCACCTGGTGAAAGAGGCAGACTTTCCCATTAACCTGCCCTCAGGGTGAAGTACATTGTCCTGATTACTTCAGTAAAGAGGAACATTGGAATGAAGGTACCCCAATCAGGGAGGCTGTGTGATGAAGACAAAGGGCTTCAGAGCCATCTCCCTCCCTCTCCTGCCCTGACAGTGGTGCCCCATTCCCCATTTTTAAAAGTTGGAAATCTGAGGCAAAGCCTTATTGTAAAATGTTGCAGTTTCTCAGGTATTCCCAGGGTGAAATCTCACCCCTAAAATCAGAAACTTTCTCACAAGTCTGATAAATGCCTGCAGGCTCATTGTATTACGCCGTTCTTGGACTGCTATAAAGAAATGCCTGAGACTGGGTACTTTATAAAGAAAAGAGTTTTAAGGGGCTCACGGTTCTGCAGGCTGCACAGGAAGAATGATGCTGGCATTTGCGGCCTCTGGGGAGGCCTCAGGAAACTTACAATCATGTCGGAAGGAAGAGGTGAGAAGCAGGCACGTCACATGACAAGAGCAGGAGGAAGAGACAGAGGGGGAGGTGCCACACACCTTTAAACAACCCGATCTCGTAAGAACTCACTCACTATGGCGAGGATAGTGCATGGATGGTGTTAAACAACTTATGAGAAATTCGTCTCCATAATCCTATCACCTCCTTCCAGGCCCCAACTCCATTATTAGGATTACAACTCAACATGAGATCTGGGCAGGGACAGAGACCTAAACTGTATCACCCATGCTAACTGCTGAGGCTTCTGAAGCCCTTCGTAGGGTGCCAGAAGCCACCTGTCTGGTCATCGTGCACACACCTGTTTCCACCTGAGATGACCAGGCTGATGTGGGGCTGACTGCTTCTCACCTGCCTGGCATGGGGTTCGGCTGTGTCTTTGCTAGTGGTGCCTGGAACATTACGGGCACGGAACATGCATTTTCTTGTGGGCCGTGAAGGTGCAGAGGCCACTTTTCTTGGGTCTCCAGGTGAACCTTGGGACTGTGTTACCACTAGGAGGGCAGAGCTGTCACCCCCGATTCCTGGGGGAGACTCAAGGGTGGCACGTGGGCTTGGGGATGAACAAACTCATGGAAGCCTTGTAGGAACACTCAGGGTTTCTCTGGCAGGAGCCAGTGTCTGTCAGAGGAAGAGACAAGCTGACAGCCTTTGACAGAGAAGACACCCGGGCCCCAGAGGCAGCGGAGGACCCCAGGCTGACAGACACACCTCCACCAAAAACAGAGGCAAGCTGACAGTGCCTGGAGCTCACGGTTTGCTTCAGAAAAGGCACCTGAGCTTCAAAAAGGAAAAGAAGAAATGAGTGCCCACAGCCAGGCTGCTGGGAATTCATCCAGGAGCTGTGGCACTGCTGGGGAGGGCCAGAAGCCGGGGCTCCTGCCAGAGCCAGGAGGGCAGCTGGTAGCTGGTTCGTGTGGGAGGCTGAGCTTTGCCTGTAGGAACAAACACTGTGGCTGCTCTTGCTAAGGTATTTAAACAGCATCTCAATGCTGGGCTGACAGTTTTTGGGTATAACTGGGTTCTCTCCATTCTACAAGGCCACTTTGGCTTCTAAGAAGGCAGCTCTAAAAAGAAGTCCCCTCTCCTATTACCTTACAGAACCCCCATTGGTGCGTGGACTCCTCCCCTTGCTTAGTGTGGGAGCCCCACCCAAGGTGCAGCCCAGCAGGGAGACAGAACAGTGTTGTTCAGTCCTGGCTGGAAGGTGTGTGCACAGTGACCCCCGATGACAGCCAAATCCATCCAGGTACAGCAATGGCAATGAGCAGAGGGAGCCTCAGCCCAAAGCTTCCCATGCTGGGAGAAATGACCCACCACACAACACTTTCTTTCTAGAAGCAAAGTTGTCTGTTCCACTGCCTTGTCTAAAATCTTGCTTTAGCTGCTGACTGGCTCTGAGAGGCCACCTATGGTCCTGATCCTGGTGCTCTCCGTGCCCTGTGGCCTGTCCCCATTTCCCCAAAGCAGACCTTTCTTCACACTCTCTCCCTGGGATTGTACTCCATTGTCACACTGCCCTCTAGTCCCTCACTTTTCTAAGCCTCTGTCCCCAGGGCTACCTCGGATTTCCTGCATCCATCAGGGAAGTCTCTGCCTTTGAAGTCCTGGCTCAACCAGGGGTCCGTGCAGACTGGACAATCGCATGTGTCCATCTCAGGGACAGGCTTATCATCACAGCCATTGTATTCTGTACCACCTGTTAGTATAAAAAGTCTTTTGCATCTGTTTTCCCAAAGTTGCCACAGCACTTAAGACCCAGTGGGATCCAACCCCTATTTGCTACGGGAGTAAAAATTAAGTGAGATGGGAAATCACTCCTGAGTTGGAGATCATGAGAAAGAAGAAGGGAAGATTCCTATTAAATGACTGTTATTCAAGTGAACCTTGGACATTGGGCTGTGTGTGCTCACTACTGTGGGTTCTCCATGTTGACCGCCCTTTAAAACCATCTGGGAGGCTCGATGAAGTATCCGTGTGGGAAGGGGAAGGCAGAGCGTGATGGGGGCCACCACACATGGTGTGTCTGAGCAGCTTTGGTTGCTGACGCTAGCCTGGCATCTGTGGAATCTGATTTGTACATTTGAGTGGCCATGAAATGGGCTCTAGTGCCCTTACCGGTCATGGAAAGTTCTATTCCAGGTAGGCCACTGCAGAGTGTCTGTCAAGGATTGTTCCCATTGGATTTCATTTCTTTTAAATTTCAAAAATGCCAGTATTGGGAGGCCAAGGTGGCTAGATCACGAGGTCAGGAGATCGAGACCAGCCTGGCTAACATGGTGACATCCCATCTCTACTAAAAATACAAAATTAGCCAGGCATGGTGGCACATGCCTATAGTCCTAGCTATCTGGGAGGCTGAGGCAGAAGAATAGCTAGAACCCAGGAGGCGAAGGTTGCAGTGAGCCAAGATCACGCTACTGGACTCCAGCCTGGCTGACAGAGCAAAGACTCCATCTCAAAAGAAAAAAAAAAAAAAGAAAAAAAGAAAAAGAAAAAGTCAGTAATGTGTTACTGTTCTATTATTGCCCTAGAAAGGCTGTAGGTGGTGGGTGGAGTTGCAGACCAGGCTCCACAGATGTTATGCATCCTGGGCAATAAGACATCTTCCCTTTCAGCCTCAGTATTTCCATCTGCAGGTAATATCAAAGCACTGGATACAGAGGTATTAGAAGAACTGAATTGTTATAATATTTGTGAAATTGTACTTTTTAAAAGGGAGGCATAGCCAGGGAAAAACATTTCCTTTTTCATTAGTTTAGGTGTAATTTACAGTTGTTTATGATGATGACCCTCTCTTTGCTATATTTCTTTGTTGAAGCTTTGAATACAGAAAAAAGTTTTAAATATCCTGCTTTAACAAGAAAATATTA
The DNA here is from genome assembly GCF_000001405.40 of Homo sapiens. NCBI lineage: Eukaryota > Metazoa > Chordata > Mammalia > Primates > Hominidae > Homo > Homo sapiens. The sequence continues at coordinate 37,898,996 of NC_000021.9, forward strand.
TCCAATGTTTTAAAATAAGAAAGGTTAAAAAGAACTTACATAGTAAAAATGCAAATATTTCCCTCCTTCTGTTAAGAAGTAAAGGCTTTCAACCCTTTAATAAGTATACTTTTCTCAAGTTTTCAGGGGGCAAAACAGCTAAGAAAGGGAGAGACGGCTCCGTCTGTTGAGAAATGTGATTTTGAGTTTCTCCTGGGTAAAGGTGGAAGAACAGTGAGAGGAAGAGATTTTTGTCTTTTGTGTATAATCTCGGTAGAAATCATGACATCGCTTTAATGATATTCTTGCACATGTGAAACTAATAATAGTTTGTGAGCCCAGAGGGAAAAACCAGTTTTGCCCTGAAATACAGCCAAGTTGGACTAGAAAAGCGATTGTTAAGGAAACTGTCCTTAGCTGGATTGTCCTCTTCTCGTTCTCTCTCACTCCCCCTCACTCTGCTTCTTTCTCTCTCTTTCTCCAGCTCTCTTGTCTCACCCTCAAGTCTAAAAATTATAACAGCATTTCAAGAAGCTAATACACTACCACACTTTTGCTGACACTCTTAAAATCTCTTGTAAAGAACACACCTTGGACCCTCACAGCCAGTGAATGTTAATTGAAGAGTGGACCTTGGTAGTGTCTGGGAGAATGCTGAAAAAGACCAGAGGTGGGAAGAGTTCAAGGCCAGATGTCCAAAATGCAGGGCCAGAGTCTCCTGACCCTGATCACAAATCCTAGCTACCTGGTACAACCTAACCTTGTGAACTTGGCTTCCAGTTCCCTACCTACAAAATGGGAAAACAGTAAGTTCCCTTCCTTCCTGGGCGCTTGTGAGAACCAACTGGCTTAATGACTGGGACATTATTGCTGAAAGCTAGTAGCATATGAGTTCCACTATGCAAAGGTGTTTGCTTGGTGTCTGATGTTAATTCCTCCTTTACAACTCGCCCAGTTCGTGTGGCTGGGAGGCTCAGGTTGGGCACAGGTTCTGGCAGCTGAGAATGACCTGTCCAGCTTCTTTGAATGTTTTCATGTCAAATCAGATTGCTTCTGTGGTCAATGGATGAGGGATTACAGATTGTTCTTTCACTAGGAAATGTTAGAATGTAAATAGGCACAGCCTTTTTGAAGGGCAATTTAGTGAAATGTAACAAAAGCTTTCAAAAAAGTGCCTACCCTTTTTACCCAGCAATTATATGTATAATGCTTTATACTAAAAAGGCATTCTGATATAGTGTGTAGAAAGACACAGTGTGTGGGAGATGCTTATACAGCACTGTTTACAACAACAAAAAAAGGGAAAACAACCCAAATGTCCAAAATATAGGATGCTATAAATCCACAGGAAGTATGTTTTAGAATCACTCACAATGCAGCCACCACAATGATAGTCTATGTTTCGTTGACCATATCGAGTACCTACTATGTGCAGGACATCAACTAGGGAAACATCAGTGAACAAAACGAACAAAAGAACTCTACCCCTAGGAGCTTGCCTTCTATTGCAGGAGACAGAAAATAAACAAAGCCACATGCAATTTGCGTGGCGTGTTAGAAGGTAACGCATACTATGGAGGAAGTTTAATCGGGAAGGAGGAGGTGGCAGCAGAGGTGAAGGATGGGTGCCAGCACAAACTTAAAGGAGGTGGGAATGAAGGCGCTTGCTGAGAAGGGGCAATTCTGGGTGGATTTGATGGGAGAAAGGCAAATCTGGGGAAAGGACATCCAAGGCAGCAGAAGGAGTGAGTTAGGAGGCCTGGACATATGGAGCAAGTATCCATCATGTTAGAGAAACAGCATGAGGCCATCAGCAAGGTGCGTGAAGAGCAGGGAGTGAGACCCACAGTAAAAGACAATGAGCCCAAAGAAATCTGCAAACCACTCCTCATTCCTGACTTGGAGAGAAGTTGATGATGAATTATCAAATAACAATATCAGTCAACAATATATGATCCAATTTTAGTTATAAAACATAAAACATAGTAAACCCTCCTATTTACAGTCTGTGCTATATTCTCCCCCACTTCTGCCTCCCCCTTCCTTCTCTCCTTCCTGCCTTTCTTTGTTCAAAAATTTAGCTTATCTGAATGTTCACATTTTTCTACAGTGAACATACTTGTGCAACAAACAAATAAGAAAGGCTCAGGTAAAATAAATTGACAGTATTTTATTGTCTTTGGTCAAGCTGTTTGAGCACAGAATTCACCAATGTTAAAATGTGTTTACTTTTCTGAATTAGCAATAAACACTATTTGCTTTGTAGAAAGGTTAAAACAGTGGAAGAGCTCAAATTGGGAAGTTACTTTAAAGGTGAGTGTTGTCTTAGAGAAAGAGTAGGTTGGTTTCCACAAGTTAGGCTATACCCAAAATACACTTTCTCTGCATTTCTATCGGTGAAATTTCCCCAGGGTGAATCTGAAAAGTGCCAGTGTATGGAAACCACATGGAAATAGAGGGATAAAGGTAGAGAGCTCCTCCACCCCCACACATGTATCTACAGACATGTTCAAACTCATCTGTAATCATAAGAGCATTGACCTTGACTTTACCGTAAAACTTTGATGATTGAGAATGCTTCAGGACTGGAGTGTTCCAGTTTAATTTGAATTATTTGGATAATTGACTCAACCAGGAATAAACAGACGTTCAAGTTAGGATTTCAAATTCAGTTGTTAAAAATCTTTCTAAAAAGTGAGCTCCCTTCTCTATGTTGGTAAGTGTGCTGTGCTGGACACAGTTCAGTCTTTGATGATGTGGGTGCCCTGGGATGTAACTGGGTCATTATTCTAGTCTTAAACTCATTTATTTCTCCTTTAAAGTCCTAGAAGAGTAGTGTAAGTAGCATATCTGCCTTCTGAAGTAACACATATGCTTGGCATTAAAAATTATAAAATCATTAAATTGTTTATTACAGTTTTTCATATCCTCTTAGAAGCAGGGGACAGGAAAACCAGCTAACTAATTTGTTTTTTTTAATTATCCCAATTTTGTAGCTAGAAAACCTGATATAGAGAGAAGTAAAATAACTCATCTAATAGAGCTCAGTGTCTGTCAAAGCTCATCCCATAGAACCACATGACTCCAGGTTAACTCCAATCTCTCAGGCTCCTAGAAAGGAAATATGATTATGCCCAAGGGCATGAGGACTTAGGTTCTGAAGATCTTTAAGGCAACCCAGAAGAACAATGTCAATACAGGAAGACCAGAAATCAGTGACCTGGACTGTGCTTCAATTTTTATATGGCTTAGAGAAGTGAATGTTACTTCCCTTGTCCCATCTGAAACACAAATTTATTCCTTCTCCTCCATCGTTTAAATATCACATCTGAGTGACATCTAGAATGGATGTTTTTGCCAGTACAAGTTACTAAGAAAAGAAGAAAGCTCTTTCCCATGTGACATCTCCCCTCTGACCTACATAACAGTATTTTGGTGTTTTATTTCTTGTACAGTGGGTCCTCACAGCATTCATAGAAATGGCTACAATGTGCCTACATGGAATAATAGATTCTGTATTATTTTTCCAAAGATAACTATTTTCAATAGTTTTAATAGTTTCTGGTAGTTCTCAGTACACTTTAAGGATTATAGAAATATTATTCAAATATCATATATTGAATGGCCCTTCCATGAAAACATAGGGGATACAATAATGTGTAGTCTGACCCTCGTTGGCAAAGAAGTTTGCATCTGGCAGAGAGAAGAAGTGTGCAGGAAGGCACCGGCCTACAGGGTGGCTGCAGAAGAAACCCCACAGACAGTGCCCATGGTGAGAAGATAAAAGCTCAAGCCTGAGAACATGACTTTGCATTTTGGTGGCATTTTCAAATATACTTTTAATTGACATCTCAAATTCAATGACCTGGACATCTAACTCAAGAAGCCACCTAGTTTATTGTTTTGATTTCTCTGACATGACAGCATATAAATTACCCTTCCTTCCTTTTAAAACAATGCCAGGGTGTGAGAACCTCTGTTTTCAGCAAGTCCCTCTTGCACATATCTTAAGCCCATTTTTTTTCCTCTCTCTTTATTAGAAACAATTGTCCCTTCCTCTCCATGCTGTCTGCGATTTGTTCTCAGGGGCTAAGAGCTTCAGTGTTCCTACTCAGTGTTTTCTCTTTCTTTGCCAACTCAGTGAGACCCCTCTTGCCTTTTCTCATGATATGATTTGGCTGTATCCCCACCCAAATCCCACCTTGAATTGTAATAATCCCCATGTGTCAAGGGTGGGGCCAGGTGGAGATAACTGAATCATGGGGGTAGTTTCTCCCTACTGTCTCATGGTAGTGAATAAGTCTCATGAGATCTGATGGTTTTATAAAGAGGCATTCCCCCGCACAAGCTCTCTTGCCTGTCACCATGTAAGATGTGCCTTTGCTCTTCTTTCATCTTCCACCATGATTGTGAGGCCTCCCCAGCCATATGCAACTGTGAGTCCACTAAACCTCTTTCCTTTATAAATCACCCAGTCTCAGGTATGTCTTTGTTAGCAGCATGAGAATGGACTAATATGTAATGCAATTGGCCATCTTATGGAATCTTAGGGTGCTTTAAGGGGACAGAGTGATTGGATCTGTTTTGTGGTTGGAATATGAAGCACAGATGACTCAATCAGATTACCGGTGTCTGAAATGACATGGGAAGAAGCCAGGACAGACACACAGGGCTCCTCACTCTATTTATCACTCTCCATGTATAAGTCTTGCCTTATTTTAGCAATATCAATAGTTCCTCTGGAAATTAAAAACAAAACAAAACAAAACAAAAAAAAACGAAGAAGCAACTTGAGTCCAGATTCTTTACCTGAAGAAAGAAATGAACTGCAACAATACTTGTACATTGCAAGGGCTCAAGTAGTCAAATGAGGTTATGATTTTTCACCAGGACACCCAGGGTCTGTCTTTAGTGCTAACAGCCTCCTGACACCTATTTTGTAATAAAAGGACAATTTACTTTATATTGGTAGAGAGTAACCAAAAAACATCCAGATATTGTTGAGTAACTGATCATTTTAAGAAAACCTTATTAATGCAATGAAAATATTGTGGGTTTATTTGAAAATGGCTGGTGGGGTTTAATTAAATTCTCCTATCCCACAACAGTTTTTTGTGTTGCTGAAACCACAATGTGATCCTTTCTATTAGCTGCTCTAAAGTCCAGGTTTCACACTTTTTGTGGGTGGGCTATTGTGAATGACTTTGGTATTGTTTGGGTGATTTATAACCCAAGGATTTTCAGGTGAAATATACCTTCTGATGCTGGATCCCATGTTCTAGCTATTATCCCAGTGGCCAAGATAACCACTTTGTACTTCCCATGAGAGCTGAATCTCACAAAAGACTCAGCCTTGCTAACTTAAAATAAACTCCACTTATGCACACGACAGGAATAGAGAAGACTATCTCAGTGGTGCAAGCCAAATAAACAATTTCCCTGAAAAATAAAATTCATTGACAGCAAAGTATTTTTGTTCATTTTTTTTTGGTATCACTTTGGGGTCTTGAAAAAAAATTATCTTCACTTACTTAGAAGTTCTATACTGACCCACACTTATCACTATACTGAAGTAGTGGGCTGTGCCATAAAGGTTAAGTTCCACATAAACCCCATTTTATTTTTTTACTATAGACTCCTTGTTTTCATGGGGTCTCCATTCATGCTGTTTGGGAGCCAGGCTAAATTCCCAGTGACTTCTATCAAAGCATAAGTGAGTTTTACTTCATGGGCAGAGAGAAGGTTTGTAGTTTGACAGATATGGCTGAATGACTAGGAGATGAACATCAAGCAACATTGTTTTTGCACAGGAGAAAAAAAGGAGTCTTGTCTACTCTCTGCTCCAGATCACAAAATAAAATGGTCTCATCATATTCAGGATGAACAAGTTTCCCATTCACAGCAAATCCCCAAAAACATGCTCTTAAACTCTGCCAGCCAAAACCTTGCACATGAAAGTGACAAGACACCACAGCCCCTATCTGGCTGCTGCAGCAGCTCACCTAGCTCTCTGCCCAGCACCGCTATTTATTCACTGGAACAACCTCAACACTCTGCGCCTGGACTGCAGCCACGTGCGCTCCCTCTGGCCCATGCAGTGTGGTGTGAGAGCTTTCTTTGGGTGGAATCCATCATCAGCCTGCTCTCTTGGCTCATGAGTGATTATCTGCTCTCAGCACCACTGATGACACTAAAGCAGGTCCATTTTTCTATTACTCATTTACTGCTTCACACATGCTTAGGGCTTCTTGCCTTCTGATCAGTGTCCTAGCTGTGTGTCCTAATCCCAGTATTTAACTCTGTCTTGCTCATGACTGCCAGATTAAAATTCCTGTATTTCCTCCCACTTGCCCCCAATCAAAGCAGTCACTTTTCCAAGAGCTATGAGCTCATGTACCATGCCGATGCGTGGCGCTCTGATTTCCATGGTGTGGTAGACCATACCCCTGCCTGATCAATCCTCATTGCCAATACACCCTATATATATGTAATGGCAAAACCGCAATTACTTTTGCACCAACCTATAGGTGGGTTCCTCATAGGAAAGCCCTCTTTCTCCTGGGAAAACCTTACTAAGCACCAAAACGCTACTGTTCTTCCAAGACTCCTTCACATTTCCCCACATCCCTGGATGTTTTCTGCAGATACCAGCCCTTATTAATGTTCTCCTCCCTCACTTAAACTCTAGCACCATTCTCTTGTGTAATGCTATGCTTCTTTGTGTACATTATTGTTTCATCAATACTCTCATTTTCTAAGTTTAAGGCCTCTGGGAACTGAAGTCAGGGCATTTTTTTCTCTATGTCCCCTTGTCTTCTTTAGGTAGTAGGTACTTAGCAGAGATTTGTCAACTGACTAACCCAAGAAGCTAAGACAATTCTGGACATAGCTATGAAGCGCCAATTTCTGGCAATATGAAGGTGGTCAGGAGATGTTTAGAATGAAAGTAAATGTTATATAGTTATAACTCTTCCTCACTTGACTGCATGAAGGTCTGCTGTGATAAGCCCTCTATTCAATTTTCTTAATATGGCTTTTCTCAAGAGTACAACATTCTTATTCACTGATAGCATCTTTTATTTAAAGGATAATAAATGAGACTATTAATTTTGAAAAGAACAAATAAACTTCAGGATGGATTAACTATAATTCCAAAATACTAAGCAGTTTATTTAAATAACCTGCATAACAGAGAAGCCCTTGCTTTGTGCTCATAATCTTTGCAACTTAGTGTGATCATGAGTATTTTTTCTGATGGACCAAAAGCTTTTTGTTTTTGCTGTTTTTCCCCCCTAGACACTGAGTCCAGGTTAAATCTGCCTCTGCAGTGGGCATTCTGGCATTCCATTTCTAGTTGTGACCCTACCTGGCTCTTGCATGAGCCTGGACTTGGAGGTCTCTATCGTGGGAAGAAGGCTGTGAGAAGGGGCATTGTGTCTGGGTTCCTCCTTAAAGCAGATCTGAGGAAAACCTAAGCCAGTAGCTCCCACCCTTTAGAGTGCATCAGAATCCCTGGAGGGGATGGGCAGATGATTGGCCCTGTCCTCAGGGTTCCTGATCCAGTAGATCGGGGGGTGAGCTTGAGAATTTGCATTTGTAGCCAGCTCCCTGGTGATGCTGCTGCTGGTTCAGGGACACACTATGGGAACCACTGACCTCAGCTGACTTTCATCAGCTCTGATGCCTCCTTTTGTCCACAGAGACCCCCAACAGTGGCCAGTCAAGGAGACATGTGGAGTGTGGGCTTGGGCCCAACACTCCTTGAGTGCTGATTAAAAAAGAGGGCCACCTAATGCGGCCTCTCTTCCAATGACAACACATAATGTCATAGGTTCTTTATTTGCCGTCCTCTTTCTGCCCTCTCTTTATATGCTTTACTACTGTGGGCCCAGCCACCCCAGGAGGGCTAATGAAAATTTAAGAGGGTGAATATGTTTAGGGTATTGACTGGTGAGACCTTGGGAGACAGCTGAAGAGGAAGGAATCTACCCCATTCGTTGCCATTATTGAAACTAGATTTCTTGAGAGGAGGAATTATATGTTAGTAGCACTATATTTTGCACGTTAGAGATGTCTAAAAATCTGAAGTGTGCTCTGCCTAACTCGTCATGGAGTCTTGGCTCTGAAAATGTTGTAAGGTGATGCAAAAACCTCCGAAGAGAGATTTCATTCCTTGTCTTTTGACTGAAGGTAGTGTGTTGACAACAAAAAGCAAGGGTAAAGCTTTTCCATGAGCAGTGAGTCCTGTACCCTTCCTCTTAGTCATGTGATGCTGCTTAGTCATATGATTACTGCATTCCAGACCTGCTCTCATAGACACAAGGTTCGTGTAGGGACTGAGATATCATTTTTGGTTAAATGTGATTCATTTTTTTTATAGAGAAATGATGGCTCCCTCAGTCATAAAGCAATGGCCCCATAGAGTGGTGAGGTCCAGTCTGATTTGTTGACTGAGCCTGAAGGGCATCGCTTCTCTCATAGCCATTAGAAGTGCTCTGTGTTGCAGAGACTTTGAAATACATACACTCCAACCCCAGTTCCTAGCTCTCTCAGCTTCTTTATGCTTCTAGTGACAAAGAATTCAGAGCTGTGTAAATGCAGAGAAGACAGATCACATTACCTCTGCCCCGCTCTGACTACTGAAAATGCTTTCTTATATTGAACCAAAATATGTCACTTTGTAGCTTCCACTGCTGGGTCCCACTTTTATCCCTTAGAGCCCAGCAGAACAATTATAATCCTTCCTTCATCTTCAAATATCAAGATACCTGAAAACAACTATCATGCCTCCTCCCCCACATATTCTCCAGGGAAAACACTCCTAATTCTTTCATCTACTCTAATATTACATGGTTTGGACTCAGGTACTGTCCTGCCTATTCCCTTCTGCACATAGATTGTTGGATTATATCCCTTTTAAATTGAAATGATTGAATGTGGCAGTGAAATAAATCCTGTCCTCAAAAACATTCTCTTCATTAAACAGAAGTTCCACTATGAGACATTATTTACTTTGGAATGGCAAGATATTTGAAGAGGTCAAGAGTTTTCTAATCCAGTATTACTGCCCCATGGAAGGATTAACATGCATTACTGGTATTTACTGTTTCATTTTGATAATGTTTTCCCCTGCATGAATGTATGTGGCTGTGATATCTGAGTTAGGGAAATGGAAACGATGTAAGAGAACCGGAAGTATTATGGATCACCACTCTGTTTCTTCTGGTTCTTCCTCTCATAGTCTTCTCAGATATTTCTCCCTGACATTTCTCTTTTCTAGGTTGTAAGTTTGGCATTAAAGCTGTTCTTTTGCTTCTAGTGAAAAGGTATGGAACTTAGTTTCCAAGTTTTCTCCTTGAGGGAAGCAGAGGTTCTCAAACACTGCTTACAAATTACATGGTCTATTTTCAGGAAAACAATGACTATTAGTAGACTAATTCAACCTAAACTTACAGCATGTATCTAGCCTATGGACATTTAGGGGATTTAAAACAAAATGCAAATTGCTAGTCAACAGCAAGTGCCAGATATTAGAAGACAGCATCTAATTCTTCAGCATTCTTAGACACAATGTGGGTGTAATTGTCAAGATTAGAACATTGCTTTTGAGCATGGGTTGTGAAGTTGGCTTTTCTCCTTTGTGTCTACTTTAACAGATCAGCTAACAGAAATCAAACAATATGTATTTGCATCTCTTTTGTTAAGAATCATCTACACCTACTCCAAAAGTCAACATATCCCAACTAATTTATTTTAAAAAAATACACCACTAAAGAATGATTCAAGGGCACCAGGAAATATTGTCTCTACCAGGAATCTTTTCACCACTGGGACAAATCATTTCCTCTGCCTTACTCTATCCTGATTCACATTAGCTGTATTTCTTTGCTGCCAGACATTTATATCGGGCATGCATACCAAAGACTCCAGTGTGTTCACCCTACCAGTTTCCCTCCTCCTGGATATAGAGCTGAACTACAATTTGCAGCTGCTCTTGCAGTTAGGTATGACCATAGAATATGAATAGGAGTGATATACATTACTTCTAGGCCCGGATCATTAAAATCTTCTACATAATCATCTACTCTCCCTCTTTCCTTGTCTGCTAGTTGGATATCACCACTCAGCAGATCTTAGAAGCCATGTACTAAAGATGACAAAGTGTCCCTCAGCCTGGGTCCTTGTACGGCATCAACCAATTAGATTTATGTGAAAGAAATCTTCTATTTTGTTAAATTAGTGAGATTTAGATATTTTCTGTTTCAAGAACTTTCTAATTAATACAGTATACACAGGCTCATCAAGAACTGAAGTTAATGCCACATTGCAATAAATGAATAAAAACATCTGCTATTTTTAAAGTGCCTACTTTGTGCTGGACACTGCACAAAGAACTTTTTTTTTTTTTTTGGAGACAGAGTCTCCCTCTCACCCAGGCTGGAGTGCAGTGGTGTGATCTCAGCTCACTGCAACATCTGCCTCCTGGGTTCAAGCAATTCTTGTGCCTCAGCCTCCTGAGTAGCTGGGACTACAGGCATGTGCCTCCACACCTGGCTGATTTTTGTATTTTTAGTAGAGATGGGGTTTTGCCACTTTGGCCAGGCTGGTCTCAAGTCATCTCCTGGCCTCAAGGGATCCACCTGACTCGGCCTCCTAAAGTGCTGGGATTATAGGTGTAAGCCACCGCTCCTGGCCTGTGCTAAGAACTTTACTTACATTATCACATGAATCCTCATAACATCTCTGAGGTATATGTTGTTATTATTACTCTTATTGTTATTATTTTATGATAGGGAAAGCAAGGCATAAAGTTGATTAAGGTCACATAGTTAGCATAGTGGATTATATTATTGCCTCCAATTATTCTCTTCCCTCTCTGAAAGATTAGATGTCTCTACCTGTTGCTGCACGGCTTGCAGTGCTTCACTGTGGGAGAAATATACATCTCCTTCCCATTGATCATTGACACTGATGTGACATGTGAATTGTCCGGTCAATGGAATGTGAGTGGATAACTTGTGCCATGTCTGAGCAGAAATGTTAAGGGCCATTGCTTAACTTGGGAGTCTCCTTTTCCTCTGATACTGGGATAGAGTGTTCCAGACCAATTCTTGATCTTGAATTCCAGAATGAAGTCACAGGAGCAGAGCCACAGCTGACCAGCAGAGGCATAGCGCTCCAGAGAATAATACGCCTTTGTTTTGTAAGCCACTGAGATGCTGGGGTTGCTGTTACTGCCCCAAACTTGGCAAAAATGGACAGATACACCTAGACCTTGATGCAGATTCAGTTAGTAAGAAACACCGGAGCCTGTGCTCTTAATCACGGAGCAACACCGCCTACCAAGCACATTGTCAAACTTGCACAAGTTCCTGCTAGATGATACAAGAGAAATTTAAAGCATCATGAAAAAAATCAATTCTTATCCTGGATAAGAAAAAAGTAGATGTCTGTAAGTTTAAAGAGGAAACTGCCACAGGATTTAAACTTAATTTATAGATATGTCTCTCACATTGCATATAATACCTTCAGATTTAGTCCCACAGAACAGTTGTTGGCAAGGACATGGATCTTTTTAGCCACAGATGCACTTTCTGGTTCCTTTTGTAAGGATTTCATGTCGGAAACCACATCTCTGTGACTGGGAATAAGACCGGTGATACATGTTAGCCAAAATCTATTCACTAAAAGAATCACCAGTACTGTATGATTCCTGGTCCTAAGCACAGCCATACAGAAAAAATGAGAAGCATGAGACTCAAGGAGATAATGGGTTTAATCTGACTTGGATACATTTGTATAGACATAAATTAGTCACTTGGTTAAAATTTAGGGTTAACTTTACACATTGTAATTGGGAAAATTGATTGATGGCCTTACTGCATTCCATATAAAATCAGATCTGAATGACCATTTGAACATTGCACACTGCACAAAATCATTCTCTGAGGTTTTGTTTAAACAATGATTCAATTTAGTAACAAATAAATAAATGAATATTTACAACTGATTAGCAGGTATGATTAGATCAAAGCTATAGTTTAGAGAGGATACAGACTCTTCTTTTAATGATGAGACCGCTCTTTGAGGAAAATAATTTCACTATTATTTAATGTTATTAAAATGATAGCAAGTATATGTATATTCTAGTACTTTGCCAGAGGAAATTCAGAATACCATTAGAGCACTAACTGCAATTGTGATTATCTCTTCTTTTTATTGGAGCCTAATTATTTCTAGAAATAATTATTTAAAATGCACTTCAAAATGTATTTTTATCCTAAACAGCTACATTTTATTCTTCTATCTCTCCAAATACTTTCACTAAAATTAAAAAGAAAACTAACTCAACAAAAGTGTTTTGATGATTTTTCAACTTAACTGCCAATTTCCCCCTTACTGGTATTACCAAAGTTAATAATTTTGTAAAACTCCAGAGTGAATCAATTATCTTTTGGTACTTAAATGCCAATTATTGAAGATAAAATGAAGAAACAAGAAATGCCATCTCAATAAGCTATAAATCCAAATTCACTGAATTTAAACATCTTAATTCCACCAAACTTAAAGTTCTAATACAATGAACTTAGAAAAACCAACCTCACTTTGAAAAGTATTGTCAGTTTAAAGCTGGTAGCAATAAGTAACTGCCTTTTCCCCTCACTTTCTTCTTTCCTCCTACTCTGCCTATTTCTGGTCCATTTCCATTTCCATATTACTTACATATCATTTGATAAAGGAAGAACTGGTGAAAAAGAGAAGAGCTTCACCTTATCTGCCTGCCTTTCCATAAAGAGCATTTATCTTGTTTTCATTAAGGTTTACATGGTCAACATTAAACCCTTGAGAACAGCAACATTTTCTACCTGTGAAAATCAGTGAATGGGGTTAAGATTCCATAAGGGTATTTTATTTTTAATCTCCAATGAATTTTTTCTATAACTTCTTAAATAACTATTCTAATTTTTTTCCCTATAAAGTAGAGGTAGACTGAGATGATAGGGAGGAATATGAGACTGAGTTAAAAGCCCTTCTATATTCTCAAGGAAAATAGTTCATGTAAGTCCTATGTATTAAATAAAGACCTGTCTCACACAAAGGAAAACATACTAATGTTTAGGCAATATCTAGATGAGGTAACTATTGTTTAGGCAATACCTAGAAGAGGTATCAAAATGATTTTTTAAAATAGCAAAATGGAACCAAGTGAATGGGGGCGAATTTTCACAAGTTGCTCTCCTTAACAAATCTTACTTGAAATGAGTAAACCAATTATTTTGGAGTATGCTATTGACTGAAAAGGGCATAGTGACACTTTGTTAATCAATTAGCCACCTAGGAAGAAAGCAAGTCATAGTTCGGTGAATAAGCACTGAATATGTGAGCATGGAAACTACCAGAAGTAAAGATTATTGACTGAACAATTTCATATACCTAGATTATTGACACCACCCCCCTTTTTAATTTATTAGAGAAATTGAACTTTAGAACTCAGAAATACATTACTTTGTTTATCTAACAGTCTATATTCTCGTATAGCTTCATCCTCATAATGAACGTCTACTTCCCTTCTGCTGATAATGTCAGATGGAACAAGGCCAAGGAACAGCTGCGTTGTTTAATACTCCACGTGTCACTTCTTCTGTCTACTTTAGGTAGCAACCTTTTCATAAACTAAATTATGGATAAACTTGTCAATACCTATCAGGAACTGAAATGTAAGAAATAGTGTAATAACTCATCCTTTTGCTTAGGTTTGAAATAGATTGCTCTGTCTTCACTAGCAATCATTTGAAAAGACTGGAAGGTAGAAACACACTGCTTTAACCACATCCTGAGTGCTCAGCATGCAATATCTTTAGAAACAACATGTCACACTTGGAAAGCCCAGCAAGGAAAACCAGGATCATATCTTGTTTACCATTAAAAATAACAAACCAGAACCAGCTCAAGACCTCATGCACAAGTGCATCCACAAAACAGGAAAGCAGCCAGGGATATTGTTGAAGCTTTATCAACATTTCCAACCAGTTGCCAAACCTTGACTGGGCTCTGCAATTCAAAGTATACCTTGTAACACCTGGATGGCACTCTGACAGGCATTCTATTTCAAATATGACTGTCACCTTCCTGTATTATTTTTCCTCTTCATATCAGTGACAGTTGTGGTGGTGGGGGACCTACTACCAAGGATGAGAGCAGGGCAAAGACCAGCTTCTCGTAAAGTGAGAGCAGAAGGGCTTGATGGACTTACCTGTTTTCCCTGTATGAATGTTGAAATGGAACTTGAATGGTAATAAATCCTCCCCTCCTGCAGTTTCTTCCTTGTTTGTATTAAGAGAAGTGACTCCTCTCGGTTTCCTACGACTGCAACCTAGGAAATGTAGCCACCTTGCTCACACGCAGGCTTGAAGATGTGATCACTGGCTCTCATCTTGCTAACAAACTCTCTCTCCTTTTCGGAAGCTCACCAGTGTTGTTTTGATTCCTTCCAGTTCTAGACCGAGAGGAAACTATATCTCCACCCTCTTCAGTCCTAGGACCCTTAGAAAGAATTTGGCTGGGCCGGATACGGTGGCTCACGCCTGTAATCCCAGCACTCTGGGAGGCTGAGGCAGGCGGATCACAACGTCATGAGTTCGAGACCAGCCTGACCAACATGGTGAAACCCCGTCTCTACTAAAAATACAAAAATTAGCCAGGTGTTGTGGTGTGCGCCTGTAATCCCAGCTACTCAGGAGGCTGAGGTAGGAGAATCGCTTGAAACCGGGACGCAGAGGTTGCAGTGAGCCGAGATCGAGCCACTGCACTCTAGCCTGGGTGACACAGCGAGACTCCGTCTAAAAAAGAAAGAAAGAAATAACAAACTTGGTTGGCTGGCCTCTCGCTGACCAGGGTGCTTCCACAGCTCCCTTCTGCCATCTATGCCCAACAAAAAGTTAAAGAGAAGAGCGTGAGAGGGCAAGGGATGCATGCTTTTGAAAGCCAAAGGGACTCAGCTGAAACTAGCAACCCTCGTCAGAGGCGGATCGGGGTGTGTGTGTGTGTGTGTGTGTGTGTGTGTGTGTGTGTGTGTCTGTGCGCGCGCGCGTCCTTTTTCTCCCCCTGAGGACAGAATCCTGTCTCCACTCTCAGTTCAGCTCAGGTCTTTCCCTGTCCCAGTGTTCTTGATTCTGAATAGGTCCTCTGATGCACCGCCATGCATAAAATGGATGATTTGCAAGCTTCTTTGCCTCACGTAATTCCGTGGGTAATTTGATATCCAGATTCTGCACGAGCCAAAGACTCATTTATTTATAGAAAGTGATTGACCTCCAGCGACCAAAGGAGTGGGTACTGCTTGCTGGGGGCTGCAGACAGGTGAGGCTTCACCCTCGGCGCCTGGGCTCTGGCCTTGGTGCTGAATCCGGAACCCGCTGAGGAACCACCACCTCGGCGGCCCCCAGGCAACTTTCGGGAGGTTTCAGGGGCACCCGGCCAGCTCTGGGCGCCCTCTCGAGCGTCGCCGTCAGGGAGTTGGGCACAACCGATGCCCTGGGACCCGCCACAGGGCACGCGGCTGGCGTATTCCTTTGCCTGGAGCCGGGAAAGTTTTGTCCAATTTTTTTCCCCTATAACTGGAGCTGCGGTCTCCCCTCCCACCTGGGTCGCCATGGAGACTCGAGCTCTTTTTCTTTCTCCAGGCAAAATGGGCGAAGCTCAGTTAGCTCAGCCCTGACTGTAGCAAGCCCTTTTTTCTCCCTAAGCAGTTCCTGGGCATCACCCTTTTCCGTTTCTTTTTTTCAGCAAAAGAAAGGCAGGCAGGGAACAGGGCTAGCAGGATGTGGCATTGCTCCCTGTACCGTAGGGCTCCCCGGGACCGACAGACTTTGGATAACAGCAGTTGGGAAACACTCTAAACATATAATACATCTCCAACTCCCAAACACTGGAGTTGTGGGGTTTTTTTTTTTTTCTCTTCCTTTTTTTGGGGGTTGGAGGCGGAATTCTTTGGAAAATTCTGGTATTTTGTTTCTCCACTAACCTCACCCTCTGTGGCTGTTTCTATTAAGATATATTTTCCCCCTGACAATCTCTCCATATTGCACCTAGTACAACAGATGTACCTGTGGATCCACTGGGCTTTTATTGGGTTTTGGGAATACTGATGTTATTTCACTTAAAAACTAATCCAAGCTTAATGTTTTGATGAAAATGAAAATATATCCACAGGGAAGCAAATATCCACAGCCACCCAGTCCTCTAAATGCCACACACATCTCATTTTATCTAAAGTGTTTTTTCTTCCCTTCCAATTACAAAATAATTCAGTTTACTCCTAGGAAGATCTTCCTATTCACTGTTTTTAGTCATGCTAGCACATCTTCGGTTTTAAGGATAGAGAACAGTTAGGAGTTACAGTATTCTGTTTCCCATTCTCCGCATGTTTCTCCCCAACCCTCACTTTTCCTCCCTTTCGTGTTGTCTCCTCTCCTCTCCATGCAAAGCAGAACAAGAAGACTGCCTTCCACAAAGACAATAGGCTTTTCCCAACTGTAAATGACTACATCACAAGCCGCACCTGTCAGTTAATCAGTGCATTTAAGTCTTTGCCAGCGGATGTTGAAATGATGTCTGCAATAACTGACTGGGTTTCTGCGAGCCCAGGGATGCAGACCCCTCCTTCCCCCGCCCCCCGTGCGAGTTTCAGTCGCTAATGAAAACCGTATGAAACAGATTCCCCTTCTGTTATGTAACCGGCTTCTCCCTCGCCTTTCGGCTGACTTGGGCACAATGTTTCTCATGAGAGTGGAGATGCCTGCGGCGACGGCGGAGCTGGGGAAGGGGACGCGGGGACCCGAGAGCACGGAACGCCTCGCCCAGGTGGACGCCAGCTCCTCGCCTGCGAGCAGCTCAGCGCACCGCTTACCTGGCTGCGGACGGGGTGGCTT
Organism: Homo sapiens; assembly: GCF_000001405.40. Taxonomy (NCBI): domain Eukaryota; kingdom Metazoa; phylum Chordata; class Mammalia; order Primates; family Hominidae; genus Homo; species Homo sapiens. The sequence continues at coordinate 37,915,906 of NC_000021.9, forward strand.
CACTCAATCATGATCTCCTCTCTTGAAACGGAGCAAGACTGAACAATTCACTACACGACGGATGGCGAGGGAAGGAAATGCAAAAAAGAAAAGGAAAAGAAAAAAACTGGAATCAGATGGTCAAATTTCACATCAGCACCGAGAGGCTGTTAGGAGACTCCATTCTGCTCGCGGCTGCTCCGGCTCCAGGTCCGGCTTCCCGGCGTCCGCGGGTCTCCACCCCTCCGCCCGCCCAGCCTCTCCAGCCAGGTGCGGCCGTCTCCGGACTGGCTCCCTCTGGCCGAGCGCGGAGAGCAGGGCTGGGCGCTGGGGCCAAGGGAGGGGCGGAGGGGCGCGCGTTTGGGCAGGGACGGGGGAGGGAGACTGGGTGGAATGAAGTGGGGAAAGATAAGAGTGGCAGAAGAAAAAAAAAATCCCCGGTTAGGAGAAAAGTGGTGGACCACGCAGAGAGACGTCATGAAATCCGCAGATTCAATGAATGCTACTCAATTCCAGCCGACTGGCTGAGCCCCGCTGGCAGCGCACGAAGCGACGCGGCTCCGAGATAAAAGCGAGTGCAGCGCCGCGTGCTGGGGAAAAAGCCGCACAGCGCCGGCGCGGTCCGGGAGGAAGGGGCGGGGGCGAGCAGGACAGAGCCACAGACCCAGAGACGCCCACCCCGCCGCCCATGCCAGCTAGCGTGTCAGCGCGTCGAGGACCGGGCTTGGTGGGGGCGGGCTGGGCACAAACCAACGTGCATCCCCCGCCACTGGAAACGTGGGTGCTCCATGCTGGGGGAATCTTTTGGGTTTCGGTCCCCGACCCCCCAGTCCCAACCTTTCTCCCAGTGCCACTAAGTAAGTTATTCCCGGAGAAACGCCTGGAAAGCAGGAAAGAGCCGAAGCTCGGGGAGCAGTTTTGTCTGCTGGTTGTAGGGGTTCGGCTTTTAGGGTTTTGTGAGATAAGGAAAAAGAGGCTCTGGGCACTGCCTCCCACCGGGCTGAAATCCGTGAGAGGCAGCCCCGGCGCGGGAGCCGGAGCCTGCACCGCCCAGAGGGGGCGCAGCGAGCGGCCGGGACGGAGGGGAGGGGCCCTATCCCTGAGCTTTGCTTGCACCTGGTGGCGCCCCAGCCTGCTGCCCCATTCAGTCCCTTCTGTCCTGTCCACTGCAACTGGGACCTGGTCCCGGCTGCTGCATCATCACCCCATCCTTATATGATGTCTCTGGGGTCACTGGAGACAAAGAATGGCCTTTTCCAAGAATGACCCAGGCTGCCTTCAAAGTTGAATTTGTCAGGATAAGCCCCTTAGACAAAGGTCTACTCCACTCTTTGAATCTAACTTGCTTTGTGCTGTTATTCCAGGGGCCCCTCATAGTGCTCCCCTCTTGCACCCCCTCTTTTTCTTATGGTCATCAAAAACAATGGTTCTACATTTCCAAAGTCTTCCCATAAATTGCTTCTACCTATGAACAGAACTCTCTTTTATGCTGTCTTTTTCCTAGGGATGAATGGATTGACAAATTGTAAGAGTAGCGAATACCATTGGCTAGTAATTTTATAATGGCCCTTTCAATAACTGGCTATTCTTGTGCTGCTTTATGAAGTGGCTTTCCTTCCACAAGGCACAGAATCTCTACCTCAAAGAAGGTGACCTTATTTTAGAGAGAAGGCTTACGGAAACCTCTTATTTCCAAGATTATTTTATTCTACATACATACATTTTAATTACCTAGCAATTCAGGTCCCCTCAAGAATGCTGTCTGCCCTCTAAAAATGACTGTAATATGGAGAGGTGTTTGTGTCAATTTGCATCCAAAGTCATGTAAAAGTCAACCGTACACACGGCCTGTGAGCTTGTATTTGCTGTTGATTTTCCCTAAGAGGTTGTAATCTGACTTGCTATTACTTCTGAGTCATATATCCCATATACAGAAGATATGAGTATGTGTAATATCTGTAGTATGTGTAATACGTGCTCCACAATGCCTGCTGGATCTAGTGATAGTGTTACAAATAAACAAAGAACAACTGAACCAAATAATCCCTGAGAGACCAGGAATACAAATGCAAGATGCAGGATTTCGGTGGACACAGCCTTAGAACATTAAAAGAACAACCCATGTTGACTATAGTTGTGTAAAGGGCATTCTGTTTAATCTGTGAAGCTGCTATGGGTATGCCTGCTAATTTTGATGATATATACTTTTACCAGTAGAATGATTTCACAAAGTATCTTTCTTACAAGATATTAGACTAAATAAGAAAGTCAAGAGTTGGAAGTAACCTATTTGTCTCCTTCAAATACTTTGAAAACTCCCCTACTTGAAACAGCTGCCGGGGTGATGTGGGCAATAGCACTTTGTGAATGGCATAAGAGCACGTGTTGAATGAGATGGATCCCATTAACACAGCCTGGGATTTGATAAACACCAGAGACAAGAGCAATTGGCTTAACTGAATTCATTCATTTATTCCGTAGAGTTCTGATAAAGTGATCTGCATGGGTGTAACTAAGAGACTGCAGCCACATCTGAAAATCAGGCGAGCTGTGCTTCAGAGCTGCAAATTGTGGCTCCTCTGAGCTCCTGAGAGCCTGGTCTCTCAAACTACATTGTGTTTAGCTTGTCTGAAATCTCACTTATATATCTATTTTATGATTTCAGGTGAAGGCAAGGCCTGGGGGAGAAGATCTTTCAGGGTAAATCAGTGCTCCAAATCTCACAGTGACTTTTATAATTGATTGATTATGTCATACAGATGAGACTGGTTTGTCTCCCACATATAAAGCTGTAATGGAGACTTATTAGCTAGTAAAATTAACAAACTGAATTATCTTGACGGGCTGTCATTTGTTTTGGGTAATCTTGTTTTTCTCTGTCATTGATTGCGGCAATTTATAAACCATTCTATCTTCTTGGCCCATGTGTAGATCTGGCCTTGCCTTAGACAGGCTGACACCAGAACTAAGATGGTTGGGAGTTTTTGGTCTCCACCCTTGGGCCAGTACTTGTTTTAGATTTAAGACCTTAGCTGTTGTGGGTCTAACTATTAAGAGACCTAGTTCTTTTTCAGTTTCACTCCCCTGCCTGCTTTCTCCACAAAAACCCTACCACAGATAAACAATATATTTAAAATGCAGAGATGGGAACATAAATTTTAAAAAATTTATTTTGTCTATAAAAGGACATCTTAAAGAGTATCAAGAGATAAGTGTTAAAATTATTCTATTTTACATTTGTACTTCCAGTGTACTGAATGTGATATAGGAGTTAAGAAGCAATTACTTAGGCAGATAGTAAGGGTATGGGAGTCCTAGGTAAGGCTTTTCTTTTTAATGAAAATCAGCCCCAAATAATTTTCTAAGAGAGCAAGCAGCCTGCAAGCTGGGAGCTTGCACAGGTGAATGCGGGCAGGAACTAAGGACTAAAGATGTTAAATATGGCGGTCCCATCTTCCCGTCTCTGTTAGCCACGTGTACTGTAAACGAGCAGACAAGATGGTGCCAATCAACTGGAAAGTCCATTTGCATAAGAAGATTAGGGTGGGGCAACTAGCCTTCCCAGCACACTATGTAGACATCATACCTGAGTGAACCAACCTGTGAGCCCTCTGTAAATCAGACACCGCCTTCTCCAGCCTGCGTATAAAATCTGCTGCGGTCCTCTACCTTCTCCCTTTTCCACGTGTCTCTTGCTCGTGAGGAGCTGCTCTCCCCTCCTCTCTCCTTTCTTCTATTACACTTTCTGCTCCTTAACCCACTCACCTGTGTCTGTGTGCCGAATTCTTTCTCAGTGCATGACAATGAACCCCAGGGTATATACCACAGACAGCAGTAGCCACTTCAGATGGATTTCATTCATGTCTCTTATTTAGGGAATATCTGTAAACAGCGGTTGGTATTTCTTTGATTGATTATAAATTTGGAGATGTATTAAGAAATACATCTTAATTCTTAAGAAATATTTCTAGGTGTAAAAAGTTAAGAATTTTTGCTAAGGAGGGGGTTTCAGAGGGGTTTTAGCTCTGAGGCATTTTGGGGCTGGTCTTTAGAACTTTAGGATAATTTAGAACAATTATTGAGTTATGCCCTTTTCCCTTGATACACTTTTATCTCCTACGTGTTTTCCTTATTTTTGTTACAGTAGGTAGCTAGTCAGACATGAGCAGGGCAGAAGAGGGCCTTCCCCACCAGGCATGCCAGGAGACCGTCAGGTGATGGTCAGGCAGTTGTTAAACTGTCCGTCTACAATAATAATTGGTCACAGCTGGCACCAGAAAAAGTGGTCTCCCAATAGACAGAAACACCGAAGCTGGTGATCAGCAGCTTCCTGATGACATCTCAGGACTTAGGTGAGTGGGCTCAAGCATGTGGACTAAGGCAAAATGGCACAGTTTAACTGTCATCTAACCTTCTTCTAGGAACACTTGGCTGGTAAGGGAAGAACGCCTCAAGTGAGCATGCATACAACTCCAGTAAACACTGCACATGTGGCCCCTCTCAAGTGCTGGCAGACCATGGCACATGCAAACAGCCCACCCCAAGAGAAGAATCAGGGTAGAAGGCACACAACACCCGGGAAGTATGCCAACGCATAAAACCCGAAGTCAAAGGTCAAACAGTGCACTTGATCTCGCAAGTCGCCCACTTGGCCCTCTTCCAAGTGTACTTTACTTCCTTTTGTTCCTGCTCTAAAACTTTTTAATACACTTTCACTCCTGCTCTAAAACTTGCCTCGGTTTCTCACTCTGCCTTATGCCCCTCAGTCGAATTCTTTCTTCTGAGAAGGCAAGAATTGAGGATCCTGCAGACCACACAGACTTGCCGATACTAACACTTTAAAATGACGTTCACCATTTCTACTAATCTTAAGTCATAAATACTTATGAATGTCCTGAAATCATATATTTTTATTTTAATTTCATGGCTTGATAAATAAGTGCAGTCAGAAGACTATTTGATAGATTCTTTCTTATATGATGTTTTATTAGTTCATTGTTTAGCAGGTATATCCTTTTTAATCATAGTCTTCTCCCCAAAAATGTATTAAAATGCAATTTAGAAAATTATAATAGCTTTGAATATAATATTTCAAAAGACCAGGGGAGGTGACAATTACAAAAATTACATAAATGAAACCTAGTTAATCTTCCTTTACCTCTTACTGGAATTAATTCTAATTAGCATGACATCTGCACAACAAAAACATTCAAGGCCAAAATAAGTGAATTAAATTGGTACGTTGCTCTTTCTCATTCATTTGCTAAAATGCCTAGATTCTTTATTTTCTACTGAAATTCTTAAGGAATGAGGATATGAGGTGGAGAGAATCAGATAAAGTTCCTTTTTTTGTGTGCTATTGCAACTCTCTGTGAGTCACCTCCTATAGCCACCCTGGACAACAAGCAATTATTAACCTACTGGATCTTGTCTGCTTTCAGCAGAAGTGAAGCTCCTGCTCCGCATTCCCAAGCTTACATAGTTCTCCTGCTAGGACGTTACCTACCTTCCCTCTTAGAAATACAGTTCAGAGTCCAGTTCCAAATTCCAGGTCATCCTTGGTGATCTTAAGCCAGATGCAAATATTTAGGCAGTCTCAGCCCCCAGCACCTATGCCAAGTGATGGGTTAAGGCAAGAATTTTCTGCTATATCATTTTATCTGAAAAATGGTGTTGTAGATAGTGTTCTTTGGGAAGCAGACTCTGAGATGAAGTTTTGTGTGCTTAATGTTTATTAGGGACGTTTCTAAAGGATGTAATGTTTGTGTGATCAACACCTATGGAAGGGATAGAAATGAAGTAGGACTGGGCACAGGACCCTTGCCTTGGCTGATCTCACTGGGAGCTCTGAGCTAAAATGGCCCATTGGAGTTGTCCTGATTTGGTTCCAAATGGCCTCCACCAGCTCAGTCACTGGATGTCCCTCAGTTGGGCAAGGGCATGACTTTGGGCCAGGCAGCTCTTTGCACCTGATAGCAAAATGCAGTCTACAACAGCCTTCTAGCAGCTAGGTCAACAAGCCCTTACTGGAAGGGGGATCCGGAGGGCATATCTCATTGCCCACCACAAGTGGGGATAATAACATTACCTACTGCATAGGATTATTATGACTGCTACATACCGTAACTGTGAAGCAGCTTCATTGTGCATTGGTTACCACTTCAGCCCATCTTGGGTGGCAATTTTACTACTTGTCTGAGTCTGGCGAGATAGAATACTCATACACACAGCAAGTTACATGAAGTAGGTTTATTACCTGCAGACAGGCAGCAAGGGACAAGAGAAGCCTAGGACCAGGGTGAGCTGGCTTCCCAAGACTCAGGAAAGCTGCCCCGGGTGGGTGAAATCTCATCTGGATGTGCTCCACTTCACGCTGCAGCTGAGTGCCCCCAGAAATCACCCTGCCCTGGGTTTTATACCTCAGAGCAAGATTTGCTGAGCTAAAGCATTGAAAGATATTCTATGTGCAGGGGGAGCAGGAGAGTACAGGCTATTCCAGACTACTTTTTTTTTTTTTTTAATTTCAGGATGTTGCATTCCCAGCATATACTACAGTTATTCTTGAGAAACAAGTGTGTAAGGAGGAAGAACTGGTTCAAGGCCACCCAGAAAGCTGTTCTGCAATAACCCATAGAAACAGTGGAGCACAGGTTCTGGTATATAATAACACTTAATACATGTCAGATATTTATTAATTCATGATGCTAATCATCTGTAAGATTAAGAAAACTGAAGACTGTGTATTTTCAAGTGGTTCCAGATTTGTATCCACCCAGTTTCAAGTCCACTGGGACTTCAATCCAATTTCAAATCCCCCTCTTTTTTTAAAATTTTAGTGTAAGTTCTGGGATACATGTGCAGAACGTGCAGGTTTGTCACATAGGTATACATGTGCCATCGTGGTTTGCTGCACCTATCAACCCATCATCTGGGTCTTAAGCCCTGCATACATTAGATATGTGTCCTAATGCTCTCTCTCCCCTTGCTCCCCACCCCCTGACAGGGCCCAGTGTGTGATGTTCCCCTCCCTGTGTGCATGTGTTCTCATTGTTCAACTCCCACTTTTGAGTGAGAATCTGCAGTGTTTGGTTTTCTGTTCCTGTGTTAGTTTGCTGAGAATGACGGCTTCCAGCTTCATCCACGTCCCTGCAAAGGACATGAACTCATTCTTTTTTATTGCTGCATAGTATTCCATGGTGTGTATGTGCCACATTTTCTTTACCCAGTCTATCATTGATGGACATTTGCAAATCCCCCTCTTCTAGTAACAGTAAAATACCAAAAATGGTTCTTATTGTCTCTGATTAGTTAATAAACCCCATCTCTGAATCAATTACTGTGGCCAGAAGGATGGAATGCTAGATATGGTCTGTTGGACCCTGACATATATTTCCACTTACTTCTGGTGCCCTGACTCAGGAATACACCATTCTTCAGAATAAAAAGAACCCAAGACTTTGGCATCAATTGCTTCTCCTTCAGTCTGAAGGGGAAGGGGCCTAGTGGATAGTAAATGTTCAAGAAATACTATATAATCCTCTAATTACAACACAGAAAAGTTTGGTTTTCTTTCTTTTTGTTGAAAACAGATAGTGGCAAATTATCTTTTTTAGGCTCATAAGAAACTTTGGTAACCATATAAATGGATTCACTTTCTCTTCTTACAGTATTTCTCAACACTCAGTGATTTGTTTAGGTAGGTATTTCCTCCTATTTTCTCTTTATTTAGAACTAAAGTGGAAGAAATAAAATGTAGAATCAATAAAAATTCCAAAGAGTCCACAAGGGAAACAAGCATCCCAGCCAGGATGGAGTGATGCTACAGTTTAACACTGAGATCCATGAAATTGATTGCTGTGGCAAATAAAGAAGAACAGATCTTATTTGTGGCCTCAATTCTCTGAGTTGTTGTGCCTACTTGAATTTATCTGCTGGCTCAAGACCCATTTAGTAGTGGGAAAGAGAACACTGGCAAAAAAAAAAAAAAAAAAAAAAAGAATATAAAGATCATAGAACCAGAAACCGTAGGAGCTGGAAGTCCCCTTAGAGATTATCTGGTTCCTTTTCAACTTCTATCAGCCATTCTCTGACCCACAACTAAGACCCCAAGGCATCCTTTACCTCCTAAACATGTTGATTTGTTTCCGTCTCCCTTACTTTTAAACTCTTGGATAGCCTGTCTATTATTCACCATGTGAAAGCCTTTTACATCATCTCTCAAATCTCTAGCTTCTTCCTTATCTTTGAGCCTACTGGAATACAATTCTGTCTTATGCATTAAACATGATGGTATGTTTTGTGTTACTATTTATAGTAACATAAAAATGAAAATCACACACTTATTTTCCATGAAGTTATGTGATCCTTTTCAAACAAATATAATTCAGGAGAAAACAAGGATATAAGATAATACAATAATGCCAGGATAAATTTTTCCCAAGATATTTCATGAAGTAACAAAATAATAGCAGAACCTTCAGAATTTAAGTTATCTTGGACAAATTACTTAACTTTTTAGGCCCTCTAAAGTAGTAATAACAATAATATCTAGTATTAGTGTTCTGTTGCTAAACAATTACTGCAAACATAACAGCTTTAAAAGTAGCCATTTATTAGCTCATAGTTCTGTAGGTCAGAAGTCCCAGCAGGATGTGGGTGGGTTTTCAGCTCAGGATATCACAATACTGACATCAAGGTGTCAACCAGGCTGGGTTCTTGTCTGGAGGTTCTGGGAAAGAATACACTTCCAAGCTTATTCTTGTTATTGACAGAATTTAGTTTCTTGTAGTTGTAGGACTGGTGTCTCCATTTTTTTACTGGCTGTCAGTGAGGGGGCTGTCCTTTGCTCTGAGAGTCTATCTGAATTTCTTGCCATGTGGTCCCTCCATTTTTAAGCCAGCAATGTCACATCAAATCCTTCCCATGTTTTAATTCCCTGACATCTTCTGCTACCAGCTACATAAAACTCTCTTTCTCTTTTTTAAACAGGCTCATGTGGTTAGGTAAGGCGCACCTAGATCATCTCTCTATCTTAAGGTCAACTGATTTGGGACATTAATTATGTCTGAAAAATTTCTTCACAGCACTATTTAGGTTAACGTTTGATTGACTATCTTGTGTGTACACAAGGGATAGGAATATTGGGGGCATCTTGGAATTCTGCTGCCACATACCTACTTCATAGATCTTTTACTAAATGAGATAATACATGGGTAAACAGTGTATTAAAAGTTAAGTTTTGTTGGAAACACTAAGGAACATGTATTTTTGCTGATCTGCTGGATCACTTCATTGGTGTGAAGCAGCAGCTGGGCCTGCAACTGCTCCACCTTCCTCTGGATCTTCCTCCAGCTTCTCCAACTGCCCAGCCAGATGTGTGTGATTTTAGCTCTGTGATGAAGGGCTCTCACCAAGGCCAGAGACAATAAAAATTGACACAAGGTTCAGTTCATCCTTGTGGTGTTTCAGCACATGCTTATGGGTTCCAGCCTGTTTGTACCGTATTACATCACTGCTATCGTACCTACACTTCTAGCTGGTCTCCTAAGGGCTAAGATCATAGTAGTAGATGCCATTTTCTATTATCGTCTTGTGTTCTCTCTACCCTCTGTCAGCACATCAGCAGGATGAACTTCTTTACCTGAATAGGTGACTCCAACTTTCATTGGTTAGAACGAGGGACCCTGGTGGTATGATTATTACGTTGCCAGTTTTCCAGGATTATTGAACAACTAATAAGAAATGCTTTAGAGAATTTCCTGGATTCAAAAATATGTCTTCTTGCTCATGCTAAAGAGCACCACCTCAATTTCTCTCTGGTAATCATCACAACAGTTAGGGACTCCTTTTCTGCCTATTGGTTTTGTAGCATAAGGAGTCCCAAAAGGGTAGGGTGCAATCTCAGCTTCCAATGCATCAGGACTACTGTATGTTCCTTGGTAGACGCTTTCCTCCCTGAAACACTAGGACCTCTAAACCCATCAGGCCAAGGTAGTAGGAAGGAGAAGCAAACATTATTTGGTAAAATAGTGATGGGGCCAAACCCCCTTTGCCCTATTGGTTATTGGCTATACATTATATGCATTCTGGATAAGTGACATCACATGCATTGGTTGCCAGTTTATGGCATTTACCACACCTTGTAAGGCAGGATCCAAACCTCACAGGGTGCTGTCTCCCAGCTGGTGTCATAAAAGAGTTTTCAGAAGACCATTCCACCATTCCACCAAGCAGCTGTTGCTCAACAGGAGAAACTTCCAGCCAATCAACACAATCATAAGAAATAGTAAATCCTTTTTTTTTTTTTTTTTTTTTTTTTTTTTTTTTTTGGCTTTTCTTATAAGTCTCTATGTTCTGGGGTGGTTTGTTATTCAGAAATAGGTAATCAAAACAAAAATCAGTATCTAGAAGTGAGGTGCTGCTGTAATAAAAGTAAAACACGAGGCCTTGACTTTGGGACCAGGTAGTGAGCAGGTGCTGGAAGAGAAGCAAGGAAACTGCTATTGGAAGCTGGAAAGATGGCACTTTGAGTTTTGTAGCAGCTAATCAATTTGCAGAATTGTCACCTGCAGTAACTTGGAAGTTAGAAAATGTACCCGAACGTATGGATCTGGCTAAGGGGATTTCCAGGTAGAATGTTGAAAGTGCCAAATGGCTTTCTTAGCTGCGTATAATAACCATTGGAAAAGAGAGAACTGTTCTGTTTGTAAGCAGAATTTAGGGGAAATATAACAGAGATACAACTTGCTGTTTGGAAAATAATACAGTTTATTATCCCTAGTCTTTCCTAGAGTGAGAAAGTCTCAAACTAAAAAATAGTCACAGGATAAGGATCAGATGAAGGATATGGCTTCATCTATATGGCTTCAGAGATATGCAAGATCTCTGAAGATTTAAGATGGTGCCTGGTTACTTCCTCAGCTAGAAAAAAAAGCACTTTAAAGAATCTTCAGGGAATTGTCCTCTAGAAGTTCTAGGTGAGGCCCAAAGTACAGTGATCTGTCTTGAAAGAAATGATGGTTTTAGATTGGGACACAGGGTAAACTGCAAACATTCTATAAAGAGCTCACAATGTCTTTAAAGGGATTTACCAACTTGAACTGAAAGAGACAGGATCAAATCAAAAGGCAACGAGGGTTTGGTTCCCTGACTTTCTATGCGCAGGAAACAGGAAGAGAAAACTGCTCGCATGCAAGTGCAAGACACTGCTTATGGGAAGGAAAAAGCTCTCACAGAGCAAAGCTGAGAACTTCTAGAGGAAGGAACCAAGAACTGCAAACAATTATTAGAAAGCAGAATTAAGCCTTAATCGTGGAACACTTCAGGATCCTTGGAGGTGCATGACTGGGTGTATTTCAGAATTGCTATGGGCCAATGACTACTGTATGCCTCTCATTGCTTTCTATTTTAAGTGGGAACATTGACTGCAATTACCCTGTTCTTGTCTCAACATGGTGTGTTGGATATGTGGGAACAGATAATTTGACTTTTTGTTCACATATCTCTAGATTAAGAGTTACTGATACACACCAACAATCCCAGCAATTTAGGAGGCTGAGGCAGGAGGATTACTTGAAGCTAGGAGTTTGAGACCAGACTGGACAACATAGCAAAACCTTGCCTCTACAAAAAAATTTTAAAAAAATTAGCCAGGCGTGGTGGTGCATGCCTGTGGTCCCAGCTACTCAGGAGGATGAAGCAGGAGTATTGCCTGAGCCCAGAAGTTTGAGGTTGAGGTTGCAGTGAGCCATTATGGCATCACTGCACTCCAGCCTGGGTGACAGCGAGACCCTGTCTCAAGAAAAAAAAAAAGAAAAAGGAAGGAAGGAAGGAAGGACAGACGGATGGAGGGAGGGAGGGAAGGAAGGAAGAGAAAGAAAGAAAGAAAGAGTTACTGATATCAAAAAGTCTTGTCTAAACCTGAATAAAGATAAAGAGATTATAAGTCTGTAGCCTGGTGACATGATTGGGTGAAACTCTGGAGGCCTTTGGAGGGGGTGAGTGTATTTTGTATGTGGGAAGCGTATGAATCATTGGATTAGGGGAGGACTGAAAGATTGGTGAGGTCATAGATGTGGTTGATGGAAAAGAGATGAAGAGAAGTATCAACTATTGTAGTAGTTTTGGCCACTTGCTTAAGCAGATTTCTCATACTTTCCAGGCCTGATCGGACCCATCTTATATGGACACATGGTACATTGTTACACCAGTGGCTCCCAGTGAATCCCACTGTACCCTTGTGAGCCCAGGCAAAATCAGCAGAAGAGTGTAGCAATGGACAGTTGATAGAGTGTAGAATGCCATTTCCATTTTATAATGGAACGCTGCTATGAACATCCCATTTTTAATGGTTTTGTGGGTCAGATAACATCCAATTAATGAAGAACAGTTTAGTTACATGGTCACTCAGGGATCCACGGTGAACATTCTATCTTGACCAGATCCTGAAATCAAGCAAGAAGTTGCTTTTCAAATGGAAAATTACTGTTAGCGTGAGAGAACATGGCTTTACTCCCAAAGCCTAAGAGTCTGTTCTGTGATTCTCCTATGGGGACTTGCCAGAGTCTCCATACACTTACTTCCCTGCTTGGCATAAACAGCCACATTACAGGGCTCTTCCTCAAGGAAACTGACCTCCTCCTCCATAAAGACTCCGTGTCTACAACGGACTTAGGTCCGGGAACTGGACCGAGACTGTGAATCCCAGGAAGGCAACTTGAGTTAGGACTAGACCCACTTGCCAGATTCGTTTTTCTGATTTTGCAGGCAGAGCAATAACCTCAGGAGGAAGCATTTATTTCATTTTTGGAGGTCCCATAACCAGTCAGATCCCTGCAGATCAAAACATTGATCACGACTCCATTCTTGAGGCATACTATGGAATGGAAGTTCAGCTATGGCTTCCAAAGCATTTGCCATTTCAATGTAGATTTTTAATTCATTTGTTTTATTTTGGATGTTTATTATTGGTGGATTCTGGGAACCCTAGGTAGCCTGATTATCGCAGTAGAAGCAGGAGGAATCCTGGAAGAATTGATGCTTAATTATAAGATGACAAACTCAGTAGACAGGGAGTTACCAATACCAAGAGACACTAGGTAAGGAATTTTATTATAGTAATGTTGAAAATGCTGAAGGGTTTGGGGGATGCCAGATTCATGCAGCTACAAAAGCAGCTAGATCTTTGCTCTAATAGGACAGTCTTCAAAAGTGTGCATTATAATTTATTTATTTATGTTGGCTTTGTTAGCCTTTATACCTGAGAATGGAGAGAAATAGGATGCACCCCCTGCTTCTTTATTTGACTACAGCTTTTAACTCAGAGTGAGACGTCAAAAGACATTTAAACTGTAATCATTAACTAATAAATTCAGATAAATAAATTTAATATAATTATAGAAGTAATTTTGAAGCACCCATATTTGAAGAAAAATGAGAAAGATAAGCAGTCCCACTGTTTTAGGTAACTATTTCTAAGCCAAATAAAATGTGATATAAATTGCTAGGGGGTGAAGTGCAAGCAGACTCAGGTTCACATCATTAAAGGACTTTTGCTCATCACTCGCTTGCAAAGCGACCCTTACCTTCTCCCATATACAGAAATTAACTCAAAATAGATTACAGACTTAAATGTAAAATCTAAAACTATAAAACTTGTAGAAGAATACATAAAAGACAATCATGACTTTGGCATAGGTCAAAAATTTTTAAGTATGATTCTAAAAGGCATGTTTCATAAAAGAAAATACAGATAAATTTGAATTAATTGAAAATTTTTGTTCTTTGAAAGACTGTTAAGATGAAAAGACAAGCCATAGAAAGGGAAAAGTTCTTGCAAAAAATATGTATGATAAAAACCTGCATTCAGAATATATAAGATTGTTTTCTTATTATTACATTTTGAGAGTTTCTTACATATTGGATATGTTAACTAGTTTGATGTTAACCTTGTGTTAATGATATGATATAATCATTCCACAATGTATATATATTTCAAAACATTACATTGTACAACATAAATATATATAATTATTATTTCTCAATTAAAAATGAACATTTTAAATGTGCAAAAGTTCAAGTAGACACTACATAGAAGAAGATACATGGATGATAAACTCACACGAAAATGTGCTCACATCACTAGAAATTAGATAAAATCCAATTTGAAGTACAATGAGGTAGACCTACATACCTATGCAAATGGAAACAAAAACAAAAACAAAAAAACACCTGACAAAACCAAGTGCTGGTAAGGAAACAGGGAAATTGGAATGATCACATATTTCTGTAGGAATGCAAAAGATGCAGCCATTTTGGAAACCAGGTTGGCCATTTTTTAGTTAAACACATGCTTGCAACAAGATCCAGTAATCCAACTACTATTGTTTACTCAAAGGAAATGAAAACTTATGTTCACACAAGAATTTGTATGTGGATTTTTAGAACAATTCTATTCATAAGAGCCGAAAATGGAAACCAATCCAAATGTCTATCAATAGGGGGAATGGGCAAACTGTTTTCATCTATACTATGTATCATAGTAATAAAATGAAACAACCTGTGATAATCCAACAACATGGAAGATTTTCAACTCCATTTTGCCAAGTGAAATAAGCAATACTCAAATGGCTACATAGTGGACAACTCCATTTATATGACATTCTAAAAAAGGTGAAACCATGGAAACAGGAAATAGATCAATGATTGCCAGGGCCTGGGAATGGGAAGAGAGATTTATTGCAAAGAGGTATTAAAGAATTTGAGAATTCTTTAATTTTATATATTGATTTTGGAAATGGTTACAGGACTATTTCTGTCAATCAAAACTCAGAACTGCGCAGCTAAAAAGGATAATATTGAATGTATATAAATTATATCTCAGAACATTTGACTTAAAATACATGAGAACAAAATGAAGACATCTACAGATAAAGAAAAAGCATTGAAATAAATTATTGGTAATACGCTTGTGCCACATTGCTACAAGAAGTCCTTTAGGCAGAAGGTAAATGACATCAGACAGTAAATCAGATCTATGAGAAGGAATCGATAGAACTGGAAATGGTAATAGAGTGTGTGTGTGTGTGCGTGTGTGTGTGTGTGTGTGTGTCTATGCATGTGTGTATTTCGCTCTCTTAATTTATTTGTAAGACATATGACTGTATTTTGGGGTTCATATTGTATATGTGTGCAATGCATGTGACCATATAATGTGGGGAGAATGACTGAACTTGTCGCAAAATTTCTATATTTTACTTGGAGTAAGTAAATATTAACTTGAATAATATTGTAATATGTTAAATATATATATTTTCATCAGGAATCAACAACCGAAAAGATAAAGAAGGCAAATAAATATAACTAATAGTTGGAAAAGTTAAAATTGTATAGTAAGAAATATTTAACACAATTAAAGTAGGAAAAGAAGAATAGGACAAAAAAAGGAAGAGAAAAAACAAATGGCAAGTTGGCAGGCCTAAGTTAAATCATGTCAATAATCATATTAAATATGAATGTGCCAAACATTCTAATCAAAAGGCAGACATTGTCAGACTGAATGAAAAATCAAGGTCTAATTATGTGCTGCTTATAAAAGATGGACTTTAATTTCAAAGGCACAAATTGGTTGAAAGTAAAAGGATAGAAAAATGTATCCTGTACAAATATAAACATACAAGGGTTGAGTGGTTGTATTAAAATCAGATGAAGTAGACTTTAATATAAAGAACATTACTAAAGACAAAGAAAGGTATTTTATTATGATGAAAGGCTGAATACAGTAGGGAAAGAAAACAAGCATAAATGCATCTGACAATGAGCTACAAGATATATGAAGCAAATATTGAAACATAATTGAAAAGAGAAATAGAGAAGTCAACAATTACAGTTGGAGATTTCAACATTCTTCTCTCAGTAATTGATAGAACATGTAAATAAACAACCAGTAGGATACTGGCCTCTTGAGCAACATTATCAACCAACTGGATCAAATATAGTGATAACTGTGGAACACTTCACCAAACAACAGCAGAACACATTCTTTTCATGCACTTGGAACATTCTTTAAGGTATACCATGTACTAAACCATAATATATGTCTTAAAAACTTAAAGATACTGAAATAACACAGCATGTATTCTCTGATTTCAATGTCAGTTAGGAATCAAGAAGAGAAAGAGAGAGACGTGGGAAACCCCAAGTATGTGGAAATGATAAAATGAATGAACATGTAAGTATAACAAAATTTCTTTTCTTTTCCTTTTTGTTTTAGAGACTAGGTCTCACTCTGTTCCCCAGACTGAAGTGCAGTGGTGCAATCATAGCTCACTGCAGCCTTGAACTCCTGGCCTTGAGTGATCCCCCACCTCAGCTTTCCCTCCCAAGTAACTGAGACTACATCTGTGCACCACTGTACCTGGCTAAAAAATGCAATTAAGTAAACTTGAAATGCAGTTAAGTAAACCTTTGAGAAAGAAATTTAGCTTTAGAGAAGAAGAAAGATCCAAAACAAGTGATCTAAGCTTCTAAGAAGCTAGAAAGAAACAGAAATTAAATTCAAGTAGAAAAAAGGAAAAAGTAAAATCAGAATGGAAATCAGTGGAATGTGAAATGGATAAACAATAGAGGAAACCAAGATTGCCAAGGTTAGCTTTTAAAAAAGACTAATAAGGTAGAATAACCTTTAGCTCATTGATCAAGAAAAAAGAGAAATCATGATCAATATCTGGATGATTGAGATCACTATAGACCCTACAAACATTAAAAGAATGATAACAGAATGTTACAAACAACTTTATACCAAAAATTTATGCATTTATGTGAAATAGATAAATTCCTTAGAAAGTAGAAACTATTGAAATTGACTCAAGGAAAAAAAAAACTGCAAAAAATCTGAATATCTCTTTACAAAGCAAGCTGATTTAAATAGTAATTTAAAATATCTTTGCAAAATATATTAAGGCGGATTTGGTGGTGAGGTTTTACCAAGCATTAGGGAAAAAATAATACAAATTATCCTTTCAGAAAAGAGAGGGGGAAGGTATAATTTTCAATTCATTTTATGAGGACAGTATTACTTTGCTACAAAAGCCAGCCAAATACTTCGTAAGAAAACTAGAGATTAATATCCTTTATGAACACAGATGCAAAAGTTTTAAACAAAATTTTAGCCAATTGAATCCAGCAATATGTAAAAATGATAATACACCATGATCAACTGGGTTTTATCTCAGGAATGCAAGGTTGGTTTAACATCCAAATGTCATTAGTATAGTACACCATATGTGAAAGGCAGAATAATGGCCCTTCAGAGATGTCCATGTCCTAAATCCCCAGAACCTACAAACATATTACCATAAGTGGCAAAAGGAACTTTGCAAATGTGATTAGCGTCAATCACCTTGACATGAGGAGATTATCCTGGATTATCTGGATGGGCCCAATGGAATCATAACGGTCTCCATAAGGGACACATGAAGGCAGAGGGAGATATAACTACAGAAGAGAAAGGAAGAGTGATTCAATGTGAGAAGGACTTGGCACATAATATGGTTTGGCTCTGTGTTCCCACCCAAATCTCTTCATGAACTATAATCCCCACAAGTTGATGGAGGGACTTGGTGGGAGGTGATTGGATCATGGGGGCAGTTTCCCCCATGCTGTTCTCATGATAGTGAGGGAGTTCTCACAGGATCTGATAGCTTAAAAGTGGCAGTTTCCCTTACTCTCTCTCTTTCTCCTGCCACCATGTAAGATGTGCCTTGCTTCCCCTTTGCCTTTTGCCATGATTGTAAGTTTCCTGAGGGCTCCCAGCCATGTGGAACTGTGAGTCAATTAAACCTCCTTTCTTTATAAATTACCCAGTATCAGCTATTTCTTTACAGCATTGTACAAACTAGCTAGTACAGAAAATTGGTACTGAGAGTGGGGTACTATTACAAAGATAATTGAGAATGTGGAATCAACTTTGGAACTGGGTAACAGGCAGAAGTTGGAACAGTTTGGAAGGCTCAGAAGAAGACAGGAAGATGTGGGAAAATTTGGAACTTCCTAGAGACTTGTCTAACGGGTTTTTTTTTCAACTTTTATTTTCAGGATGTGCAGGTTTGTCACATAGGTAACTGTGTGCCATGATGGTTTACAGCACAGATCATCCCATCACCCAGGTTATTGAGCTTAGCATCCATTAGCTATTTTTCCTGATGCTCTCCCTCCTCCCAGCCTCCCTCATAGGTGCCCAAATGCTGATAATGATATGGACAGTGAAGTCTAGGCTGAGGTGGTCTCAGATGGAGATGAAGAACTTATTAAGACTGGAGCAAAGGTCACTCTTGCTATGCTTTAGCAAAGAGACTGGTGGAATTTTTCCCTACCCTAGAGGTATGTGGAACTTTGAACTTCAGAGAGATGATTTAGGGTATCTGGCAGAAGAAATTTTTAAGCAGCAAAGCGTTCAAGAAATGACCTGGCCTTTTCTGAAAGCATACATTCATAAGCATTCACAAAGAGATGATCTGAAATTTTACTCCTAGCTACTTTCCTAAAAGAAGTTAAAACATATGTCTACACAAAGACTTGTACATGAATGTTAATTGCATCATTATTCATAATACTCCCCAAATGGAACCAACCAACCTCAGTGTCCATCAACTGGTAAATAAATAAGTGGTATATCCACACAATGGGATGCTACATAGCACTAAGAAGGAATGACCAATGATACATACCACAACATGGAAGAATCTCAAGAACAGCATGCTAAATAAAAGAGCCAGATATAGAAGACTTGATACTGTATGATTCCACTCATGTGAAATTCCAGAAAAGCCAGGCTAAAATGTTAGAAGGCAGATCAATGTTTACCAGGGGCTGGAGATAAGAACAAAAATTGACTGTAAAAGGACACAGGGAACATTCTAGGGCAATGAAAATGCTTTAAACCTTAACTGTGATGCTATTTGCACACCTGTGTACATTTACCAAATCTCATCCATCTGTACGTTTAAAATGGGTGAATTTTATTGTGTGTAAATTATAACTCGAGTTGTTAAAAATATAAACATCTCTAATAAAGTAAAATAAAATAAAGTAAATGAAAATAAAACAAAACAAAAAATAGTCCAGCACCATGATGATCTTTTCATGTGTCAATCTGGCTATGTTATAGTTTCTAGTTATTCAAACACCAATCCAGGAGTTACTGCGAAGGCATTTTATAGATGTGATTAAAACTCATAATCAGTTGACTTTAAGTAGGGAAGGATATCCTAGGTAACCTGGACTGACTCAAACAAAGGGTCTCAAAAGCCCAGCTGAGTCTCCCTTAAAGAAGGGAGGCTGATGGCAGCTTCAGCCGTGCAGAGTGTTCCAGCCTGCCCTCCCCAATGGTCTGTCTTATGAATTTCAGACTTGCCTTGTCAGCCCCACAATTAGATAAGCCAATTTCTTGCAAAATTTTCACATGTACTATTATTTTGTCCCATGAAACTGATCAGAGTTGTAATTTTGCTTTGATTTTTGATTATGTGTTTATCTTAATTGGCAAGGATATTGTCTTCATTCATCACGTGCATTCATTCTTCATTCATTCATCAAGGATATTGTCTTTTTTATTCATAGCTACGTATATGCTGCCTGACCTATAGTGTACACTCTGTAAATATTTGTTGAATGAATGAAGTATTATTTTATGAGTATGTTTATATTTGTCAGACCATCTCCAAAATGTTGGTTTGTGAAATGTCAACATTTATATCATAAAGCAGGAGCAGGGAAACTTTTTCTTAAAGGACCATATAGTAAATATATTCAGCTTTATTAGCCAACAGTTTACGTTATTGGCCCACAACAGTTGACTCAACTCTGTTGATGTAGGGCAAAAATAAAGATAGTTAATATGTAAATCAATGAGTGTGTCTGTATTCTAACAAAACTTTATGAAAACAGGTGGGGCCAGCGCAATGGTTCACACCTATAATTCCAGCACTTTGGGAGGCCGAGGTGGGTAGATCGCTTGAGTCCAAAGTGTGAGACCAATCTGAGTTGAGTAACATGGAGAAACCCCATCTCTACAAAAATTACAAAAAAATAGTCCAGTGTGGTGGTTCATGCCTGTAGTCCCAGGTACTTGGGAGGCTGAGGTGGGAGGATGCTTGCTTCCAGGAGGTGGAGGCTACAGTGAGCTGAGATCGTGCCTCTGCACTCCAGCCTGGGTGACAGAGCAAGACCCTGACCCTGTCTTAAAAAAAAAAAAGAGGAAAAAAGAAAAGAAAAGAAAACAGGTGACTAGTCTATGAGTCATACTTTGCCCACCCTTGCATAAAGTCCTGCTCATCTACAGTAGTCATGGACTATTGTGTTTAAGAAGTATCTGGTTACTATGTAATTTATTAGGGCCAAGGTGTTAGAGTACAATAAGAGACCTTGTCATCATAGTTGTAATGAATGTGATGAATATAATTTATCTGATGGTTCATAAGGTGCTCTAGCTTCACCTCGTCCCCATGTAAAAAAATCTCATTGCAAAATACAGCGAAGATGTATGGAGGCATTGACCTAAATCAGCACCAAATGCACGGAAGTCTCTGAAAACTTATTATATTTAATAAGTATCTAAAATGTTATTATTTGCAAGGTTTTGGGTTTCATCTCCTACATATGTAGGCTTTGAGCCAGTGTTCTATCACTCAGCTGTGAGAGTATGACTTATTGGCCTCAGGACTCAGCTGTGAGGATTTAAGAGATGACTGAGTGAGCAGCACTTTTATTACAGAATTCCAGGAGATGACTGTTGTTATATTCCCTATATTCCCATTTATCTGGAGGTAATATTCTTTACCTGCATACCAACTTTCTAGAACCTACCACTAAATGCAAAAATAAAAGGTCTTTAAATATGAGGAATAATTTTCCCAAGGTCTTTGGGGTTAAAGCCGTGTACTTTATTGCTTATTTCTTACTGATTTTTTCTTTACATGCAACCCTAACAAACTTGATTATTTACACTTCCAGCCATGGCAAGTGAGAATAAGCAAGGTCTTGGTGAAAATACCCACTAAGAGCAGAAATACTGCTGACTAAAAAAAACAAAAAACACCAAAAAAAAGCCCACTGTGTTTATTTCATGCACTGTATTAAATAACTATGATTCATCAAGAACATTTTAAATTATGTTCATTGTTCTCTTTTTAGAAAGACAGAAACTATGCTGTGCATTTTAGGATAATTTCCATTAAAATAGTTTATTTAAATTAATTTTCATGCTAGATAAGAAAGTTTGATTAGCTGGAGATAACTCATATGTAACAGCAGCTGATAATGCCTAATGGCCAAGGTATTAATCTGGGACATGTACCTCTTTCCTCTTCTTCTTTGTAAACATTTATTCATGCTGCTCAATTTCTTTGCATAATAGATATCTGCCTTTAGAGCCAAGTTTCTGGGAAGTATTTTTTACAGTAGCAGGTGTTTTTTAGGTCTTCTGCAGAAAACTCCCTCAGACAGTATGCGGATTTTGAAAAGAAAGGGTGATGGAAAATGCTAGTCATTGTTCCTGCTTATAAAATTCCAACCAGAGTAGGGCTTTTGTTCAGGAAAACAGAAGGGGAATAATAAATGCCAAGTGGAATGATCAGATGCAATTAGAAACTTATCTGCCAAGGTAATGTGTGAGGGACGATTTGTCACTAGTCCCAAGTACTCTGTGTTATAAGCTGCAGGCTGAGTTGTCAGTTTGTTGAGAAAGGCAGCAAACCACTCCTGTCCTGCTGCAGAATCACAACTTCCAAGGGCGCCCCTGGGAGACTGAGAGCCTTGACCTTGGGCTGGATTCCCCTGTAGTTTATTGGGAGTGGACACTGAGCAGTGAAGGCAGGAAAGACGAATATGCTTTTGGATTAGGCTGGCTGCGTTTCCGCTGAGAACAAGAGCACACAAATGTCTAGGAGGGCAGCAGGATAAGTAAACATGCAGGCCATGAAACCAGCCTGGTGGATTTTAGATTGAATTCCGCAACTAGGCTATGCGTGGGCGAAGTGGGAAGTGAGTGTTCACCTGGCAGATCCCTCTCCAGTCTTGTACAAAATTCCCACGTCATGTTAGGAGTCGATGCCTGTTCTTCCCACTTTACTATCACTGCTGGGCACAGCAGCTAGTTCCAAGCATATCTTTACTTTTCCTAAAAATATATATATATATTTTTGAAAATAGGTAACACCTACCTGCACTTGTATAAATGATTACAATATCACAAAACTAAAGAGTAAGGCAGGCCAGGCATGGTGGGTCACGCCTGTAATCCCAGCACTTTGGGACACCGAAGGGGGCAGATCACAAGGTCAAGAGATTGAGATCATCCTGGCCAACATGGTGAAACCCCGTCCCTACTAAAAATACAAAAATTAGCTGGGAGTGGTGGCACCAGTAGTAGTACCAGCTACTCGGGAGGCTGAGGTACAAGAATCACTTGAACCTGGGAGGTGGAGGTTGCAGTGAGCTGAGATCACGCCACTGCACTCCAACCTGGAGACAGAGCGAGACTCTGTCTCAGAAGAAAAAAAAAAAAAAAAAAAAAAAAAGAAGAGTAAGACAAGGACCTCAGCAAATCAGATATATGATATGCTATGGTTATTTAGCTGGTCATCCAATGTTGACCACTTCCATAAAGAAAATGTGGTAGATATATACTGTGGAATACTACTCAGCCATAAAAAAAAACCAAAATAATGTCTTTTGCAGCAACTTAGATGGAGCTGGAGGCCATTATGCTAAGTGAAGTAACTCGGGAATGGAAAACCAAATATTGTATTTTTTCACTGATAAGTAGGCGCTAAGCTTTGAAGACACAAAGGGGTAAGAGTGATGTAATGAACTTTGGGAACTCAGGAAGGGGAAGGTTGGGAGGGGGTGAGGAATAAAAAACTACATATTGGGTGCAGTGTTCACTGCTTGGGTAGTCGGTGCATTAAAATCCTGAGATTTTAATACCCACCAAAGAACTTATCTATGTAACCAAAAAGCACCAGTACCCCAAAAACTATTGAAATTAAAAAAATATTGACCACTTCCTTACACAGGTGGCTATAAACGTAGCTCTTACAATCAAATCCGGGCTATGCTACTATAGTTGGGTGAACTCTGGCAAATACATTCATATCTATGAATCCAACATACTCATTTATAAAATGTGGTTCATAATAGCACCTACTGCCTAGAGTTGCTATGTGAGATTAAATGAGAATTTTTTTAGCATGTTCAAGAATTTATCTCAATGTGTGTCACAGAATAAACACCCAATACCTGGTAGGCGCTACTTCTGTGACACTCTTCCTTCCCCATGCTTCACGGCACCGGCATCGTGGGGCTGTCTGCTGTCGCCATGCCTGCTGCAACAGCCTCTCGATGGCCACCCTGGAACCAGCCTGTCCCCATTCATACCCTGCTTGCAAGTTGCTGCCAAGATATTTTTTCATAGCTATATCGAGGTATAATTGACCTACCACAGATGACTCATGTTTAAAGTGTACAATTTTATAAGTTTTGGCACAGCTACATACCTGTGAGCCAGCCCCACAATCCTGTAGTGAACCTACACATCACCCTTGGAAAGTTTCCACGTGCACCTTTGCAGCTGTTCTCTCTTGCCCTTCTCCCTACCCTCCCTTAACCAGGCAGCCACTGACTGTGGTATGCTGCTTTAGATTAATTTGCATTTTCTAGAGTTTTATATAAATGAAACATTCAGTATAGACTTTTTTTTTTTACTGACTTGTTTCACTCTGTGTAAACATTGTGAGATTTATTCATCCTGTTTTGTGTATAGTACATTCCTTTCTTCCTCCTATTATTCTATTGCATGGACATATCAAATTTGTTTATCCATTTCTCTATTGATAAACATTTCAGTTGTTTCTGGTTTTGGTTAATATAAATCAAGCTGCTACGAACAGTTGTGTACAAGTCTTTTTAGGGACGTGTGATAATTTTTTTCTTGGATAGATACCTCGGAGTAAGTAGAATGTCTGGATCATATAGTAGGTATATGTTTAATTATTTAACAAACTGCCATACTTTTTTCCAAAATGTTTTTGTTTTGTTTTGTTTTTACCATTTTATTCCCACCAGCAGTGTAGAAGAGTTCTAATTGCTCCATATCTTTGCCAATACTTAGTATGGTCAGTCTTTTTAATTAATCAAATGGGTACGTATCACATTGTGATTTTAATTTGCTTCCCTAACGACTAGTGATGTTGAGTATTTTTTTTCATGTGTTTATTTGCCATCTGCACATCTTTTTTATGAACTGTCCAAATATTTTACCCATTATTAAAAGTCTGTCTTCTATTTTTTAATTTTGAAAGTTAAATATATATATATTCTGGATACAAGGGCTTTATCACATATATATGCTTTACAAGTATTTTCTCTGAATCTATGGTTTATCTTTTGTTGTTAACTGTAGACTACTTTTTAGAGAAGCTTTAGGTTTATGCAAAAATTGAATAGAAAGCACTGAGTTCTCATATACTCTCCCTTTTTTCATTTCCCCTGTTATTAACATACTGTATTAGTGTGGCTCATTTGTTATAATTGATGAACCAATAGTGATACATTATTTTTAACTAAAGTCCGTAGTTTACATTTGTAACTCTTGGTGTTGTACATTCTATCTGTTTGGCTAAATGTGTGATGACATGGGTCCACCATTATAATACCATACAGAGTCGTTTCACTGCTCTAAAAATCTGTGGTCTACTTCTTCATCCCTCCCTCCCCCAAACCCCTGGTAACCAGTATCTATTGTCTGCCTTTATTGTCTACTGTCCGCTTTTTCCAGAATGTTGTATAGCTGCAATCATACAGTATGTAGCCTTTTCAAATTGGCTTCTTTCACTTAGCAATATGCAATTTAGTTTCCTGTGTTTCCTTTTATTAATGAACAGTATTTCCTTGTATAAATGTACCACAGTCAGTTTAGCTGTTTACCTATTAAAAGACATCTGGGTTGCTTCCAAGTTTTGGCAACTATGAATGAAGTTGCTATAAATACTCGTGTGCAGGGTTTTGTGTAGATGTAAGTTTTCAACTTGTTTGGATAAATACCAAGGAGTAAGCTTGCTGGATTGTATGGTAAGACTATGTTTAGCTTTCTAAGAAGCCATCAAATAAAAAAGGGGCCATACTATTTTGATTCTCATGTGGTTTGTCTTTTCATTCTCTGAAGTCTCTTGAAGAGCAGAAATTGTTGATTTGATGAAGCCCAATTTAACAACTTGTTGTTTTGTTTGTGCTTTTTTTGTCTTATCTAAAAATTCTTTTGTTTATTCAAAGTCACAAAGATTTATCCTCATATTTTTTTTTCTCTAGAAGTTTTAAGTTTAGGTTATGCATGTAGGTCTAAGATCCATTTTGAATTAAATTTGTCCATAGTGAAATGCATGATTTGTAGTTTATTTTTGTTTTTGAATGTGGATAACCAATTAATTGTTCCAGCACCATTGGTGAAGACTGTCCTTTCTTCAAGGAATTACCTTTGCATTTTATTTTTGTCAAAAATCAGTTGTCCATTCTTGTTTGGGTCTGATTCCAAACTCTCTGTTCTGCTCCATTCCTTCATGTATCTATCTACCTGCCAGTACCACACTGCTGTGGTTATTATGGTTTTATAATATTTCTTGAAATCACATAGTGTTAGCCCTCCAACTTTATTCTTCATACTCAAAGTTGCTTTGATTATTCTAGGTTCTTTGCATTTCCAAATTAATTTCAGGATTGTTTTCTCAATTATTGCAAAAAAATCTCTCTGGGATTTTGATTGAAATTGTTTTGACTTTACAGATAAATTTGGGGAACATTTACTTTTTGAAAATATTGAGTCTTATGACCCATAAAAGAGGTTTAACTCTCCCTTTATTTGTGTCTTCTTTAATTTCTGTCAGGATTTTTTTTAGTTTTCAGTTTAGAAGTTATTCACATCGCTTGTCATATTCGTCCCTAAATATCTCTTAGCCTGTTTTCTGGTGTTATAACTGCATACCTGAGACTGGGTAATTAAGAAATTGATTTCTTGCAGTCGAAGAGGCTGGAAAGTCCAAGATGGAGGGTCTGCATCTGGTGAGGGCCTTCTTGTTGTGTCACAACATGGTGGAAAGCATCACTGGGCAAGAGGACACATGAGAGAGAGTGAAACTGACTTTTATAACAGATATCTTCTAGTGATAACTATGCCACTCCTGTGATAACCCATCCATCCATTAATTCATGAATGGATTAGTCCATTCATGAGGGCAAAGCTCTCATGACCCAATCAATTCTTGAAGGCCCAACCTCTTAATACTATTACATTGGGGATTAAGTTTCAACATGAGTTTCAGAGGAGACAAACATTAAAACCAAAGCAGTATTGGCCAGGTGCCATGGCTCATGCCTGTAATCCCAGCACTTTGGGAGGCCAAGGCAGGCAGATCACCTGAGGTCAGGAGTTTGAGACCAGCCTGGCCAACATGGTGAAACCCCATCACTACTAAAATTACAAAAATTAGCTGGGTGTGGCGGTGCATGCCTATAATCCCAGCTGCAGGAGAATTGCTTAAACCTGGGAGGTGGAGGTTGCAGTGAGCTCCACCACTGCACTCTGGCCTGGGCAACAGAGTGACAGAGGGTTGAGACTCCATCTCAAACAAGAAAAAAAAAAAAGCAGTAACTTATTGTTCATTGCTGGTGTATATCAATACAATTGGTTTTTTGTATATTTTTCTTGTATCTGAAAGCTTGAAAATTCACTTAGTTCTAGTAGCTGTTTTGTATGTTTCTAAGGATTTTCTACATAAATGATCCTGTCATGTGTGAATAAAGACAGTTCTACTTCTTTCTTTCCAATGTTGATGCCTCTGATTTCTTCTTGCCTCATTGCACTGGCCAGAACCTCTAGTACAATGTTGAATCAAACAGTGAGAGCAGACATCCTTGTCTTGTTCCTGATCTTTGGGATAAAGCATCTAGTCTGTCACTGTTAAGTATGACATTAACTGTGGGATTTTTTGTATATGCTTTTTAACAAGTTGAGGAAGTTCTCTTCTGTTCTTAGTTTGCTGAGCATTTTTACCAGGAATGGGTGTTGGAATTCGTTACATGCATTTCTGTGTCTGTTGGGATAATCATGTTTTTTCTTATTTTTTAGTTTGTTAATATAGTGAATTATATTGTTTTCTGAATATGAAAACAATCCTGCATTCTTGGATGAATCCCACTTTGTCACAATATGTCATCATTTTAATACATTATTGAATTTGATTTGCTATTTAAAATTTTTTTTGCATGTTTGTTCATGAGGGATATTGGTCAATAGTTTTCTTTTCTTGTGATGTGACTTTAGTATCAGTGGGATGCTGGCCTGAAACAATGAGATGAGAACTGTTTTCTACTCTTCAATTTTCTGGAAATGTTTATACAGAACTGGCATTTTTTTTTTTTTTTTTTTTTAAGCAGTCTGGCTCTGTCGCCCAGGCTGGAGTGCAGTGGCACGATCTCTGCTCACTGCAAGCTCTGCCTCCCTGGTTCATGCCATTCTCCTGCCTCAGCCTCCCGAGTAGCTGGGACTACAGGCGCCCGCCACCACACCCGGCTAATTTTTTGTATTTTTAGTAGAGACGGGGTTTCACCATGTTAGCCAGGATGGTCTCGATCTCCTGACCTCGTGATCCACCCGCCTCGGCCTCCCAAAGTGCTAGGATTACAGGCGTGAGCCACCGCGCCCGGCCGGCATTTTTTTTCTTCCTTAAATGTTTAATAGAATTCACTAGTGAAGCCATCTGGGCCTGGAGTTTTCTTTGTGGGGAGGTTTAAAATATAAATTTAATTTCTTTTTTATATAGGGCTATTCAGGGGCATTGCTAGCCTGTAAGTCATTTCCTGAAGCTCCCCTCCATCTCTCCCCTGAGCCTGGGGGTAGTGGACAATTCCAGTTCTTCCAGAATAGAAAGCTCATCTTCCTGCAATGTGCACATTTTCACCTCATTCTCACCAGTTCTCTTTGACCTCAATCCCCAACTACTTTATTTGGATGCCTTTTCTAAGATGTGATAATGCAAACTTTCAGCTGTTCATGCCCTTTCCTCGTAATCCATAGTCTTGTTTGTATTTGGTCTCCTTCACCTTTTCCTGGGTCCCTGGGGATCTTTGACAGCTCTCATGCAAATTCTGGTATTTTCTAAAGTCAGAAAAGCTAGGGAGAAAATGAGAACATCCTTGTGTTGGAATCCAGTATCCTGGGGAATTAGGAATCTTGATTAGTCCAAAGAGGTAAGAAGGAAATGTCAGCTGATATTGGTGTCTGGTCTACTTAATACACAGGAGGGAAGCTGCCCTTGAAGACAGAATGAGCAAAAGCGCCTCTCCCTGATACCCCGTCTCCCTTGCCATCTTCAGTGGCAGTCTTTCCTTTTCCAGGACTCTTCCTACCAATCAATATGACAAGCCTTGGACAGTCAGCAAGCGATAGTAATATTATGATTTTTTTGTCTTGTAATCTATTGGCTCTTACACTTTAATCACCATCAGAATTGCTTGGAGGGCTTGTTAAAACACAGGTTATTGGGCCCAACTCTTAGACTTTTTGATTTATTAGGTCCAGGGTGAGGCCTTAGGAAGGAAGAAAGAGGAGGCTGCAGAAATGTCACAATCCTGAGATCATAGACTGTCACAAGCTAGAACTACCTATGGAACAATGTCTCAAATAGGTGAATGTGTGTAGGCTTTGCGTCTGGTAACCATGGTTACCATGGGCACAGGGAGAGAAGCTTCACACTAAAGAGTGAGCAGTAAATAACGGTGGAAGAGCCTCCTCCCGTTGTCTACAGGGAGTCTGGGCAGGGGGCTGCTGGGATACAATGCAGGGATTGTGTCTCAAGACTGTAAATGAAAGACACAATTCCTTGCTTGCGGCCTTGGTGTTCTTTGCTACTGCGGGCCTCTTGTATGGCTAACCAGTTGATCATTGTCAAGAAATGGAATGGCTCATAGACACGCACTGCCTCCTCAGATCTCCTGGTGGTCCCTGCTGCAGGAGAGAAGACCTCAGGACTGTGAGAAAGCGGGACCACTTCTCTTAGCATGAGGACCTTAAAGAACTGGTGTAGGTTGTTAGCAGTTGTGGCAGCCTGCTGCCTTGGTTATGACATCTGGCCCTTGCTGAAATGGAGAAGGTTGAGCCCATCCCCAGGAGTTAGGATGCACAGGTGGGGAAGCTCCCAGAACTCCTTGCCTGGGAGGGAAGGCAGGTGCATAGAGTCTTGGCTTAGCCCCCGAGTCTCTCTGTGTCTGGCAGCTCTCACTGAGGACCACACACAGGCCCCAGATGCTCCACCTGGGCCTTGATCCTGTGCTCAGCTCCACCTCCCTTTACAGCAGATGCCACCTGCTCCTGCTTTTATGATCTAGCTACCAATTTCCCATTTCCCTTCTGCGTGCAAGCTGTGGAAAATCTCTCAAAGAAGATACTAGACCTTTTGTTCTAGGAAAGAATTTATATATGCTTAAAATAAAATTCCTTTTACTCTGATGGTAAAAGTTAACCTGGGCCGCTGTCCCAGACTACCTTGAGTCCTTTTAGTTTTTAAATTTTTTTTTCCCATTCATTCAGGAAGCATTTAATGAATGTCTCCTGGATACCGAGCACTGTGACGTGGAATCAACAAGAAAGGTCCGTGACTTCAGGAAGCTGAGATAGCTCACAATCTAGCCAGAGAATTGGAGATAAACA
Organism: Homo sapiens; assembly: GCF_000001405.40. Lineage (NCBI taxonomy): Eukaryota > Metazoa > Chordata > Mammalia > Primates > Hominidae > Homo > Homo sapiens. Next base: position 37,945,640 of record NC_000021.9, read on the forward strand.
GACAATTTTAATATAATATGAAAGAACTAGGATACGTGTGTGTTCAGGGTGGTCTAGGAGCACAGAGGAAAATCTAATGCAATCAGAAAAGGCTTCTTGGAGGAGGTGGCCCCTGGGATTAGCCTGGAAATATGAATAGTATTCACTAGTTCAGAATGGGGACAAGACATTTCAGGGAGAGGGAAAGGTATGAACAGAGGAACAAAGGCAAGAAATAGCAATGTGTATATGTCTGTGCATATGTGTTTGTGTCTGTGCATTCATAGGTTGTACATGTGTTTGTTACTGCATGCATATTTATGTGTGTGTACATGTGCATATGTGGATGTGTTATTGCATGTGTTCATGTGTGCAAAAGTGTATTTGTGTGTGCATGTCTGTATGTGTGGGTGTGTGGATGTGATTTGATTTGGATGTGTGTCCCTCCAAATCTCATGTTGAAATGTGATCTGCAGTGTTGGAGGTGGAGCCCAGTGGGAGGTATTGGATCATGAGGGAAGATTCCTTATGAGTGGCTTAGTGCAGGGGCTGGGGACTGGGACCGCTCTGTGGCCTGTTAGGAACCCGCCAAGCAGCAGGAGGTGAGTGGTGGGTGAGCGAGCATTACTGCCTAAGCTCCGCCTCCTGTCAGATCAGCAGTGGCATTAGATTCTTATAGAAGCATGAACCCTATTGTAAGGTTCACAACTGCACATGCGAGGGATCTAGGCTGCAGATTTCTTATGAGAATCTAATGCCTGATGATCTGAGGTGTAACAGTTTCATCCTGAAACTATCCCCCCACCACCATCCCTGGTCTGTGGAAAAATTGTCTTCCATGAAACCAATCCCTGGTGCCAAAAAGGTAGGGGACCACTGGCTTAGAGTATCCTCTAGTTAATGAGTGAGTTCTCACTCAGTTAGTTCATGCAAGAACTGTTTTTTAAAACTCCTCTCTCTCTTGCTTCCTCTCTTTCATGTGATGTTCTGGCTCCCTCTTTGCCTTCCGCCATGATTGTTGGCTTCCCGAGACCTCACCAGAAGCCCAGCAGATGCTGGTGCCATGCTTCCTGTACAGCCTGCAGAACCATGAGCCAAATAAACCTCTTTTCTTTATAAATTACCCAGCCTCAGGTATTCCTTTATAGCAATGCAAATGAACTAATACAGGATGTATGTGTGCAGGTATGCATATGTGTTTGTGTCTATATGTGTATATGTGGGTGTGTGCATGTGTGTTCGTGTATTTGTGTGTGCATGTGTGTTTGTGTGTATGTATCTGTATATGTGTACATGTGTGTATGTGTTCATCTGTGTGGGTGTGTGTGAGGGCATGCATGCCTTCACAGTGAGACTGGCAAAGGAGGGGTGGAAGCAAGGAATATGAGCAGTTCTGTATTTCTGAATCTGGTGGGGACAGATCATGGAGATCCTTGAGCACCACATTGAGAAAGCTGGCTCTGGGTTATTTTTCTAGCAACCCACTGAATGATATTTAGGGAGGTGGTACCTGATAGAAAAGGTCAGGCTGTAAACCTGGTTAAGCCTTTGGAAGTTGTCTCAAGTGGAGCTCCCCAGAGGCAGCGTCTGGGCAGGGTTCAGAAGCACAGAGGCAGCGCCTGGGCAGGGTTCAGAAGCATGTGGTTTCTAGAGGGCTGCTTTCAGGAGATGGAAGCACAGTGGAGCAGGGGATGATGCCAGGCAGGGCTGTGGTCTCAGCTGGAGCCTGCTGAAGCCTGACCCTACCAAGAGATCTGAAGGGAGACCCCACTACAGAGCTGGTCCTGCCTGTAGGAAAGGGTGTGGCATTCTGAACCTGGAATTGGTCAGTTACTGGCTGCAGGCTGAGGAAGGGTGATGGTGAGGCGGTGCATTGATGGCCAAGGCCAATGCTCCAGAGAGAGGTCAGCTGTGAGCATTTGTCAGGCAGCGCCTGTTGGGAGGGTGCACTGCCTGGGCAAAGGGGCACCAACAACATCTAAAACAGTGCAGAGTACTTTTGTCAGTTCCCTGAGAAGTTCTAGCCTTTTGAGTTGCTTCAATTTAATGCTGGTTGCTTTAATTGAAAAAAAAATTATTTGTTCAGCATCTTCTGGGAACTAATACCCTCAATGACTATGTTATTATTATTATTATTATTATTATTTGCAGAATACTTTGCAGCTTCCACATTTGATTGCTAAATTTTTAGATTACTGTTTTGCAGTTAGTTTTATGCAAAAAATTACTTCTGTAGCATTTCAGATAGAAAAGAGACCTTCTTTTCACCAAAGCCTTAAAAGATATTTTCAAGTTGAGTAAGATGGGCTTTGATTTGATGAAACCTCTACCTGAGAAGCCAACAATATACAGATGCAGATTCTTCCCTATGGGGCTTTGATGCACAGCTTTCCTGCCTGTAACTCATGAGGAGTGAGGATGGGGAGGCGGAGCCAATCATGAAGCCAGTCATGAAACCAGCATTTGGCTATTGTTAAAGAGAAATGATTCTGACACTTATTAAAATGGTAAGGAACACTTTATCAAGACTATTGCAATTGGGGGACACAGACAGAACTCAAATGCAAACACAGCAAGATTGAAGCCAAGAGCAGAGTGAGGGGGGTTGACACCTGAAAAATTTCAAAGAGGAGACATCCAGGTAGGGGAGGGGATTCTTCCTAAATTGGCCTAATGGGATTCTTGCTAAAGGCACCCAGGGACCCGGACTTTAAGGGTGGCAGATCTTCTCTAAACTCATCTAGCAAAATTCTTTGCTAAAACTGGACTTGCAAGGACAGACAAGGAAGGCCAAGGCGGAAGATTAGTGGAGAAGAGGGCTCCAAGACGCCTGCCTAAGGTCTGGCCAAGGAGGAGTCTTTATCACCATCGTACCCCACTGCAGACATCCCAAGAATTTGTCTCTGAACCTTGAAGCTTGGAAAGCAATGGGGCTAAAAATTAGTCATCACAAAGTTAGCTTTGCCTGGAGACCCTGGAAGCTTAATACGAGGCAGACAAAACCAAAATGAAGAGCAGCCGTGACCCCACTAATCTTGAGGAAAAGCAAGGCTCAGTCTTCAAGAATAGCAGAGATGCCGTTGTCATCTCCAGCATGATTCAGAATAGTGAGGCAGCAGGGAAGATGAAGATTGCAAGGAGTTGAAATTCCGTGGCATGGCTGTTCAGGTGCTTAGGACTTTAATTTTAAAATTTCCCAGTTTTAACCCTGTGTTATGTTCTACTTTTAGGTGCTTGGTGAAGCAGCATTTACTTGTTAAGCAGAGCATGGGACGGTTGATAGCAAAGGGGCGGCCCTGTCTTGCTGTGGGGGAGGAAACATATTCCAAAGACCACGCAGCTCTGTTGAAAAATGCCAGGAAAGGCTCAACTTGAAACACCAAGAAAATAATGTGTTTTAAATAATATCCACCTCTTCCTCAAATCTATTTTTAAAAAAACAACAACACTGGAAACTCTATCTTTAATCTTCGATTCTTCTGGAGAAATTATCCTCCCAGGTTGCATTAGAAAAGTAGCTTATACTGCACTTAGGCCATCAGAGTAAGAGCCTGTGATGGGGTTTATTTGTGGCTGTCTGTCACCTCTCAGGCAAACAGGCATCATCAGCTCGGTTGTAGACACAAGGCTAGGCCTGGCCCAAATATGTGGAATTTAATCACTGATGTTTCACAGTGATGCCTGTTACTAAGTGAAAGAAGGCAGTCTGAAAAGGCTACATGCTGTACGATTTCAACCACCTGCCACTCTGGAAAAGGCAAAACTTCGGAGACGGTAAAGAGATCAGTAGCTTCCAGGGGTTGGGGTAGAGAAAGGGATAGATAGGCATAGCACAGAGGATTTTTGCAGCAGTGAAAATTCTCTGGGTGATACCATAATGATGGATCTATGTCATTAGCCACTTGTTCAAACCCACAGAATGCACTCTGGGGGATAGTGATGGGTCAGGTTGGGTTTTGTGTGATGGAGGCATGGAGAGCAGCAGACGCTCAACATTGACAACTCCTGGCTGTTGCACTCCGTGATGCATGCTGACTTTTGCTATTTTTTAATGGCAAAAGAACATGCTTTGGTTTTGTTTTAGGAGGAGAGGGATTGAAGGAACCAAGGGTGGCTGTGGGGGAGATTCAGAAACTCAAGGCTAGATGGGACTTGGCTGGATTTTGGAGTTCAAGAGGTTAACAGGACTGAGTTTAGGTAAATCTGTCCTCTCCATATTGCTTGATATATTGTGGGGTGTGTGTGTGTGTGTGTGTGTGTATGTGTGTGTGTGTGAATGTTAAAAAACAATCAGTGTAAAATTTATCCATCATAACAAATACACCCCTCTGGTGGGGGATGTTGATAGTGGGGGAGGCTGTGCATGGGAGGGAGTGGAGGATATATGGGGAATCTCTGCATGTTTTGTTCAATTTGCCATGAACTTGAAACTGCTCTAAAAAAGAAAAATCTATTTAAAAAATATATGCAGTACACTGTGTTAGTGGCACATGGGTTGGGAAGAGGGAATACTGGCCTTGGTTTAGGCCCATAGGAGATGTGCTTCCTTCCCATCCCCCATATTCTCTCACATAGACTTAATTACTAGGCCTGTCTTTCTACTTGTACAATCGATTCTCATTATTCCAAGCAGTTAAGTTCTGTAACATTGCCAAAAAAAGAAAACTGAATTAGTCAATACTGAACTTCTGCTCCCAGGAGAAATCTAGGATTATGTTCCTGCGAGCCTCTGGTCACAATATCTTTGTCAGCCCATCAATACATAACGTTGTTTTATGTGTGTTTCTGTTTAAAGACTACTTATTTATTATATATTGTTGATTAATTAACATGGAGCTCACAGCCAACAGAACTATATAACACATGCCTGAACTGAGCTCATCTTAACACATATATTTTCTTTTTCTTTTTTTAAATTATACTTTAAGTTTTAGGGTACATGTGCACAATGTGCAGGTTAGTTACATATGTATACATGTGCCATGTTGGTGTGCTGCACCCATTAACTCGTCATTTAACATTAGGTATATCTCCTAATGCTATCCTTCCCCCTCCCCCCACCCCACAACAGGCCCCCGTGTGTGATGTTCCCCTTCCTGTGCCCATGTGTTCTCATTGTTCGATTCCCACCTATGAGTGAGAACATGCGGTTAACACATATATTTTCTCCGCAAGTTACGTCACAATCTTCATGCACTTAGGAACCCCACACAACGCTTCAGCGCTGTGCTTGGGGCCATTTTAAAAAATGAAATCACTGACGAAAAACACAAAAATGTGAAAAACATGGCATCGAACAGACTGTGAAAAGAACACTTGTTTACGGTAGAAGAGCTGACGGAAGAAGGCAGAACAATGCCTCATTGCAGCTCAGCTGGGAACATACTCCTGCTCAAATTTTTTGCCACCGTGCACATGCCCATAAATGACCACTAAAGCTCCTTGAGTGTTGATTTTGGAGTTTCAAGTATATTTTATGGAGTAGGCGACCTTGCAAATACTGAATTTGAGAATCAAGAGGCTGGACCGTCTCTGCTTTTGGTCCAGCCAAGGGCCCTGTTGGTCCACGATTGCCATATCGTGTTTTGACTGCTCCAGGGACTTTGATGTGACTCTAGTTTGGAAGATCTGGAACACTTTGGGAGCTTGAGAATGAGATGAGAACATCGTGTGGGGTTTGATGAGAGTGTTTTGGCTCCAGGTCATGGATTCACATCTCTTGGTGGGTCGCGGGAAGTAAAGCAGCCCATAGCCTGCAAATGTTGAGGCAGGCTTGCAGCTTGCGTGGACACAAGTCCCTGCTCACTTCCCTCTCCAGTTATCACAAGCATCCAGCTCAGAAGGACACCTTGTGTGCTTCTCTGAGTGCTCCTGCACCCTCATCCCTCACTGACCCCACTCTGCCCACCAATACTTTCCATTTCTTGAAGCCTGCTTCTGTCTTGACCACTGGGGAGCCTTCTTACATGCCAGAGGCCTCTGTCTTGCCTTGGGGTGTGATCATGATTTACTTTATTCAGGTTCTGCTTATCCAGGGTGGCCAGGAAAGTTCATCTGTAATCCCAGCATTCCATCCCATCCTGCCTTTTGGAAAGACGTAAAATAAATGCACCAAAAATAAACGGAGGCTTTGAATAATATCATACATTGATATGATAAATTTCAATAAGCAGTTTTTTCACATATGTCCCATGCAATATATGGGGTGTACTTATGTTGAAAATGCTTCATTATTTATTTGAAATTTGAATTTAATTGGCTGTCCTATATTTTTGTTTGCTAAATCTGGTGACCGTATCTCCGCAGAGCTTGCAGCGCACTGCCCAGTGCTGGAAGTGGTGTGAGAATCAGGGAACTATTCTGCCAATTAGCAGCTGTGAGGTCTTGGGGAAGTCACCACCCGTTTGGGCCTCAGTCCCCTCATCTGTGAAATGGACACGATTTCTAGTATTTGCAGCTATGACCTTTTCTGGAGAATCAGAGTTTGGGTCCCCATTTTAGGTTTCATATTCTCTTTCCCTAATTGGTAAGTTGGCAATTTATTTATATGTTCCCAAAGACAGCTTAAAGTGAATTCATGTATTTATTTCTAAGTAAAACTTCTCTGTTGCTGAGGGAAAACCCACCCATCTGGGCCAAAATAACACGCCGCCTTGGCAGGAAAATAAACCTGCTGAAAATCGTTAGAGCACTTTCTCCCTCACCTGCCTGATAGGCTCTGCTGCACAGACAAAGAGCCTGTTCTCCGATAAAACAAGGCAGCTAAGGGGCAGGTCTGGGCTTTAAATCAGCCCTCTGAGGGGGTAGGCTGCATCGCTGGGCCCCACGTCCATACCAAGTTGTGCTCCTGTGCACCGCAGAATGGCTCGTACGAGGCCGTGGGGAACCAGGATGGCAACAACAAAAAATGGGTTCTCCGCCTCCAGGAGAGGCAAGGCAAGACCTGGTGACAGCAGCCTTGTCTGCATTCTGTAATTGGCAGCCTCAGACATGTGCCTGTGCTCTCCATGGGGGTTGGCCAGTTGAGCCCTGGCAAAGACGTGGCCTGCACCTCTGTGTTTTCACACAGCACCCACACCAGCGGTGCAGGGGGAGAGTGGAGCTTCAGAGGGGGAGAAGGTAAATGCTGTGACGTGTTTCTTCCAGCAACCCCCCCCTTGGATAGCACTGCCCACCTGGTCTTATTCTCATCAGAGACCTACCTCTTCTGGGAAGATTTCTCAGCAGCTGTGGTCACCCAGAGCAGGTATTCTCTGCAGGTAGAAAATCCACTTGGGGTTGGGGCTGCGCACTGCACCTGCCAAACTGTGCGCTCCAGGCTCTAGGCTCTGTTTTTGCTGGCCTTGAGCTGAGTTCCAACTGGGATTTGGAGGCCACAGGATCCCTGCTGAGTGAAGATTAGCAAATGCTCTCTGAGATCCCAAGTCTCTGGCTTGTCTTAGGTCGTGAACAGGTGGGATGGGAGTGTAAGCATGGCTCAGTGGTCCCCAGAAATTTTATTTTGGTGGAATACAGGTATCCATTTGCTCTTTTACGTTGTTCCGTCTAAGAAATCTTTGACTTACTCTTAGTCACAAAGATTTGACTTATGCAGGCAGCTCTGAGCTGTATTTTGAGTTAATCTTTGTGCATGGTAGAAGGTACAAATTGTAGCTTTTGTTTTTACCTGTGGATATCCAATTGTTCCAGCACCATTTGGTGAAAAGATTATCCCTTCTTCCCTGAATTGCCTTTGCACCTTCATCAAAAATCAGTTGTCTATTTCAGTGTGGGCCTGAGTCTAGACTCTGCTTTCTTTTATATGGCTAACTGCACGCCAATACCACACTGTTTTTGTTACTATAGTTTTATAATAGTTCCTAAAATCACATAGCATGAGCCTTTCAACTACAGCAGAGAATTGAAGCCCTCAAGGCTAAACATCATCTGGTCCAGTACCCAGTGGTCTTTAGAATGAAATGCTGAAACTAGTTTACATTTAAAGAAACAGAAGTATAAGAGAGGGAAGGGGCTGACCCATGGAGCTAGTACATAATGGAGAAGCCAGCTCTCCTTCATCACAAAGCCTTAGCAAAATGCCCTTTCAATAATCAAATGATGATAAAAACAAAAGCTGCCATTGTTTTGGACTACCAGTTAAGGTGCTAGGCATTTTACACATAGTATTTCATGTAACCCTGCATGCATTTCTGTGATGTAGCACTAGTATATATGTTGCAGACGAGGAAATGGAGACACAGAGAGCTGAAGGAATGTGGGCAAAGGTGTACAGCTACTGGTTGGCTGGGCTGAGACACAAATACAGGTGGTTCAGGGCAAAGCCTGTGCTTCCTCTAAACCAGCAGTTTTCCAAGTGAGGTCCCTGGGCCCACAACATCAGCCTCACCTGGAAGCTTGTGAGAAAGCAAATTCTTACCCCCAGGTGATTCTGATGCAGACAAATACCTGAGAACTACGGGTGGAACCAGTCCACGTGCTGCCTCTGCTAACAGGGCAGCATCTCTATGTTTAAAATCCCAGTGGACAAATAAACAATTGCAGGGACTGACGTCTGTGGAGGGGGCATGTGGATCTATGGTTCTGTCTTATGGCCACACTCCATGACAATGACTTCAGAGGAGGGAGGAGTGGATGGCGAGGCCAGTATCGCATCTGCAGGCAGGTGAAATGCACAGGCTGCAGGTGGGGAAGGGTGGTCAGAGCCCTGGGCAACTGATTTTACCTCTCTGCATCTTCTCTTTCCTCTAGTGTAGAATAGGGATAAGAACAATGCTTACCTTCTAAAGGGACTGTAAGGATGGGTGAAAGAAGTCAGGAAAAGGACTTAGCACAGGGTGTAGCCATAAAAATAAAGACTGCATTGAAGTTGTTATGTAAGTCCATTTAGATACTTATTTCAAGAACTGAGCACGTAGAAGCCCCTGTGTTGGTTTTTTACTGACTCACAGGCAGTGACCAATTGCCTGGCCATACAGTCAGGAGAGAGGGCAGTGAAAACCCGGCCTATTAAAAGAATGCCCACAGGCAGCACAGCGCTATGGAAATTTGAGGGATGTATTCAAAGAGAACAAGTCAATGCCCATCAGAAGAGCTCCCTTCCAGTTTCAGAAGGTGGCTGGAATAGACAAGAAGAGATCCCTATGTGCTCCCTCGAGGTGGCCGCCTGTGTCCATGAAATGAATGGATATGGGGGCACTCAATGCAGCAGTGCAAAGACGGGCTGAATCTAGACATGTTCCTTTGGCACCCTCTCAGGAGCATAATGCCAGGAAGAACTGCTTTGCTTGTCAACAAGGGAGACAGAGACTGCCACTGGCTATGGGGCAGATTCACTGGTGGGAGGGCCCTGCGCACAGCTGGCGAGCGGGACTGATGCTGGCTGCCTTGGGGGACTAAAAATGGGTCTTGCCTGGAATAAACACGGACTCTGGACTGGGCTTTGTTTACCTGGGGGAAAATGAAAACGCTCAGAGTGCCAAAAAAAAAAAAATCTCAACAGAAGGTATTGCATGGATTTAGAAGGCCAAACATCATTTCTTCAGACCAAGGTATACTGAACAGCCCTTGACGTCCAACAAAGGGCAGATATATCATCCTTAGAGTAACAGTTTGATAGAGGGGTAGAAGGGGCAGTTGAAACACTGGTTGTCTAAAACAGCAGTCCCCAAACTTTTTGGCACTGGGGACCAGTTTCCTGGAAGACAGTTTTATCACAGGGGGAGGGAGGATGGTTTCAGGATGATTCAAGCACATTCCATTGATTGTGCACTTTATTTCTATTATTACTGCATTATAATATATAATAAAATAATTACACAACTCACCATAATGTAGAATCAGTGAGAGCCCTGAGCTTGTTTTCCTGAAACTAGATGGTCCCATCTGGGGGGTGATGAGGGACAGTGACAGATCATCGGGCATAGATTCTCATAAGAAGCACACAGCCTAGATCTCTTGCGTGAGCAGTTTGCAATAGGGTTCCCGTTCCTATGAGAATCTAATGCTTCTGCTGATCTGATAGGAGGCAGAGCTCAGATGGTCATATAAGTGAATACAGATAAAGCTTTGCTCACTCAACCCGCCACTCACCTCCTGCTCTGTAGTACAGTTCCTAACAGGCCATGGTCCATAGCCTGGGGGCTGGGGACCCCTGGTCTAAAACATGGGGAGATAAAAGCATGAAGGCTGCCTTACACACCTTCACTAGTCTGTGCTCACACTCAACACGTGTGGGACTAAAGGAGTGTCCCTACTAGATTTTTGACTGTTTCCCTGGTTGCTCTGGGGAAGAGGGGTTGGGGAGGATGCTGGCATGACCTTGCAATTCTTGCTATGGGAGGAATACACTGGTACAACAACTATGTATTTTTTTTCTTTCTTTCCCAAATCATCTCAGAAAAATGTCTTGTTTTTTTTTTTCTCCCTTACCTGATGCGGTGGTCCTAGAACCAGAGGTGCAACTGCAAGTTCTGGAAGCAGGAATGATTTCTAAGCAAGAAACTGTCACTGTGTTTTTAAACTTTGTCAGAATTCCTAACAATTCTGGGGGTGGACCGTGTCTTTATCTCGTCTGGCAAAAGTGGGGTTAGGACTAAATACAATGCACATACACGTGCATGTATCTTTATAATAGAATGATTTCTGTTCCTTTGGGTATACACCCAGTAATGGGATTGCTGGGTCAAATGGTATTTCTGCCTCTAGGTCTTTAAGGAATCACCACACTGTCTTCCACCATGGCTGAGGCAGGAACAGAAGACCAACACTGCGTCTTCTCGCTTACAAGTGGGAGCTGAATGATGAGAACACATGGACGCATGGGGTTGGGGGAACAACACACACTGGCGGCTGTTAGGGGTGGGGTGTGGGGAGGGAGAGCATCAGGAACAATAGCTAATGGATGCTGGGCTTAATACCTAGGTGATGGGTTGATCTGTGCGGCAAACCACCACGGCACACGTTTACCTATGTAACACACCTGCACGTCCTGCACATGTACCCCTGAACTTAAAAATAAAACTTGAAGAAAATAAAAGAATAAATACAACTATATTTCCTGGTGGTAGAAGTGGCTCACTAGTTTGGAATCTGTGTAACCCTGTCTTGAATGAATGGGAACAGACTGAGGTAGAGGCACTCACTAGGCTGATATTGCTACCAGCGATCTGGACCAGCACAATGGCTGAAGTTAATGTCCCTTTCAAAGGTGGAAAAGTTTGGGTAAAAGTAAATGACAAATGGAAAAAAAAGAAAGAATAATAGCTGAGGGTAAGAAATGAATAAATGTGTTATAGATTGAGGGAAATCCAGTAGTAAATTAACAACCCTTTTAAAGAGTCTCAGAGCAAGAGATGACGTCATTGGCCAGCTCAGTTATTCCAGGTGCCTGAAAGGGCGAAGCTGTATATTTACCGAGACCCCTCCTGCTTTTGGGAACTGACAAGTTCCCTGAAGCACCCACGGAGGGCATGGAGGCTCCGTGCCCCTGCCCCCATACCTCGCCCTACACGTCTGTATCCTTTGCAATATCCTTTATAATCAACTAGTATACGTTTAAAAACAAAAATAGAACTGACCACAGGCTGCAGGTCTCCCATGGAATTCTTGGTGCAGGCTTGGGTATCTCTGCCTGGTAGAACTGCCAGATGAAATACAGAGACCAAGTTATGTTTGAATTTTAGATGAATAATTCTTTTTTGTATAAGTATGTCTCATGCAATATTTGGGACATACACTAAATTTTTCTTTGTTGATATCTGAAATTTAAATGTAACTGATCTCCCCTTTTATTTGATAAATCTGGCAACTCTACTGCCTGGACAGCAGTGGCCCTTTGAGCAGAAGGAATTGACTCCTGGTAGTAGAGGAAGGACTCTGGTCCCCAATGTAAACCTATCTGTTTGCTTTCAGGATGCGGGTTCAGAAACCTTTATTGCTGCCTGTAAAGACTCAGCATGGCCAGGGACTTGCAGAAGGACTCTCACCTGGCTCCATGTTGATAAATTTCAGCCACATGTAATGAAATAGAGAGAAATGGAAAAGAACAGGGTGGTTAAGGGACCTGTTAAAAGTGACTACAATTTGGCCCACACCAGTTGAAAAACAAAAGCAAAGAAACAAGCTGCTTTGTTCCAGAACACAAACAAAAAAAACAAAAAACCAAAATACCACGAACTAAACAAAGCCACAGACACATTTCACCAGAAGTGTATTTATTTATCCCTCTAAAATGTCTTTCTTAATATATGGCTGGATGTTCTGTTTTATAAATCTGTAATTACAAGTAACTGGTGTTACAATGATTATAAATTTGCAATATATTTATTTGGGAATTAAATGGCATTAATTGGAGGGTGGAATAGTGACTACGACTTAATTAACCTGAGACTATGGGCTCTGGTTAAAAATCCACCACTACCAGGTAAGTGTGTGTTCCAGGAACAGTGTAGCTTCCACATTTAAAGGCTGTAAATTATTGATGGCAGTAGTCAGTGCTTCTGACAAGCAGTAAACTGGGAGACTGAGTGCTGGAAAGTTGGAACACATTTGATCCGTGTAGGTGGAAATGTGCAGGGTAAAAATAGAGTCGTGGCAAATGCTTTTCCAGATCCATAAGACCTCCAGGGAGCAAGATCATTTGCCAGCTCTCTCCACCTCTGCTAGTATCCATTCTCCATCTCTTCCCTTCAGACCTCCGCCCTGTGTCCACACTCTGGTCATCAGCTCTCTTCTCTGGTCAAAAGAAGTCCGGATGGGACGAAAGAAAACAGGCTGGAGAGTGAAATGGGCATCTGAGCAGAAGGTGGAGTTGAAAATTCACAAAGGGAAGCTTGCACTTCATCCTCATCTGTTCTCTTCCCTCCCTATTCAAATGGGGATTGTGTTTTTAAGGCTGATTTCTTTCCTCCTCACTGGAATTGTCTTATGTAATCCTAGCTAGTGGAGTAGCTGAACTTAATTTGATGGGATAAAAAGAAATGTGCCTTTGTGTTCTTAAAAAGAATGAATGTTTGCCATTTCTTATTTATGAATACAATAAACCAGGCTCTACTGGGGAGAGAACTAGAGGGGGGAGCAACAGATGCCCGGAAAAAAAAAGGGCATAATATTTATAACACTGTGAATGAAGCATTAAAAATGGGCAAATTAAAGCAATCCCTCAGCAGATGGGGCATATGTATTGCTAGAAACTCATGTGCACATGTTCCAGCCTCATCTATGGAACTGCACTGAATGCCAAGCTATTTGGTGATAGGGGAATTTGATTTAAAGCGTATGTTTTCTAAGAATTGTCATACGTGCCCATGTGTGAGTAAAACACAAGTGAAGAAACCCTGAAGCTTCTCACTTCTGGAAGCCTTTTAATCAGAAATTGCTCTCCTATGCCTGCCACATAGGGAGTATCATAGGAGAGGATACTATGACATTCTACTTAAAGATGTAATGTGGGTTACCCAGCAATTTCACTCCTAGATATTTACCCAGAGCAATGAAGCACCTGTCCACAAAAAGACTTCTTCGAGAATTGTGTAATTGTCAATCCCTGCCTCTCTTAAAAAAATAAAATCAACTCAAACAGACATCAATTGTAGAATGGATAAACAAATTGTATATGTTGGACTATTACTCAGCAACAAAAAGAAACAAACTGTTGATACAATGGAAAACATGATCGATGACTCTTTAAAATGTTACACTACGGCCGGGTGTGGTGGCTCACATGTGTAATCCCCGCACTTTGGGAGAGTGAGTCGGGTGGATCACCTGAGGTCAGGAGTTCGAGATCAGCCTGACCAACATGGCGAAACCCTGTCTCTACTAAAAATACAAAATTAGCTGGGCGTGGTGGCACATGCCTGTAATCTCAGCCACTCGGGAGGCTGAGGAAGGAGGATTGCTTGAAGCCAGGAGGCGGAGGTTGCACTGAGCTGAGATTGCACCATTGCAGCCCAGCCTGGGCAACAAGAGCAAAACTCTGTCTCAAAAACAAAACAAAACAAAAAACCATCATGCTGAGCAAGTGAGGCCAGACACATCAAATAAAAACAAATCTGGACTCACTGGAGAGACTTTATATAAAAGGATTATTGCAGTGGGGGTGGGAAGGGTATTGCCATAGAGAAAACATTCTATCTATAATGTGGACACTTATCTCAAAGGTTAAGGCAAGCAGCATTTTTCTATTATAGAGAGGAGTGAACAAGGCTAGGAAGAACTGAGTGAGGGAAAGTGGGGGTGAAAATGTTTTACCTGAAGCTAGTTTATTCTCTGGAGGGGTTGTCTGCAGGCTTTGGCTGAGGATAACCAAATCTTAATCTTTGTCTAACAAGTATTTTGTTCCATTTGATCAGTGGCAACAAGGAGATCAGCCAATCATTTATGAGGCAAAGAATGGGAAGTTGGAGGGTCTGGGTCTGGCCTTGTCCTAAGTAACAGAGAACATCATGAACTGTAGCTAAGTCCTGTGGGGAACGGTGTTTCCCAGAGCATGAAAGGGTGGGGGGAATTCTTTGAAACTTTGCTGTTTTTTCAGGAGCCCAGACTCAGCTAAAATTCAACCTTGTCACATTACAAAGTACATTACCATATGATTCCATGTATACGAAATACAAAAAAAAAAAAAAAAAAAAAAAAGACGAAACTAGGCTATAGTGAAAGAAAACAGACGGTGGTTGCCTGAGGCCATCCAAGGAGTAGGGACTGACTGCAGAAGGGCACAGGGAAACTACTGGGGGTGGCAGGAATGTTCAAAATCTTGATTGTGGTTGTCTTAGTCCATCAGGTGGCTGTAACAGAATGCTATATATCGAGTGGTTTGTACACAACAGAAACTTACCTCCCACAGCTCTGGAGACTGGGACTCCCAAGATCAAGATGCTGTCAGAGTCAGTGTCTGGTGAGGGCCTCATTCCAGGTTCATAGACTGCACCTATTCACTATGATCTCACCTGGTGGGAGGGACAAGGGAGCTCCCTGGAGTCTCTTTTTATAAGGGCACTAATCCCACTCAGGAGGGCTCCCCACTCATGACCTAATCACCTCCCACCTCCTAATATCATCACCTTGGGGGTTAGGATTTCAACATATACATTTGGAGAGAACACAAATATTCAAACCATAGCATTGGTGATGGTTGCATTGTATATACATGTCCCACAATTTATGGAACCATACATTTAAAATGGGTGTATTTTATTGTATGTGAACTATACCTCAATTGAATATATTTTAGCAAATGTCAAGTGGGTAGATCATAGTGGCCATGAGCTCAGGCATAGAAGCTGGGCAGGTGTGAACTTGACAAGCACAAATACATCACTTATGAGCTGTGAGAGAGATATTAGGCAATTGCTTATCCTCACTAAACATCACTTTCTCCATTAGTGCCAACCTCCTAAGACTGATTAGAGCTTTAAGGGCATGCACCTAGTAAGAACTCAATAATTTCAGCTGTTATTGCTGCTACTATCATTACGGTGTGTTTCCCTTTACATGCATCTCTTGGGCAATGTGATATAGTGGAGAGACAAGATTTCAAGGCAGAATATTTGGGCTTCAGGATCCTTCGGCTCAATGTCTTCAACTGTAAAACAGGAAAATATAATCATCACAGCTCAGCTGTGTTACAGTGTAGTTATGAAAATCAAATGTGAAAGTGGATGTGAAAATATTGATAAACTAAAGCAACCTCACAAGTGGAACAAGCTAATACATGGGATTAAGTGTAAGTTTCTTTTTTTTCTTTCTTTTTTTTTTTACTTATTCCCCTAGATTTTCTGGTCTTTTTCACAAAGATTATGGATTCTTCTTAGAATCAGGAAAAAAGTAATTTCCATTTCAGTAAAAGATGCTGTAGACCTGGAATAAGTACTTAGATATTTATTTGAAAAAATAGGTCCATAAGTAGAGGTGATGATAGAATTTATCTTCTATGGAGATGACTTTTGAAAGTGAAAGAGTATGCTATCATTAATTACACCAGTGCAAGTGTCATACACTGAAATGATCTGGGGAAATTAGAGACAATTGGTCATCTCTATATAAGGGACACTTAAGCTAATACTCATCCACAAATGCCTCTTAAAAATAAAAAAGGTACCACCTGAGGAAAGAGGGGTGTGGGAGGATGAAGAAGTTGGTGAATGGGTCCAAAAATATAGCTAGATAGAAGGAATAAGTTCTAGTATTTGATAGAAAAGTAGGGAAATTATAGTTAACAGTAATTTATTACGTATTTCAAGATAGGTGAAGAGAAGAATTGAAATGTTCCCAACACAAAGAAATGATAAATGTTTCAGGCGATGGCTGTCTCAATTACCCTGATTTGGTCCATACACATTGTATATGTGTAACAAACTATGGCATGTAGCCCCAAAATATGTGTAACTATGATGCTATCAATAAAAAATGAGATAACTGACATCACTGGATCTGAAAATTAAGAAAACATGGTCTTGCCTTTGGACCTGAGAGCTCAGAGGCACCTTTGTTAAGCAACGTCTGCTCACTTAAGGTGGAGACTTTCTAAAAGCTGGGAGCATAGTCCCATGACTGTCCCCCTGGAGAAACTCACACCTCCCAGGGGACTCCCTCCCCGTGAATAGATGAGGCTTGGGGCCCTCCTTCCATAGAAGAAGGAGGTTCTTCTATGGGAGTCAAGAAATCAAGAAGTGTGGATAATTCCATGTGTTTCTTTAGTTGTTAAAGAAATTTAAGTATTCTACTTTAGACTGTTGATTAAAGGTTATTGTTTAAAAAAACCTTAAAACTGTTTTGCATTTTGATCATCATAGTGAAGACTATTTGAACAAAGATCATCAATGGATGCCAAATCTATGGAAGAACACTTGCATAGTCTAAAAATGTCTCCCGGCCAGGCACAGTGGCAGACGCCTGTAATCCCAGCACTTTGGGAGGCCGAGGTGGGCGGATCACGAGGTCAGGGGTTCAAGACCAGCCTGATCAACATGGTGAAATCTCGCCTCTACTAAAAAAATACAAAAATTAGCCGGGCATGGTGGCGCTAATCCCAGCTACTCGGGAGGCTGAGGCAGGAGAATTGCTTGAACCCGGGAGGTGGAGGTTGCAGTGAGCTGAGATCGTGCCACTGCACTCCAGCCTGGGTGACAGAGCGAGACTCCATCTCAAAAAAAAAAAAAAAAAAAAAAAAGTCTCCCTATTGACCACTAAGTAAAAGCAAGAGTAAAAATTGTCAGTGTACAGCAGAGGTTCTATACAATTCTTTGCCCCAGAGACCAAAATGAGCATCCTCATTGAACTGCCGTGGACACTGTGGCCTCTGATGTGATGCCCTGAGAAGGACAAATCTTCTCCATGTAGATTTCCATTCAGGGAGGTGGTACCTGAATCCAAGCACAAGGAAACATCAGAGACCACTTTGAGCAATTCTTTAGAAAATGAATGGCCTATAGTCTTCGAAAATGTCAATGTCATACTACGGAGAGGCTGAGGAAATAGTCCAGATTAAAAAGCCTGGGAACACAATAAATACATGCTATTCATGATCTTAAACTGGATCTTAAACTGGAGGGAAGATTTCTACACAGAGCATTTTTTGACTATTGGCAAATTGGAATACAGTCTGTGTTTAGACAAAAGATTTGATCAATGTTAAATTTCTTGAATTGTTACCTATGGTTTTCTTTTTTTATTTTTGCTTTATTTTATTTATTTATTTTTTAGATTTCCTTTTTTTTATTATACTTTAAGTTCTGGGGTACATGTGCAGAACTTGCAGTTTTGTATAGGTATACACTTGCCATGGTGGTTTGCTGCACCCATCAACCTATCACCTACATTAGGTATTTCTCCTAATGCTATCCCTCCGCTAGGCCCCCACCCCCCGACAGACCCCGGTGTGTGATGTTCCCCTCCCTGTGTCCCTGTGTTTTCATTGTTCGACTCCCACTTATGAGTGAGAACATGCGGTGTTTGGTTTTCTGTTCTTGTGTTAGTTTGCTGAGAATGATGGTTCACAAACAAGCAATGGGGAAAGGATTCCCTATTTAATAAATGGTGTTGGGAAGACCGGCTAGCCATATGCAGAAAACTGAAACTGGACCCCTTCCTTACGCCTTATACAAAAATTAACTGAAGATGGATTAAAGACTTAAATGTAAGACCCAAAACGATAAAAATCCTAGAAGAAAACCTAGGTTTTCTTTTTAAAGAGAATATCCTTGTTCTTAGGAAATATGGCTTGAAGTATTAAAAGGTAAAGAGGCATGATGTATGAAATTTACTCTCAAAACTTTCAGAGAAAACAAATTATGTGTGTGTGCATGTGTGTGTATACACAGTCATTTACCAATAGACTTTGAAGGAGAGAGAATATGAAAAATAAATGTGGGCAAATATTAAATATTGATAAATCTGAGTAAAACCTACATGGGAATAGTTTGTATTATTTTTGCAACTTTTTTTGTAAGTTCAAAATTACTGTGAAGTAAAAAGCTTTTAAAAATTGAGGAAAGATGCTAAGTAGTGATGAGTGAATGATGACCGGAAGCTTAGAGACCTCAGGCTCTGATTAAACCCCCAGATGAGGCTGGGCACAGTGGCTCATGCCTGTAATCCCAGCACTTTGGGAGGCCGAGGCAGGGGGATCACCTGAGGTCAGAAGTTTGAGACCAGCCTGGCCAACATGGTGAAACCCCACCTCTACTAAAAATACAAAGATTAGCCTGGCATGGTGGCACGTGTCTGTATTCCCAGCTACTCAGGAGGCTGAGGCAAGAGAATCGCTTGAACCTGGGAGGTGGAGGTTGCCGTGAGCCAAGATCATGCCATTGCACTCCAGCCTGAGTGACAGAGTGAGACTCCATAAAAAAAAAAAAAAGCCCCAGATGAAAATGGTGTAGCTATGGGGATAAGCTAGGCCCAGAGATGCTCACATGTGGTTTAGGGGGACAAAGGAAACATGAGGATATCCGTTTCTCTTTGGGTGCTGTGATTTGGACTATGCAGACTCCACTGGGGTGGCATGAGGAAGTATTGGTAAAATCTGGCTGTTCTTGAAATCGAGCTCCTTGGAAGATCGTGATAATCAAGTGAGAGATCACTGCCCCACCAAATTTGAGTACTTACAGTTGATCACACGAAATAAAAATGCCCAATTATGATTACTAAGGAAGAGATCCTATATTGCTGGAATTATTGTCTCCCCAGAGTCAAGCGCCAGTGCCAGGGTCAGAATGAGTACTGAACACCAGAAGACTTCCTATCCAAAGTATTTGCTGAGCTACTAGGCATCCAGGTGGTCAAGAGGACAATGAGCTAAACTGATAGTAGCAATCAAGCCTCTATCTGCTTACTATGACAGTGTGAGCAAGAGGCAGAAAAAGAAGTGCCAACCACCCCCCTCCCCGTGTTCCATTTCCCCCATGGAGCAGTGCCAGGTCAAGATCAGCATGGACCTGGGCAATAGGAAACTGCAGAGGAGTGCCAGTCTAAGGTCTACTGCCTCTTTATGGACACAGAGGCTGGGGAGAGAAGGGGGACAAGGATGTTCTTTAGCCATGGATCCTGATAAGGAGGTTATGGTAGAGGACCCTGGACTAGGAGTGCAGATATGTTCATGAGTTGGGCTGGCCAGGCAGGGCTCAAGTCCCTGACTGCAGCTCCCTCTGGGGACTGCAATACACTTGCTGTATACCAAGACTGCTGTGGGGAGGGCAACTTCCCTGGAGAGGCCTGCAAGGCAAAGCCTTGTCACTGCCTGTGGTCGGACCTGAAAGATCACACATGGGATTTGGGCCGGAGCTGGACTTCTTATGATTTTCGAGTAAGAAAACCTGGGCTGAGTTGGAGATTGCCCTCCTTCAGGTGCAGTGAGCTGAGCTTTCTTCTCGTAGGCACTTGCTTGGGATCTGGGACTGCTGTTGGAATTCTCCCAGCCAGATTTTCCCAGTCCATGAGATCAGTCTGCCCTTGCTGCCGGGGTGGGGTGGGGGTTGTCTGCAGGTGCCTTGTTAGCTGGTCAGCACGCTGCTGGCTGCGCGCTCCTCCTGGCTTCATTTTCCTCTTCTCCTGCTTTCAGCAGGACATAGCTGGTCGTGACACTTCAGGAAACCTGGCGTTTGTGTGCACTTCCTGAGCTGTTTAGCACCACTGCTCAGAACCCCTGGAGCTGGGACCACCACCTGCTCTTGTGGGTTCAAGCGCTCAGAGAGAGGGTTCTAAGGCTCTGGGCCAGTGCAGGTAGAAGGTGAAGATCCCAGCTTGGTAAAGCAGAGCGGCACATCCCGAGCATTTTCAAGATATATTTTAAATTCACTCCATCGCCTGTGAGCCAGTGAAGGAAAGGCAGACCCCAGCCGAGGGCAGAGGCAGAAACGTGATTTTAGAAATCATAAGGGTGGTGGGCAAGACCCACAAAAGGTCACAGGCCAATTACTGCTTTCGAGAGGAGGAAGGATGTCCTTGGGTAACTATTAAAATGCATGACACAATTAAAATATGGGGACACATGCGGCCTGTGTTAAAATTAGATTATCAATACTGCTTAGCAGCCTTGGAACCTCAGGCGAGGCACTGAAGCAGTTAGGGTTTCCTCTTCTGTAATTGAGTGATTTTAACTGTATCTCTCTCATAGGATTGTTGAGAGGATTAAAAGAGATGATGCTTATAAAAACATGAGACTGCTTGGACCTATTCTGAATGCTTAATGAGATCTAGCTGTGAAAATATGTGTCTACATACATATTTAATAAGCACACGCGCGCGCGCGCGCACACACACACACACACACACACACACACAGGAATGCTGTACTCCGTCACGTGGTGACCAATGGAACAAACCCTCTCTGTCCCGGACCTCCACCGCCCACGGCAGCTGAACTGGGCCCGGGGTCTTGACTCCTCACAGGCTTCCCCTCTCACTGGCTTCTCTTCTTGCCGCTCTTCTTTTCTCTTTGTCTTCTTTGTAGGTTTCTCAAATATCCCTTTTTCTCTTTGGTCCTTTTCTTATGTTAACCTCTTGCCTCCTTGGTGTCTACATTTATTCATTTAAGAGTCTAAAACAAGGTAAGAAGAAAACTAGTTTGTAACCTGAAAGTTCTTCTTTACTGCTGGAAACACCTGCCCTTGTTCAAATACAGCAACAGGACTTGGTTCACATGGAAGATAGGAGTTGGAAAAGGGTTTTCTAATTCACTCTTTGCTGGTGACTTGAGATCCCCACATCAATACACTGCTGAAAACAGAAGGAAGCATTAGCAGAAAGGGATGAGGGGTGCTGCTCTCCACCCAAGAGGATTCAGGCATGTTCCACAGCCCTCATCGGGATGCACAGGACTTGACACTGCACTGTCCACACCCCTGCCGCGGGAGGCTGAAGTGACTTCCTTCCACTCAGTTCCAGCGGGCTCTGCTCTAAGGCGTTTTCTCCAATCTCTCTTTCTGCACTGGGGATTTCTGAGCACAGAGAAAAGTTTCCACTCCTGGTAAATTTATGGAGAACTTGGTCCCATATGATAAGAAATGGAGCCTATTATAAGTTGATACTAACAAAAATGGGAGATTTTGTTGTTTCATAGGAAATGTTTGCAAGTCTAATGTCAGAATGTTCTGTGAGTGTTGCAATGTAGTAGAATAATGCACCCACATGCTTCTTGTTTTTTTTCCCTCATGACAAGTATGACATAAGATGCACTTAAATAAATCTGTGGATTTATTTGGAGAAAACATCCCACATGCTTGTTTATAAAAGCCATAAATAGGAAGACAGAATGCAGAAAGAAAGGAGACATGAAAGAAACCCTTATGACCCTTTGAATTCCAGTAACTCACTTCATGCATAAAAGGGAACTTATTTTTATTATTTTCTTCTATTCTTCTTCTTTCATTATTCTGAAACATGGGTGACAAAGAGTCCAATTTGATGGAATTTACTATAGTATAGAAATTTAAAATCTCCTAAATATCTTTCTTCTCTTCCTATTTACTCAGTCACCACCACAGCTAAAGAGCTAATTTTGGAGTTGACTAAATATGACATTTAGTTCAAAATGATAACTTGGACATCCACAGTTCTTGTTGTTGCAGTATAACACCAAGTGCAGCACCTATTATTCACAGTACTGTGCAAGGAAACCAATTATTCTGCAGCATA
Organism: Homo sapiens; assembly: GCF_000001405.40. NCBI lineage: Eukaryota > Metazoa > Chordata > Mammalia > Primates > Hominidae > Homo > Homo sapiens. The sequence continues at coordinate 37,967,753 of NC_000021.9, forward strand.
TAAACCCATGTTCAATATCTTCATAGGAATGTCATTTCACATCTAGTGATTTTCCAATGCAGTCATGTTAACCTCAAAGGCTTATGTTTGGGAATGTGTTTGAGGCTTAGCAGCTATCATTTTCTTGAAAGTGCTGATTTTTTTTTCCATTGCCTTACTTAAAGTATGTTCCAGAGCCCTGCTCATAATTTTTGACTTCCTGAATGTCTTCTCTGAAACTGGCCTGTTCTTCCTCACACATTTACTGTGGACTGTGCACGGTAGCTGATCAATTAGGACTTTACTGAATGGCTGGGATGGGAATGTCCAGCACCCCATGTGCTAGGGTGACTTTCCAGACACTAAATATCTGCTCAGGAGCCAATCAGCTATAGCCAGAAGTTGGGAGGGCATCCTGCATCTCCCAGCTCTCCCCACCAATTCCTGTTGTCCTTAACATGGATGACACCTGAGTGTATTGGACATGGGACTGGGTGAGAAAAGGAGGTCAGATTTCAACTCAAGTCTAAATAGCTGGCCTGGAAGGAAGTATGACAACTCTGTGTTAACCTTTTTACATTTATATTTATTACTCAAAAAACTTATGAGTAAGTTTTTGTTATTACAATAAGAAGACTTCAGACAAACCTGAGATGGAGAACCAGATAATACAGACAGCTGGAAGAACCAGGCAAGAGTCTGGGGCAGCTCACAGGAGGGATGATGCTACCTCAACTCTGCAGCATCTGGGATCGCCAGCCAAAGGGTCGGAGAACTGCCAGGGAGAAGGTGTGAGTGATGAGGCCCTGGCGGTGAGCTCCAATTCCAGGGCTGGGGTGGTCCATTGTAGGTGGCTCCTAGGATGGGCTAGGGGCTGCTTCCAACAGTGCCCTTGACCAGTGCAAGTGTAGGTGGTAAAATCAGCAGCCAATTGGTTCACCCAAGGAGCAGCTAGGATTCCAAGGTTGTGCATACACCCTCAGTGGGTGGTGGGCGTAGAACTTCCCAGGCCTTCTCTGCACCTCTAACAGTTATGCTATCAATACTATTTGAAGAGGATGACCCAACTCCTTTCTGATCAAGATAAATATTTCTAAATATTGTGTTTGTGTAAGTGTTTTTTAATTTCTGCCTTGTCTAGGGAAGGGATGATGTGCTTGTAGCATGACATCCCCATTCTTCCAGTCAACTGAACGGCATCAATAAGTGGTGATGTCACTCTAACTGAGCCTTAGAGTCCTTCTCAGCATAAAGCTGGGCAGTCCCTTCCTGTTGATTGTAATAAAACCCACTTGCTACCTCTTGGCCTAGAGAATGTAATGATATGATTTGAATAGCTAGATACTGACCTTTCCAAAACGTTGGCTTACAACAGCTTCTTGGATTGTAGTATTTTAACAGTAACTTGTCGGTAGATATTTTGTCACTGATGTGGGCATAGTTTGTTGCAGCCTACTATGCTACTATTACTGCTTGTATTTTTTCTCAGCACACACTTTGTTTCCATAGCAGTTCTCATTTTCCACGTGACAAAGGCCATGGAGCTGGCCGTGTGTGTACAACACAGGTCAGAGAGCTCCCGTTTTGCTTCTGTGAGTGTAGATGGGATGGCCCACTTCATCCTGAGGCCTTTCTCCAGTGTTGTGCTGTGAGACCCAGTGGGTCCTCTTGCCTTCAATGTCTTTGTCCTTGCACTCAAGCAGAGAAGAGTTAAAATAAAACTATAATGCCTATTAAGAATCAGCATTCCTATTTTGGTCATTCTGCTAACCGCTTGACACCCATCCTCCCATTTATTCTTCACAGTAACCTTGCCAGATAGGTAGTAGTAACATCTTCACTTAACAGATGGAGAAACTGAGGCTTAGAGAGGTTAAACAATATTCCCAGAGTTACACAATAGAGAGCAGAGGCAGGGCTGGAATCTAGATCCATTTGATTTCAATATCCATAATTGTACCACGTTCTTAGGCCCAGGGTTTTTGAAAAGCCCATCTTGGGCTCTGAGAGGAGAATAAGTAATGCCATAGTTTGTGTGATGAATCCATTAGGGAACCTGCTCTCCATGAGTTTTCCTGGGACTCCCAGAAGCAAGGTGGCCCAAGGATGGTCCAGGGCATCACCTATTGGCTGGGCTAGAACTCATACAAACAGACTCAACCAGAACTAGAGGGTGGTGAGTTTTGTGTGATAGAGGCGTAGAATGCAGCAGACACTGAGCATTGGAAACTTCTGGCTGCTGGCCTGTGTGATGCATGTTTACTTTGCTTTTTTTTTTTTTTTTTAATGACAAAGGAACATGCTTTTGTTTGTTTTAGGAGAAGAGGGATTGAAGGAACCAAGGGTAGCTGTGGAGGAAATTAAGAAACTTGAGGCTAGATGGAGCCTCGGCTGGGTTTTGGAGTTCAAGAGGTTAACAGGACTGAGTTTAGGTAAATTTGTCCTCTCCATTTTGCTTGAAATATTGTGTTGTGTGTGTGTGTGTGTGTGTGTGTGTGTGTGTGTGTGGTGTGTGTGTGTGTGAATGTTAGAAAAATAAATGTAAAGTTACCAGTGTTAATGTTCATAATAAAAGTTAATAACTGTGAGGCTTTAATGGTCCAGGCTCACTTTTATTATTAACATCAATTTAACACTCTCAGAGAAGTTATTAGACTCTAACCTCCCCTGTCATTGCTCTCGAAATAGGAATAAATGCCATTTTCCTCTGGTTGTTAATTCAGCTTTTAGAAACAGAACATCGGCAAGAGCCTGCCTGTAAACAATCCCAAATATATGTGATCACTGCCTCAGCTAGAAAAAAATAAATATTAATGAGACCATGTCCTGGCCAGTGGTACAAATGCCACGGGCTTCAGGCAGAATTACTATGAATGATCTGAATCATAAGCTTGTGTTGGAAACAAATAATTTTACTCCAAACCTCATCATAGAGATTGCGAGGAGCATTCTTCATTTTCTTTTGCACGTGTTGACAGCCTGATTAAGAGCTTTGGGCACTTGCCATAGTTCCCCATTTGAGAGTGATCCGTGCCTGTCTCCTGGGGTGTTTCCTTGGTCTGGCAGCATGGGGTTGCTATGTCCCTGGGACTGGCAGAACTCTCAGGGAAAAGCAACTTTTAAACCATCCAGATTTTGCTATCACCCCTGAGCTTTGGAAAAGTCTTTCAGTGTGAGCTGGACTGGGAACCTCTTTCATCCTCACCCCATCACCCCATGGTACCCGGGAATATCTGCTAATGTGTAGTTTGGTGACCTCAGACTAGTATACTAGGTGCTGGTCAAAAATGAGGAGTGGCATGCTTCTTCTGGGCTATGCCCGATTACTTTTAAGCTTAATCTGTTGAAAACACTGGTAGAATTTCTAGGATACCAAGATTCTTGGCAAGCTTGGGAATGTTTTCTTGCTGCCTCTTACTCCTCTACTCCAAATGGTATTACTCGAGCAGATGTGGCAACATTAATTTGAGGCCCCTACTTGAGTGCTTTACTTTTCAGGTGTGATAGGATATGAGTAGCCTTCCTATAGTTTGGAGTGGTGGATGTAGATGGTTTTGCCCAGTAGTGGGTGTTGCTTCAAATGGGAAGTGTCCTGATTCTGGTTTTTACTTCCTTGGGGCTAAGGTGTTAAACTCGATCTCATAGTTCCATTTCATCCCTTGAGAAGGCTCACTGCAGAGCCTTCTCTGTCCTACGAGATGCTCTGTAGTATTAAAGAAAAACCTCAGCACCTTTGCCTTAAGCATCATTGAAGTGTTACATGCTTTTCGTGTATCAGAGCATGTAAATTACCTTCCAGGGAAAGGACTCATATCTCAGGGTCACTTCAGTACAACAGTGACAATTTGCTGATTACAGCAGTTTCCCCGAAGAAAGAGGGAAGCCATCACTATTTGTGTAGCAAAGATTAGAAAGCTTGAGAATCATAAAGGCAATTCGGCCCAGGATCTCCTGGCATGCCATGTCAGCTTATTTATTAGTCAGGGTCCTCCGGGAAGCATGTGTTGAGATGGGATTAAACTTGCCTGCATTTTGTTAGGAGAAACTATCACATGAGGGAAGATAAAGAGGGAACCAGGGAAGGCCAGGAGGGCCATTAAGCCTTGATGCAAATCTGACTCCATGTCAAGAGAGAAGGAGGGGAGGCTGAGAGAAGGCACGTTGGACTGCCTGCTGCAGTCTCTGGAGGGTCCTCAGGGTGTTGGGGGCCCCTGTGTCTGCCTTAGTGACCTAAAACAGTCATTCGCTGGGAGCAGCCCTGGGGATGCAAGTCCTCCTGCAAATGCAGCTATGATGGATTTCAAAGCACCACATCTTGAGCCCTCAGTGGGTGGTGTTCTCTGTAGTTGGAGTCTGCCAGGTGTGTTCCAGAGGCTGCCACAGTGCACTTTTCTTAAACTAGAGAATGTTCCTCCATTAAATACCTGCTTTGTGCCAGACAATGGCTATATTCTGGCATCACGGAGGGCGGCCAGAGGGAAATGAGAGGAGACCCTGTGCTCTGCAATGCAGAGGCGTCTCCCTGAGCAGCCTCCCTCTATGGACGGGCATTTCACAGACTTCTCCACCAGGAAGCAGCAGGGTGATAGTGCCCAGGTCCACAGGCCACAAAGCCCATTGGTATTGTCAGGTCCTGTGCTTCACTGCATATGGGTCAAGACCACAGATGGTGGCGGCTACCTCCAGCTCCCATCACTCAGGACATGGCAGGCCCTTGCCCTTTCCCCTCCACAGCGTCGTTCTCATCTTCCTTTGACAAGGCACCTGCAGGTATTCTCTCTCCTGTTCCCCTGCCAAGCTTGCAACAGGCGGGGATGGACTCTCACACCTCTGTGTAGTGAAAATGAGAATTCCCATTTGTCATTCTGATTTTGTCCAATGGCCTTTCTAGTGTCTCCTGGTCTCTCCTCTGCTTAGTGAGGGGTCCTCATGCTTCTTGAGAGATGGCAGCTAATGTGGGTGCCCGAGTCAGGCTGCTAACTGTTGGCTGCATGATTTATTTGGGGTAAGTTATCTAAGTTCTCTGTGCCTCAATCCCTTATTTGTAAGAAAGATAACAATGTCTGTTGCTAACACTTACGACTGTTTTGAGGATTAAATGTGATAATACAAGCAAGCTTTTAGCATAGTGCTCAATAAATAGCAGTTATTATTAGATTGAACCCCACAGAATTACCATTTTTCTAAGTCAAGAAATTTAAATTTTGGCAGTTTCATGAGGTTTAACCAAAAACTATGGGTGGGCAAAACTTTTTGGTTTGGAAACCTCCTTACCCTCTGTGGGGTACTTGGTAGAGCAGCTGAGGTGAGCCACTTTTGCCTTCCTATCAGGACCTGGCACGTCACCCTCCCAAACTGGAAGAGAAGGCAGGTAGCTATTAGGTGGGAACAAAGACGTTGGTTCCATCACACCTGTGTTCACCTCTTCTTCATACCAATCAGTGTTCACAAGGGTGACCTTGGCCTGAAGACAGCCTCCTTGAGTGTGTGCTCGACCCATGAGAGGAGAAGGCCCTCTCCCTATTCACAGACCAAAATAAGCCACATCAGGATGGCTACTTCCATGTTAGAAATCACCATTGATCCATGTATTTGTCTGGGTTCTCCAGAGAAAAATAATCAATAGGATATATATATACACACACACATATAAAGAGACACATGCACACATATATGTATATACACACACACACACAAACACACATACAAAGAGAACGCGAGAAAGAAAGATATTTATACAGAGGCATTGACTCACGTGATTGTGGAGGCTGAGACATTTTGTAATCTGCCCTCCGCAGGCCAGAGGCCCAGGGAGGCCAGTGATGTAAGTTCCAATCCAAGCCCAAAGGCCTGAGAACCAGGGAGCCAGTGCTGTGATTCCCACCAATCAGGTCTGAAAACTAGAAAGGTCAATGGTGCAAGACCTGGTCTGGGTCTGAGGGCAGGGGACTTATGTCCTAGCTCAAGCAGTTAGACAGAGAAAGGGAGAGAGAGAATCCCCCTTTCCTCCACTTTTTTGTGCTATCCAGGCCTGCAGCAGATGGGATAATGCTGACCCACATTGAAGAGGGCCATCTGCTTCACTCAGCTCATGAATTCAAATGCTAATTTCTTCCAGAGACACCCTCACAGACACACCTAGAAATAATGTTTAGCCAGATATCTGGGCATCTCGTGACCCAGTCAAATTGATATATAACTAACCACCACAGTCCAGGTAGACTTACCTAAGGTGAGTTTGATTTAGTTAAGAGCCTATCTTTGTGCCTTCTGGGAGACCATGGGAACCCTTCAACGCTGGCTATGGAGAGAGGTGCTCCTTCTGCTACCAGGCTCAGGTAGGTACAGCGCAGGCCCTACAAAGTGAGGGAGGAGCGGTCCTGAAACGGTGGCCTGAGATCCCCATTCTCACCTCTGCTGAGTTGCCTCATGTCACAGGTACTCCTCGAGGTCAAGACATTTACCACCCACAGCCACTGTTAAACCACTAATATGCGGTGATTCATGTTTTTACGTAGGTGACAGTTTAGTGTTATGGGGAAAAGCATTGGATTTGGAGTGTGGAATTAGTCATTCCTGACCTGGCTGGGTGGCTGTGTGTAAGCATTTTCTCTCCCTGGAGCCTCATCCATAGCAAGAGGGTTTTGCAGCAAAGTTAAGATGGCAAATACGTCTTCTCTCCCAAACCATCCCTGACCAGTAAACATCAACTCCCTGGAGACTGGAAGGCCCTGGACAGCACCATCTTCTCCAGAAAAGCCAGTGATGTAGGTACCAATCCAAGCTCAAAGACTTAAGAACCAGGGAGCCAGTGCTGTAATTCCCAGCATAGGAGGCCCAGAACCAGAAAGGTCAGTGGTGCAAGTCCCGGTCTGGGTCTGAGGGCAGGAGATGTATGTCCTAGCTCAAGCAGTTAGGCAGAGAAAGAGAGAATCCCCCTTTCCTCCACTTTTTTGTGCCGTTCATGCCTGCAGGAGGTGGGATGAGAAGTACACCTTTTCTCCCAAACCATCTCTGACCAATGAGCATCAACTCTGATATTGTTTGGCTGTGTCCCCACCAAAATCTCATCTTGAATTGTAGCCTCCATAATTCCTACATGTGATGGGAGGGACATGATGGGAGGTAATTAAATCCTGGGGCCCGGTCTTTCCATGCTGTTCTCATAAGAGTGAATAAGTCTCATGTGATATGACGGTTTTATAAAGGGGAGTTCCCCTGCACATTCCCCCTTGCCTGCCGTCATGTAAGACATCCTTTTGCTCTTCCTTCATCTTCCACCACGGTTGTGAGGCCTCCCCAGCCATGTGGAACTGTGAGTCCGTTAAACCTCTTTCCTTTATAAATTACTCAGTCTCAGGTATGGCTTTATTAGCAGCATGAGAACAGACCAATACAAACTCCTTGGAGACTGGGAGGGTCTGCACAGCACCATCCTAGTGCACAGGTTCTACCCAGGACACTGACAAATCCTAAGAGGAGGGAAAAAACAAGGCCCTTGGGACACAGCTTTAAAAAAAAGAGTCCTATTTTCTGTCATTGCCAAAGGAAAAGGGGCTCTCTGCAGCAGGAGATAGAGCCTTCCCCCTCTCATTCCCTTCACCATTCTGTTCTCTTGAGCCATGAAGCAAAACCACCTGTAGCCAACATTGAAGCCACTGCTCCATCTACACTTTCATCACTTTCATATATTGTCCCCTGTCTTTGTCATTCCACCTCTCTCCCTCACTGCTATTGCCTCCTTCATGTTACTTACTCCTGATTTTCCTTCAACGTTCCTGACCATTTCTAGTCACTTTCTTTTGGCTTCTTTATCTCTAATTACTCCTATATCTCCCAGGCTGAATTTTACACAGAGGACAATTACATACTTCCAGAATTACTCTCATCAGTGTCCTCCCATTCATGAACAGAGCATATGGCCATTATTACTACCCCATGAGGTTCAGCTGTTAGTTAGCAGTTATGTAAAAAAATTAAAGAGTTGCACTGGAGTAATGTCAGTTGAGTTCACCCTTTCTTTCACTTTTCATTGTGTCATGGAATTGGAAGTAACTTTGAAGTTTATCTGGTCCAATTCCTGTCATTAAGTTGAAACTTAAGGAGTCTGGTGGCTGGGCATGGTGGCAGGTACCTATAATCCTGCACTTTGGTAAGCTGAGGTGGGAGGATCACTTGATGTTAGGAGTTTGAGACCAGCCTGGGCAACATAGCAAGACCCTGACTCTACAGGAAAAAAAAAAAAGAGTCTAGTGATTTGTCAAAGGTCCATCTGCTTATTTAGTGGTTGAGATAGGATTATTTAACCTAAGTTTAAACTCCCAGCTAATTTTTTTTCTATTTTAATTCCAAAACCAATATCCAATATGAAATCACATCATGGACATCTCAAAACAAACTTTCCTTTAGTTTTCAGGGGTAATTTCACTGGGAAACATAAATTACACGTGGAGCAGGCAGCCTTGTTTGTGAATTAATTAATTTTTTTTTTTTTTTTTTTTTTTTTTTTGAGATGGAGTCTCGCTCTGTCGCCCAGGCTGGAGTGCAGTGGCGCGATCTCGGCTCACTGCAAGCTCCGCCTCCTGGATTCACGCCATTCTCCTGCCTCAGCCTCCCCAGTAGCTGGAACTACAGGCGCCGGCCACCACGCCTGGCTAATTTTTTCGTATTTTTAGTAGAGACGGGGTTTCACCGTGTTAGCCAGGATGGTCTCGATCTCCTGACCTCATGATCTGCCCATTTTGGCCTTCCAAAATGCTGGGATTACAGGCGTGAGCCACCGTGCCCGGCCTATTTGTGAATTAATTTTGCAGTCACGGTAAGAGTCCCTGAACTTAAGCTTTGAGCTTTTGAAAACTCTGGAAATTGATTTCAAGTTTTATTGTCTTTGTTTCCAAAACGGTGGATTAGAAGCATGCTGCCCTTTCCCACCTACTCTATAATCCCTAAAAGGTTGAGAGCAGATGGGACACGATGGAAGAGGGATGCCACAAGCCAAGAGATGGCCATGCATACACGTCCATAGATGTTAGCAGCATACAGGGTCCTCCTTATCTGAGATGGAAGAAGTCGGGGCAGGCAGAGTCCAGGGGAAACCTAAGGGGTGGTTTGCTGGGGAATGACCATGGTGGTCATCAGCCAGATTCACTCCATTATGTCTCCCCTTCCTGAGACATTTGATCTCTAACAATGTTAGAGAGCGACAACAGGCTCAATAAATGGAAAATCATCTGCTTGAGGAAATGGAATTAATAGAACAATCAGGATGTATAATTAATACATCAAATAAGTAAGTTTTAAAAAATAAAGTAGACATCTTAAGAATGACTGCTAGACTGAGCCAGCAATATTTTTAACAAGCGCTGTCTGATACCTAGAAAATAAAACCAGATTCTTTTAGCTTAAGGAAAACAAAACAAAATGAAGGAAAGCAAAGCAAAATAGTTGATTTTGGGGGGTGGGAGGGGATTTTACCATCTCATTCATTTATTCATTCAACTCATATGTCGAGCACACTATTGTAGGTGCTGGAATACAGCAAAGAAATAAGAGAAATGTGGTCCCTGTTGTCATGGAGCTTAGAGCTGGAGAATGAAAGGAGAGAGTAAAAAGAGTTAATCAATGAAGCAACAGTGAAATATTGATAGTGGCATCTGTAGAGACTGAAGTAGAGAGATGCAATAGAGAAGAACTATGATGCCTACTCTAAATTGGTCAGGAAATGTAAGTGACATTTGAAGATGAAGAAGAAACCAACCATGTGAAGGTGAAAAAAGAGGAGGAACCATAACGCTGGGGCTTGGAACCTATGGGAGAAGGGAGGAAGGTTATAACATTAGGCTGGAAAGACTGATCGGGGTGAGATCATGGGGGGCTTTGTGAAATGAGAGAGCTCATTATATCATCCTCAGTAAGTTGTCATTACACCACTGTGTTTTTGACACACATCAGTGTGAAATTACTGTTGTAAAAAAGGCTAACCTGGGTGGCAATAAAACTCATCATAGGCCACAGACAATTTGAAGGAATTAATTTGCAGGATTGGTTAAGGGAAGAACACTACTAGATGAGAACAGAAGGCCCTCTTAATTTATTTAAAGAACAAATGGCAGCTTAAGGTAAAAGCAAAATATATGACCACAGTAGCAAAATTAGAAACTACTACTTATTGATAAATACTATTAAGGAAATGCAAAGGCAAACTGCAGACTCTGAGAAAGTATTAGCAACACATATACTTGACAAAGGCTTTGTACCCAGAGCACATAAAGAACTCCTACAAATCAATATGGAAAAAGCCACAATCCAATAAAAAAATGGAGCAAAATTCTTAACAGAAACTCCACAAAAGAAGATACAGGAATAGCCAATAGGAATATGAAAAGATGCTCAACAACATTAGTCACTAGGAAAATGCAAATTAAAACCACAAGATGCAATTTCACACCCTCTAGAATTAGCTAAAATTAAAAAGATTGATAACATCAAATGTTTGTGAGGATGCAGAGCAACTGCAACTCTCATACACAGCTGATGGTAGCCTAAGATGACACAACCACTTTGGAAACTGTTTGACAGCTTTTCACAAAGTTAACTATATACCTCCTCCTCCTTCTTCTTCTTCTTTGTTTTTTTTTTGTGTGTGTTTTTGTTTTGTTTTGTTTTTTGAGGCAGAGTTTCCCTCTGTCACTCAGGCTGGAGTACAGTGGCATGGTCATGGGTCACTGCAGCCTCTACCTCCCCAGGCTCAGGTGATCCTCCCATGTCAGCCTCCCAAGTAGCCGGGACTAAACACGTGCACCGCCATGCCTGGCTAATTTTTGTATTTTTTGTAGAGACTGGGTTTCGTCACGTTGCCCAGGCTGGTCTTGAACACCTGGGCTCGAGCAGTCCTCCTGCTGTGGCCTCACAAAGTGCTGGGATTACAGACATGAGCCACTGCACCTGGTCTATACACCTTCTTAATGACCTATCTATTCTATTCCAAGGTATAGCCCAAGACAAATGAAAATGAAAATATTTGTCCACAAAATGTCTTGCATAAGAATATTTATAGGAGGTTACTCATGCCAGTCAAACACTGAAAATAATCCGTGTAATCATTGAAGGGAAAATTACTAAAAATTTAATTAATAAAGGGAAAATTGTGGTATACACACAAAAGTGTTTGTCACTGATACAGGTAACAGCATAAGAGAATCCATAAAACATTGCGTTGCGTATAAAGAAGCTAGTCACAAAGAATATACACAGCATAATTTAATTGATGTGACAGGAAAGAACAGGCAACACTAACTTAGGCTGATAGAAATCAGAACAATGGTTGCTCTTGGGAGTGGGGACTCAGTAGAGGTTTCTGAGTGATGGAAAAGCTTTCCACCTTGATGATCTTAATCATGGTGGGAGTTGTGTGGGTGCATACATCTTTCAAAATTCACCAAACTATATACTTAAGATATGTGCCTTTTACTGTTTGCCAATTTTGCTCCAATTAGAAAAGTTGGGGAGGTATAGGAGGAAAGAGATTAGCAACAATGAGAATAGTTTGCTCCTTGAAGGAGTTTTACTTGGAAGGGAAAAGGGAAAAGGAATGGTAGAATGGTGACTGGAGGGGAAGGAAGGTTCAGAGTTTTGTTTGTTTGCCTGTTTCTTAGACGGGAGAGGTAATAGCATGTATGTTTGCTGATGAGAAAGATTAGCAACAGAGAGAAAAAATAAATGGTTCAGGAGAAAGTGAGCAGATGTACAAGAGGGAGGTCCTTGACTAGGGAGGAGGGAAGGGATCAGGAATGCAAGTAGGGCACTGGCCTTTGCTAGGCATTGGGAAGGGTTCCTCTGGAATAAGAGAGATGGCATTCTAAATGGGCACTGATGCAGGATTACTATCCAATCATTTAAAATGAGGCCAGTTTGCAACACTGAGTTTTCCTCCACTCTTATGCAGCCCTGCCAGTGTAGGTGGGCAATGAGCGTAGACTTGGGTTTTAATAGTGTTTTGGTTTTGCCAAGTTAGCAATACTAAGTTAGAAGGGGAGAGGGAAATTGATGAAGTTATTATCTTGATTGACCATAGACTGCAAGTTGGCTTAAGATGTTGGTAAGGACGAAACGATGGTAAGGGATAGGAAAAAGTAGAATTTGCGTGGTTGATCCTGTTGGTGCTGAAGAAGTCGGAACTGAGTTAGTGCAAGAAAGATGTTGGGAAATGTGAGGTAGTGCTGGGAAAGTGAAATGCCTGAAACCAAACAAAATAAAATGATTGAGGATGACAAGGTCTAGGAAGGAAGAGGTTGAGAGAAAGTGAAGGTAAAATCTTTGCAAGAGAGGAGGTCAGGGAATGGAGAAGACAGAATACTGGAAGATTTATCTCATGGATATTGAAACCTCGAATTGTTGATATCCTCAGTAGTGTTGATGAACATGTCAGTAAACTAGGAGCTAAATCTCCAAGGAATGAGCGGCAGTGAATGGGAGTCGGTCAAGGATGATGACCAGCAGGGCAGGAAAGTGGTGTATTCTGATGACGTGAAACTCAGTGCTGGTGTTTTGATGGAGGGAAAGAAAGTCTGCTCTGGAGGGAGAGAGGGAACACTGTGTCAAATGCTGCAGAGAGATCACACTTGCCTCCAGGCCAGGGCTGCAGAAGAGAAGACACTACCAGCAAAGCTGCAAGAAGAGTACACAGAAGAAAATGAATGATCTACATGTACTGATGTAGAAAGACGTTAGAGACATACTGTTAAATGGGGGAAAAGCAAGTTACAAAATGGTTCTGTCTGCATGAATTGTTTGGTCAGTTACAAATGAGTGGAAAATTAATGGTAAGTCTCCAAACTATAATTGCAGTCATCTCTGCATGGCAGCAATGGGGGGAACTTTTATGTCTGATTTTCCCACATTTTGCTATACCTAACAGGACAGAGTGAGTGCCCATTCTGGACCAGAGTGACTAGATTATATTCTCACACCTGCCATCTGAATGGTCATGGCCAAATTCTGAGCTTCCCTAAATCTCAGTTGTTTCATCTATAAATTAGGAATAAGTAATATCTACTTATGTTAATTGTGAGGGTGATGTAAGAAATCATGTGAAATATCACAATACGACACTTAGAAGGTAAAAGATAAAAGAACAATTGTTATCCTTACTATTGTATTTTATATAACAGGCATAGATTGCTTTTCTATTTAGAAAAAAAAAAAAAAAACCGGGATTTTTTTTTAAAGGAACTTAGTTAGAACACAGGCCCAGAGGAATGATCACCCCCAGTTCCACACACAAATAACTAGAATTAATAAAAGAACAAATGGGATGGGTGACGGTGGTGGAGAGCTGATGGATTCCTCTGAATAGTAATTGATTTGAATCTAAAACCAATGAACAGATTCTTATCACTTCACAGGGAGCCAGCGAGCCAGCTGTTTTTCAAGACGGTGTTTTATTTTGACTTTCATACACTCCTCGTGTATCTTGTCTGCAGAAAGTTATCTCTTGTGCTGTGGGAAGTAGGGGCCCTGAGCTCCTCGACCTGCTGACCCCCTCCCTGCGAAATAACCAGGTGTGTGGCAGGATTCTCAACCATGCAGAGGAGATGGGTGCTGAAGTGAGGGCCAAAATGTGGAAACTCTTTTTTTTTTTTTTTTTTTTTGAGACGGAGTCTCGCTCTGTCGCCCAGGCTGGAGTGCAGTGGCGCGATCTCGGCTCACTGCAAGCTCCGCCTCCCGGGTTCACACCATTCTCCTGCCTCAGCCTCCCGAGTAGCTGGGACTACAGGCACCCGCCACCACGCCCGGCTAATTTTTTGTATTTTTTAAGTAGAGACGGGGTTTCACCATGTTAGCCAGGATGGTCTCAATCTCCTGACCTCGTGATCCGCCCGCCTCGGCCTCCCAAAGTGCTGGGATTACAGGTGTGAGCCAGCGCGCCTGGCCAAATGTGGAAACTCTTATCCTTAGATTCCACCTGGTTGCAAGAGGGGCCAAAGAAAGGCATCTTGGCGGCTAAGCAGGAGTCGAGGTGAAATCATTGATGGAACAGACTAAGCTATACTGATATTTAGACCCAAGTTCGTTAAACAACAACAAGATGCTTGCTTTTCAGCCCCACCTTTTGACTTCCTAAAATAAGAAAAGAATCCCTTTCCATTTTCCATTTCAAACCACAGTGAGTAATGGCATCTTTGAGCGCTGGGGCCTAGAGGAAATTCTATTTGTGGGATAAATTAGGAATATTAAAGAACTCTCACCTCTGGGGTACTGAATCAAAATTTCAATTGTGTACTCAAGCTTAAAGCTTTAGACCTAGGCAAACCCCTCCCAACCCCGTCTTTGTCGTTTCCCCCTTGTGGGAAGTCTGGTCTGTGGTCGTTGTCTTTGAATCATGCAAATTAGGAGAGCATGTGTGAAGTCCTTTTATAATTTAGATTCTGTGCATGTAGCTCATTGGCCATCAGGAAGGGTATCTCAATTCAGATGGTCACTTGGGAGGGGGGCTGGATGGAAAAGAGAAATTCTCAATATATGAAAATGGTTTGAAATAGTAATTTCCCTCAAAATTCTCTTTCTCTACTTGTATGTCTGTCCTCTACAATGGAGCAGACCCGTAATCCCCAATCACTCCCATAACTCACCTTCCTGGGGCTGTGGCATGTGCAGTGGTGTGTTGTTTATACAGCCTGTGTGTTTGTACTGTGCTGTCCCACATGGAGGCCTCCATCTGAATACAAGGGCTGTGAGCATTTAACCTGGCGCAGGGTATAGTACACCTGGCTCGTGGATTTTGAATAAAAGTCTCTCATCACTCTTTCTGATTTACACTTAGAAGCCATTTTTCTTAAGCCCTTTATGTTGCTAAATGCATTTCCTTACCCCTCTTCAGCCTGAACACCTTTGGGCAAACACATAATGTCCCTTTCTTCTACTCTTGGAAGGAGCTATGAATCAGAAGGAAGTGGGATTTCCTTCCCGGGTTAAACTACCAACATAGGTCACACTTATATGCTTGCTTGCCTCTGATTCTTAAGAACATCAAACTCATGCCTCACTGGGCTAATAAAAGTTTATTTTTCTTTACTTATGTGCCTCTTGGTGTATTTTTCTCTAGTGAGGTTTAGATCTGCACCTTGTATTCAATGAAAATATTATTATAGAAGAAATACTATTAAATAAGGTAATTTTAGATGATGTTATTAATATTAGAACAATTTTAGACTAATGTCAACTATCAGCTTGTAAAGTTTGAGCTTTTTTCTCTTTGTCCCCTCCTTCCTTTCCCTCTCTCCCCACCTCCTTTCCTTCCTTCCTTCCCCTTCCCTTCCTTTTCCTTCCTTCCTCCCTTCCTCCCTCCCTTCCTTCCTTTCCCAGCCCTTCCTTTTCCTTACTTCCTCCCTCCCTCCCTTCCTACCTTCCTTCCTTCCTTCCTCCCCCTCCCTCCTTTCCTTCCTTCCTTCCCTCCTTCCTTCCTTCTCTTCCCTCTCCTTCTTTCCCTCCTTCCTTCCTTCTTTCCTTCCTCCTTACCTTCCTCTAGATTTCTTTTTTAGAAAGAGTTAGAAATATATTTTACACAAAATATCAGACAACTCCAGGATCTTCTTTTGGTATTATTTATCATTTTAGATAGAGGGGTATTGCCTGTCAAAGATTTGACAAAATCTTTGACAGGCAATACCCCTCTATCTAAAATGATATATGCCTAGATGCAGAAACAGACGCATGGAATGCCATTGTATGACTTCACAACAGAATTAGTATGCTGGCTTCCTGACTTGATATTCCTGCCTTTGATTCTTCTTCCCTGTAGGTTGCCAAGTACTCAGCAGTACTGAACTCTCTAAATGACCAGTTTCATGAAAATCTCAAAGCTCCCTTCAGGGGAATCCTCACTGTAAAGGATGAAGTGGGAAGTCTTCCTTTCATCTAAGACTTGCAAAGATCTGACATCTTCCTGTCCAACCTTATGTTCCAGGATTGCTTTGTCTCGAAGCAAAGATGGGCTCAACATTGTTTTCAACCACCAGCTACATTTTCTAACTCCAAACATTTACTTTCCCACCTCCTGGGATGCCTTTCTTCCTGTCCCACACAAATCCAACTCACCCCTGACGTTCAGCCCCAGTGCCCCATTTTCCAGAGAGCCTTTTCTCATAGCTTCAGTTCCCACTGACTCACTTTACTGACATTCCTTCAGTGTGTCTCACTTAAAATACCCCCAGGTATGGAACTCAGAACTCATAAAACTTAGTGTCTACATTGACCTCGACCTGCCCTCACTATTCCACTGTCTTCGTCACCAAACTTTATTATGCCAGAAAACTTGTGCCCAGGAGATTAAACATTGCAAATAAGTCTATTTGCAGGATGTTCAGTAATTTCCTGAGAAAAATTAAATAAACATCAAACAGACTTAAAAATTTATTTATTCATTCAT